>NC_000001.11:47129592-47432622 GCF_000001405.40 Homo sapiens | reverse complement strand
GTGGGAGCTCTGGCCTCGCGGTGCGGACGCTAGTAATGGATTCCTGGGGAACAGCGACCTCTGGAGGAGCCTCTCATCCACACAGAGTCAGGAACTAAAGGACTGGTTCTGAGACAAAGCACCCTTTCCTCACCCTACTCCCATTCCACCCGCTTGGAAAAGTTATCCAGAGACTTTTAACCTCCGGACTCCACTCTTCGCTTATGTTTGCTTTTTTTTCCAACCTGTACCCACGCTTCAAAATCCCTGCTCCAGTCCTGCCTCTTCCAGAAAGAAGCCTTCTGGCCAGCCCAGTTCCTCTTCCCCTCTTCCTGTTCTGAGCTCATTCTCAGGCCACACTGCACAGCCAACCTGCTTCCTGCCTGCTCTTCTCCAAAAAGACTGTGAATCCACTCCACCCACGCCTTGTGTTGCATGCTGGGCATGCCGTTCCCTGCCCCAACCCACCCCACCCCCCAGTGAATAAAGACTGAAGTTATTCATTCCAAAATTGGACTGTTGATTTTTCAAAGTTAATTTCACCGATGGGGAAATTGAGACCCAGAGAGAGGGATGACTTGCCCAAAATCACACAGCAAACTGGTAGCAGAGGTGGAACTAGAACCCTACACCATTTCCCAGGCCAGGGTGCTCTTCATCTCACCTGGATGGGGAGCAGGTAATTTGGGGAGAACTCACTTTGATGGGTGAGACCTGAATTGAGGTTTCACACTGGAGCGGGGAATGCAGGAGGAAACTGAGAGAGTGGTCATTGCTCCAGGATGAGGCAGGGAGGGCAATGCTGTGCTGGGAGGCCAGACCCTTCTTTCTCCCATCCTCAGCCCAGATCAAGCTACTTGGAAGGACTTCACATTTCAGGGGTTGGCTGCATTTCTTACATCAGCAAGTGGGCAGGGCTAAGGTCTGGGAACAGACTCAACTCTGGAAAATACCACCCTCCCCCATCCACCACCACCACCCAAGGGAAGGAGGAGCTGAGAAACCTCTCCTGCTCATACACTCAGAGGGCACTGCAGAGACCCCAGATCAACAGGAGGCCTTCTGGTGCTTGCAATTCAGTTAGTGAAAAGGTGGAAGTGTGATTTGCATGAGGCTCTAGTGATACCTGCTCAGTAGCCTGAGGCCTTCTCAGAGCTGCATCACTTTCTGTGTATAGAGTCCTTGTCTGCACAGGATACCTGGCAGCCTGGCCCCTACCTGCTTGCCCAGCCCCTACCTCCAACTCCTGTTCTCTACTCACACCTGATTTCCTCTTTCTTCCCTCTTCACCTTTGCAGGTGGCTCACTCTTGCCTGGCTCACTTCTAATCCTTCCTAGTTAATTTCACACATCAAGTTTGTGAGATGCTTTCCCTGACAACACTCCTGCGCTCACCTGACTCCCACCTCTGTGTTCCTGAAGCTCTTAGCTCCATCTGTTTTTGTTACTTGTTTTTCAGTCTGTAGATTTTATTATAGACCAGGAGTCCTCAACCTTTTTGGCACCAGGGTCTGGTTTCATGGAAGACAGTTTTTTCCACAGACCAAGGTGGTGGTGGGCAAATGGTTTTGGGATGAAACTGTTCTACCTCATATCATCAGGCATTAGTTACATTATCATAAGGACCACGCAACAGGCGGGGCATGGTGGCTCACACCTTGTAATCCCAGCACTCTGGGAGGCTGAGGTGGGTGAATCATTTGAGGTCAGGAGTTTGAGACCAACCTGGCCAACATGGTGAAATCCCGCCTCTAGTAAAAATACAAAAATTAGCTGGGCGTTGTAGTGGGTGCCTTTAGTCCCAGCTACCTGGGAGGCTGAGGCAGGAGAATTCCTTGAACCCAGGAGGCAGAGGTTGCAGTGAGCCGAGATTGCACCACTGCACTCCAGCCTGGGCAACAGAGTGAGACTCCAGTCTCAAAAATAAATAAATAAATAAAAAATAAGGAGCACGCAACCTAGATCCCTCACATGCGCAGTTCACAATAGGGTTTGTGCTCCTATGAGAATCTAATGTCGCCACTGATCTGACAGGAGGCGGAGCTCGGGTGGTAATACTTGCTCACCCGCAGCTGACCTCCTGCTGTGTGGCCAGGTTCTTAACAGGTCACCGGTTAGGAACCAGTTAGTGGCCAGGGGGTTAGGGATCCCTGCTTTAGACTGTGAGCTCCTTGAGAACAGGGCTCATTTTGTGTTCATCTTTATCTTTCCTCTTCTGCAAAATGGGGATAATAATTGTACCTACCTCATTGGATTGCTGTAAGGATTAAAAGAGATGATGCACATATAAAGCACTTAGCCTACTACCTGAAACTTTGAAAGATCTCAATAAAGGCCGGGCGTGGTGGCTCACGCCTGTAATCCCAGCACTTTGGGAAGCTGAGGCAGGCAGATCACCTGAGATCAGGAGTTGGAAACCAGCCTGGCTAACATGATGAAACCCCATCTCTATTAAAAATACTAAAATTAGGCCGGGCACGGTGACTCATGCCTGTTATCCCAGTACTTTGGGAGGCTGAGGCGGGCAGATCACGAGTTCAGCAGATCGAGACTATCCTGGCCAACATGGTGAAACCCAGTCTCTACTAAAAATACAAAAATTAGCTGGGCGTGGTGGTGCATGCCTGTAATCCCAGCTACTCGGGTGGCTGAGGCAGGAGAATAGCTTGAACCAGGGAGTCGGAGGTTGGAGTGATCCAAGATCGTGCCACCGCACTCCAGTCTGGCAACAGAGTGAGACTCCGTCTCAAAAACAAAACAAAATACAAAAATTAGCCAGGTGCAGTGGTGGGCACCTGTAATCCCAGCTACTTGGGAGGCTGAGGCAGGAGAATTGCTTGAACCCGGGAGGTGGAGGTTAAAGTGAGCCGAGATCATGCTACTGCACTCCAGCCTGGGCAACAGAGTGAGACTCTGTCTCAAAAAAACAAAACAAAAACAAACCAAAAAAAAACCTCAATAAATGTTTTGCATCATCATTATTAATCACTCTACCTCCTGCCAGGCACAAAGCCTGACACACAGTAGGTGCTCAATTAATGTTAGATATGTGGATATATTAATGAAAGAAAAGAGGAAGGAAGAAAGGAAGGTATGGCATATCTCTCTCTCTGGGACTCCCTATAGAACTCTAGGGAGTTCATCAGTAAATCATCAATGGAATTCTGTATTCACTGGGAACAGAGGTTGTAGCTCAGATCATCAATAGAACTACGTGTTCACTAAGAACAGAGGTTGCTTCTCTCCCATCAGTCCCCATCTTTGAGGGGAGGAGAACATGTCTCCCTCTCAGACAGAGTTTATCCGTGGTTTCTGGCTGTAGCAGTCATTGGATTTGTCTGTTGTTCTCTCTGCCTCAGTTTCCTCCTTTTAAAATGGTTGTGACAAATCAAACCAGCTTCCAGACTGAGCCCTGCCAAAGTCTTCCAGGGGCTCCACATTGCTTGTAAGACAAAATGCAGTTTCCCTGGCATGATGAGCTGAACATGCTTACAGTTTTTGCATGTCTCGGCCCTCTGTTGAAGGAAACCTTCCCTCCTGTGTTCCATGTGGTCCTGACGGGGCTATCCAATTTGTTCCCCTCACAATTACTCCCCAGGAGCAGACAGGCAACCAACTGGGTCATACATACCATTGCAAGTTCAAGGCCCAGTGATTGGTCCAGGCAGTGGTAAGTGACCTAAGTAGCCAGTCACCCCTTCTACATGATTTGACATATGGACTCTGAGATTTGGGACTATGTAGACCATGGGACTGGCACTCTGGGACTCTGGGAGGAGCACCTCTCCTTTTGGATCAGAAGACAAGCACACAGGCTTAGCTGTCAGAAGCCATCTCCCTGCCACATGGAGAGTGCTGTTTGACATCAAAGCCCACACACAGAGGAAAACAGCCTAAAGAGAGAAAGAGACTTAAAAATAGTGTTTGAGTCCCTGGATCCAGCTCTGCCTGAAACTGGAACCCCTAGACTTTCCAGACATTCAAAAAGAAAGAAATCTCCCCTTTTGCTAAGCTAGGTTGAGGTGGATTTCTGCTAGTTGAGTTGAATTTCACAAATAGCCTAGCCACAAAAGAGAAGAATCCTGGGTCTCTGAGACCACTGAACTGCCATACCACCCTGAACTGCCTGCACTGACTGTTATGTAAAAGAGAAATAAACTTTGGTCTTGTTTAGACCACTGATGTGGGATTGGGGGGGCCAGTCTGTCATTCACAACTGAACCTAACCCTGCTTAATGCACGAAAGTTTGAGAAAATGTCCTATAAACACGAAAGAAAGGTCTGAGGTAATTAGCCTGGAGAATAAAGGCTTAACACAGCCAGCATCTCCCAATCTCCACAGGGCTCATCTGGGGCAGAGACACCAAGGCAAAAGAGAGCCAGAAAGGGGTAAAAAGCCTCACTTTCTGTGTCTCCATGCAAGGAGAACATTCTAACAGGGCTGTCTCTGAGATGTAGTAGATTACCTCGGTGGCTCTGAGTTCCTTGTCACTGGAAGTGCTAGAGTGGAGGCTGGGTAATCACTGAGTATGAATCATAGAGGCACCCAGGTGTAGCAAGAAGAGTTCAGGTCTTAGAGCTGGGTTCAAATTACGCTCTTACCACTTATTAGTCTCAGACAAATAATCTCTGTAAGCCTGCATTTCCTCATTTGTAAAGCATCCAGATAGCTGGGTTGGAAACGGACTAGGGAAATTTCTTATCCTGCTACCTCATGGGGACTCCTGAGACCTAGTGCTCTAGCTGGAGCCCGTCATGGATCAGGATGTCTCAGTGAGGTGCCTTGCCCTCCTCTCCAACCTTGACATGTTCAGGGACACCTCCATCCTGCCATGAAAATGCATTACCCACTGGTTTGTTCCTGCAACTGCAGAGGAACAGTGGGGCCTGAGCCAAGAGGCCTGGGCCCTACTCTCTGTCTTCTCCCTGACTTCCTATGTGACCTCAAGCATGCCCCCGCCTCTTCCAAGGCCTCAGTTTCCTCATCCAACATATGAGAAGTGTATCTCCATCACAGACAATCTGGGTCTAGAATCAGGGCTCTTAACTACTGTGCCATACCTATCACAACAATAATCATCATGTTACTGCCTGGCCTTGCCCTGCCCAGCCCCCTCAAGGTCTGCTGGAACAGGCTACTCCTCATCCTCTGCCTAGGTCAGCCCAAAATGGTGACAACTGCTACATGAGCTGACATCACAGGCCTGGGCAACCCAGAGGTTCCCAGTCTGCCAAGGGCCTCATTTCCAGCCTTGAAATTTGACTCCCCATTAGTTACATGAACACCTCTCACAGGGGCTCTGTGTGATCTTTCCTCATCCACACCTTCCTTCAAAGTTGGGGCCACTCATATCTGGGGGACTAGAGGCAATGAAATGGGAAATCTGAAACAGTAGTGGAGCAGATCTTACAGCATTATCCTATGGTCAGAAGAAAGGAGTCACAACTGGGGACCCAGATGGGGAGACAGCACCATTTGGCAGGAAGCCTGGAGGCCTGAATGGTGGAGGTCCAAAAAGCTGGTTCCCTATACCTGCCATGGATGCCCAGGATTTGGGGGCTAAAAAGGAAAAGGAGCCACCACCCTGAATGGATTGACAGCCACGGCACAGCACACCCCAGGGTGGGCATGGCAAGTACCCATGCTTCCCAAATCCAGAGGCCAGGATACCTTGTGAAGGGACTGGTGGCAGACTGATGGAAAGGCCCTGGAGAAGAAGGCAGTCGGGTTTGAGAAGGTGAAAATCTGACTGTGGTCATCAAGGGTCCCTTTGAGAAATAAAAGAGGACTGCTGTTGAAAGGAGCCAGTGTGACCACACAGGGGACGTAGTGCCTTGACAAAGGCTGCATGGAAATCCACTTCCAGGGATTTCTCCTGCTGGTATACCTGCACACATATGGTATGACATATGTACAAAGTCACATTGTGGTGCTGTTCGGAATGTCAAAAGGTTGGAAACAACATAAATGTCTATCAAGGACAGGTTAAGCAAATAATGAAACATCTGAAAAAGGGACCAGTATACTGTAAAAGTAGAATATAGAAGTTCTTTATGTACTCAGCTGGAGAAAGCACCAAGATACGTTGTTTGTTTGTTGTTTGTTTTTGTTTTTGAGACGGAGTCTCGCTCTGTCTCCCAGGATGGAGTGCAGTGATGTGATCTTGGCTCACTACAACCTCCACCTCCCGGGTTCAAGCGATTCTTCTGCCTCAGCCTCCCGAGTAATGGGATTACAGGCAAGTGCCACCACACCTGGCTAATTTTGTATTTTTTGCAGAGACAGGGTTTCACCATGTTGGCCAGTCTGGTTTCGAACTCCTGACCTCAAGTGATCCACCCACCTTGGCCTCCCAAAGTGCTGGGATTGCATGCATGAGCCACTGCACCCAGCCAAGATACATTGTTGAGTGAAAAAAAAATTTCAAGATATATAGAACAGTGTAAACATGCATCCAATTGTGTTTTTCAAGGAGAAAATAATGTATACTTGTATTGGTTTACGTATGAAACAAAAATATCTAGAAGGATGAATAAAAATCTAGTAACTGATTATACACTAGGGCAAATTGGAAACAAATGGGAGACTTCATGGATGACTTTTTTATATTTGTAAAGTGAAGTGAATGTATTACTTATTCAACAATTAAAAACTTTAAAAGAAACAGTTGGATTATTTCAATAACTAAGACTGAGTGTGCAGAACATAAGAATAAAAACCATTACTATGAGCTGAACACTTTTTATGGGCTCCAACTTGAAAATATGGTTGGTGGCTATGAATGTTGAAAGCAAGGGACGTGAAGCCAGACATGTGAGGTGCCTGTGAGTATCATCTGCCTGCCCATCAGACAGGGAAGCAGTTGAGTCTGCTAGCTAGGACCCCAGATTTTCTGCCTTTCCTCCTTCCTGTTCTGTTCCCATCCCTCTGTCTTTGGCTCCCTCCCTCTGTTCGTCCCATCTAAATTACTTTGAAAGTCTGCCAGCTGGACAGGGGTTAGGATGGATAGAGGAAGAAGGGATTTCACAGGAACAGGAGCAGCAGGCCCTCCCCTCCCTCCTTTCAGAACTCCAACCCACCACCTTCAGGAAGCATTCCTTTGTGAAGCTCACAAAACCCCAGCCCCTTCATAACTCAAGGGAGACAGACTGATGCCCAGGGTGGGACCTGTGTCTCCCTCAAGCAGGGTCCAGGCCTCTTGTCTCTAAGTCTCATCAACTCCCTAAACCCCAAGTCCAGCCTCCAGATAAGGGCAGTTCAAACCAAAGCTGCAGTATGCCCAGCTCTGGCCAGGCTGCCCAGTGAGGGACATAGTGGAACAGAGAAGACACAGGCGCTGTCTGGGAAGCCCCAGTCAGGCAGGGTAGAAAATCCTCACCCATCATCACAATGCTTTAGCAGTCACAAAGGCCATCCCTACCCAGACAGAGAGGATCGGGCACATTCTCTATTTCGAGGTAGACTGAGGCTGAGTCAGGATAGAGGCTGGAATTGGTGAGTGACCAAGGAGACCTAGCAACCCCTCATCTCATAAAGCATTCTACATACTATATTGTCATCTGCCAATATTTGAGCTCTCTGAGCGGGGACAGTGTCTGATACATCTCTGAGTCCTCAGCTGGGAAAGAGCACAGGACCTGGCACAATCAAGGGACTTGGGGAGAGGCAGTAATTGCTATGAAGTGCAGAGAAAGTAAAGGACTTGCCTAAGTGTTTGACCTGAGACTAGACCCCAGGTTTTCTGCCTCCAGCCCAGCCCCCTTTCCTCTGTCTCCCTCTTACAGAGTAGATAAATTGTCTGCACCTAGGGCCACCAACCTCACACCCATTCCAATTCCATTTGCAGTGGAGCAACTACCAAAGCCTGTCAAGAGGAAGTGGGGAGGGTGAAAGATCTGGGAGGGTTTTCTAGAGGAGGTGGGAACTGCAGCTAGTTTTCCTCTTCTGCACCAAACAATTGGTTTCCCTGCTGGAGCAAGTGCCTTTCAGCCACCAGGGGCTCCTGCCAGCCCAAAATAGCATCCAAATGGATCCTGACTTCATTCCAGTGATTTCCTGCTCAAATCAGGTGCACACGAGGTGGCCAATAGGTGGCGCTTTTATCTCCAAAAATTGATGGGAGAAAGGAGATTAGAAAGAGGGAAAGGGGAGAGAGGAGTATTCGGGTGTGAAAAGGGTGTGGGGAGTGGAAGACAGACAAAAAAAGAGGAAACCAAAGACCTGTCATCACGGCTGGAAAGGCTCTTTTCAAGATCGGGACAGTGGGTGCGGGTGTAGGGGAGGAGGATATTAGGGTGAACTGAATAATTTTATTGGTGCCTGGGGCTTTTCATCCAAGTTTCCACCTCCACTTGTTTCTTCCTGAGAGAAAGGAGAATGACTTTGAAGCCAGGCAGACCTGGAAGCAAGTCCTGGGTCAGTCACTTTGCAGCTTGACCTGGGTAAGTCACTTAACCTTTCTGAGCCTGATTTTCATCATCTATAAAGGTGATGATGCACAGTTCCTACAATGGGGAGCAAATAATTCTAAGAATGCCATCTTTGCATTCCAGGAATAAACTGCACGATTGCATATTTTTTTTGTAATACATTACTAAGTTTAATTTGCTGATATATTGCTGACAAGTTTTGCATCATCTTTCATATGTGAGATTAGGCTATATTTTGTGTATTCCTTTATCAGGTTTTGATAACATAATTAGATAACATAGTCCGTAGAATTGGGATGACTTCCATTTTTTCTGTGTTCTGGAGCAATTTATGTAACTAGAGAAATAGGTTCCTCAATGGTTTGACAGAATTCACAGGAAAAAAACAGCTAACCTAGGTGCCCTCTGGTGGGAGCAGTGGAGGAACCATCTCTGACAATGTTGTCTGTTCCTTCTGGGCTAATAGGTATATTGAAATTAGTTACTCTTTAAATTAGGCAAGCCAGATCAGCGGTGACTACCAGCAAAATGACCACTCCAAGCTTTCAGGGTTGGCCTGAGGCTATGATTAAATGGGAAAGCGTTTGGCCTTGGTAGATTAGGATGGTAGATTAGGATGATGTTAGCCAATGGCTGATTCTTTCTATATAGCTTTGCATATCTACTTTTTTCCACTTGCACCTCCACCTCTACCAAACCACCACCCTTTCCTGCCTGGATGCTGCAGTAGCCTTGTAACTGGTCTCCCTACCCCACCCCAGGGCCCCTCTAACTCTGTGTCCGTGACATATTTAGGGCTATGAAATTTCCTCTGAGCACAAGTTTGACTACATTCTTTAGATTTTAATATGTACTGTTCTTACCTTTATTAATTTATAAATAGTCTGTAATGACAACTTTCTTCTAACCAAAGAGTTATTTATTTAGATAAATGTTTTAAAATGTTTAATTGCTTAGTTTGAAGTATGGTCCAAGAATATATACTTTTTTTTTTTTTTTGAGACAGAATTTTATTCTTGCTGCCCAGACTGGAGTGCAATGGTGCAATCTTGGCTCACCGCAACCTCCGCCTCCTGGGTTCAAGCGATTCTCCTGCCTCAAGCTCCCGAGTAGCTGGGATTACAGGCATGCACCACTATGCCCGGCTAATTCGTATTTTTAGTTGAGATGGGGTTTCTCCATGTTGGTTAGGCTGGTCTTGAACTCCTGACCTCAGGTGATCCGCCCGCCTCGGCCAAAGTGCTGGGATTACAGGTGTGAGCCACCGCACCTGGCCCAAGAATATATTCTTATTCATGTGGGAATTTATAAAACTTTTTGAATGTTGGTTTTTTTCGCTATAATAAGCACATTCATATAAGCATATTCTGGATCACTTAGATGACTTCCTTGTAAGAGATACCTAATACTTGAAGTCTTTATTTCCATTTATTATCAGGTAATGCTACTTTAATCTTGAGATGAGGCAAAAAAACAATGTAGATTTTATACATATATGCTGTATTTGGGCCCATTGGTATCATGGCCTGCTACATGAAGGAATGCCTGCAGTTCATTCAAAAGGAAAAAATGGTGTTAGCCAGGCATGGTGGTGCAAGCCTGTAGTCTCAGCTACTCGAGAGGCTGAGGCGGGAGGATCGATTGAACCCAGGAGGTCAAGGCTGCAGTGTGGTATGACTGCACCACTGCACTCCACCCTGGGTGACAGAGTGAGACCCTGTGTTAATCAATCAATCAATAAAATTAAAAATGGTGACTTTAGTCATCACATGGCCCGAGGAATGACAAACCCAGAAAACCTGCTATGGAGAAGTCAGAGCCACATTCACGGAGCAAGTGATGTAGTCTCAGCAAAACTATATATATATATATATATAGTTTTTGTTTAGTTTTGTTTTGTTTTGTAGATGGAGTCTCACTCTGTCGCCAGGCTGGAGGGCAGTGGCATGATCTAGGCTCACTGCAACCTTCGCCTCCTGGGTTCAAGCGATTCCTCCGCCTCAGCCTCCCGAGTAGCTAGGACTACAGGCAGGTGCCACCACGCCTGGCTAATTTTTTGTATTTTTAGTAGAGATGGGGTTTCACCATGTTAGCCAGGATGGTCTCGATCTCCTGACCTCATGATGCGCCCACCTCAGCCTCCCAAAGTGCTGGGGATTACAGGCGTCAGCTACCGCGCCCAGCCACAATATATTCTTTTACATTTGACTAATGTTATGCACTTGAATTTTTATTTCATTGTTTGAATTTAATTTATAAACAATTTTAACAATCACATAAGAAATACAAGTCTAAAGAATTTATACCTGCAAATACTGACATTATAATAAAAAAATTAAAGTCAGTACTGGAAGTCCACAGAATTCTTTCCCTTTAAAAGTAAACCACAATAACCTGTATCGTGCAAAATCCCCTCACCCCCATACTTCTAGGATCTCCCAGAGAGGTAATACACTTGGGCTCAAAACCAATCCAGTCACTACAGTGGAGGGCTCTCTTGAAGGAGCCTCTCTGTTACCATGTTTGCCAGTGTCACTGCCAAGGGTGTCACTTTCCTATGTACTCAATTTTCCATGTGCCAGGGTAATGTTGGCTTCCTTCTTAAATGGATCCAGGAGGCCCTCAAACCAGCTCAGCACCATCCTGGGCCCAAAGCTACCCTCCCTGTGTTCCAATTCCCTCTAAGTCAGGAAGTCACCCCTCTCAGGGCTTCTCCTCTCAGGTTTCCTTCTCCTGTAAGGAAATCTCCAGAGTTCTCCTGCCCTGTCCTCCTGCCAAAACTCTTAACCCCTCATTTCCATAATACTCCACCACCTTCCCTGCTTCCCTACAGGTAAAGCATACTAAGCTGAGAAAATATCTCCCATTCTCTGATTCCCTCCAAAAAAAAAGGTCTACAGAGAAGCATAGCATTGACGCAAATATTTCATTGTCAAATGCCTGCTTAGCTTCTCATGCTAAAACAATTTCAGATGTGCAAAGTTTCCAAAAAATTTTACCTCGACTGAAAAAAGGGAATAAACTAAGAAAAAAGGGAAGATAGGGATATCAGGAAGTAGAAGATCCAAAACAGGACACAGAATTACCAAGGTAATGGTGAAGGGAATTTCCAGATCCAGCTCTGTTCAGCCGACCTGGAGCACCATCAGTCCAGATGAGCAGAAGGTTGGAGGGTTCTGGGAGAGATGCCCCAGGAAGGGAAAAGCACAACCACCAAAAGCAATTATAGGTTTCCTGGTAAGTTTGACCTCATCTCATGAAAAGCTGTACCACAGTGTTACTGGAAGGTATGGGAAGATTTAGCTTCCCATAGATTTAGCTTTGTACCTTTGTAGGTGCAAAGGAAGTTGAACAAATGAAAAAATAAGGCAGTATTAAGTCCAGGTAAAATAAAAGGTTGCACACACACACAAAAGGAATTATAATTGTAGTACACTAGTAGCTTATCACAGAACAATATTTACATAGTAACGATGTAAATGCTAAAACTTTATTTAAACGAAAGTTGGTAATTTGAGGGGGAATGGAAGGAGATAAGAGATTTTAGAGGTAAATGTTCATCTATCATAATAGGAAGTTAATCGTTACTGTTTCAAGAGAGATGAGTAGAAGCATGGAAATATGGAAGTATATTTCAAGAGAAAGAAATATGAATTGAAAGCGGATTTTTGTATGGAACAAAGCAGAGATCCTGAGAGTGGTGCAAGATACCACTATAAGCCTATGATTGCTACTTGACTTGTCAAATTATGTGCTGCTTTCGATTTTTTTTTTTTTTTTGAGACAGTCTCGTTGTGTCGCCCAGGCTGGAGTGCAGTGGCATGATCTTGGCTCACTGCAACCTCCGCCTCCCAGGTTCAAGCAATTCTCCCGCTTCAGCCTCCCAAGTAGCTGGGATTACAGGCATGCGCCACCACACCCAGCTACTTTTTGTATTTTTAGTTGAGACAGGGTTTTACCATGTATTTTACCAGGCTGGTCTCAAACTCCTGACTTAAGGTGATCCACCCACCTCGGCCTACCAAAGTGCTGGGATCACAGGCATGAGCCACCATGCCCAGCCTGAATAAAGGAAAATTAAGGAAGCATTTAAAAAATAAAAATCTGATTTTCCAGTTCAAGGGTGACCCTCCTAGTATTTCCCTACAGATATTTTCTACCTGTCCTCGAAGTGTTCCAAGATCCTGGGACCGAGACCTGCAGGGTAGTAGCAAGAATTGAATTCAGAGCTCAGGAAGCAGTTCCTGGCTTCAGGAGAGCGAGAAGAGTCCTTTCCTTCCCTGGGATTTCTTAGACTAGGAAAGAATTTATCAACAGAGGCTCTGAGGCAGGAGGAGGGGCTATAATACCGTTTGGAGCAAAAGCAAGTTCGCATTTTGATCTTTACGGAGCTCGACTTCCTAGAGAACCGAGGGCCGGATCTTTTGCTACCTGCTGGGGCTAGGGAGGGGCAGTTTACTAAACTTAGAAGTTGGGAAATAGCCTCCACCTTCACCTCTTTCACCCTTTCTATAGGTCACTATGAGGATTGCCAGTGGATAAGAAGGTGCCAAAGTCAAAGTACTGTCCACTCAGTCATTATTCTGTAAGTCAGGCACAGTATCAGACAGCAGGGATTCATGCCCTCGAGCAGTCAAAATATGTTAAGTGAAGGACTGCTGTGCATCAGGCAAATCAGATCTGACCCTTGCTCAAAGGGGCTAATAGCTGGTGGAGGGGGTCTATCCAGGTCACTTCCTACCATACTGTGTAAACCTACTGCCCTCCCCTCAAAGAGGGCCTTCCTGGCCTTCTCAGATTTTCATACTTTCTCCTCTATGGGCGGCCCATTGTCCACCCTCATCTTCCATCACCACCCCAGAGCTTCAAACTCTGGTATCCAAGAGAGGCACATCCTGCACGTCCTGCACGCAAATCACACTCACCCTGGGTTCAAGATGGGGGACTACCTCCCCCATCTTCTCCTACCCCTAATTCAGGCTCAACTAGACTGGGAGCCCTGGGGTGGGGGAGCTTGAAAAAGCCTGATGCTTAGCATTTGGGTCAGCACCAGACAGCAGGACAGGGTCAAAGGCCAACTCCCTCCCTCACACCTCAGAGTCTCTGCTCAGTGCTACCCTGTCCTTGGTGCTGGGGACAGTCAGGAATCAGCTCAGATCCCTTCTGCCCTATCTTACAATCCAGCAGGGGAGGTAAGACAGGGGGCATAGCCAATGGTGCAGTGCCTGGAAGTTCAGAGTGGGTGGGGTGTGGTTCTGTGACCTGGCCTCAATCTTTATAGTAGAGAGCGTAATCTTTTAGGCTGAGCCCCTTGCCTGAGGCCAGCGCCTTTCCTCCAGAATACTATGCATACTAGTCACCTGGGAATTTTGCTAAAATGCAGAATCTGATGATTCAGTGAGTCTGAGTGGGGCCAAGATCCTGCATTTCTATTTATTTACTTAAATGAGGTCTCACTACGTTAGGCCAGGCTGATCCCAAACTCCTGGCCTCAACCGATCCTCCTGCCTTGGCCTCCCAAAATGCTGGGACTACAGGCATGAGCCAGCACGTCCTGCCAGATTCTGCATTTCTAACAAGCTCCCAGGTGATGTTGTAGGTCTGTGGACCACACTTTGAGTGCAAGGCTGTAGAGCACTTATCTTATTTCTCTGAGCGTTGATGGTTGGATTAATGACTCTTCCCACTGGCCCACAACCTCCATGAGGCAGGGATTTTGCCCATTCATTCAGTAATATTTCCCCAGTGTCTAGCACAGGCTCAGCACATTAACTAACTGGAGGAGTGAATCAACGGCCAGTGCTCCTTTATCCATGGGAGCTGGGAATAATCCCAGAGAGCAGACAACCTGCTGCTCAGATACATTCACACAAGTGTGTACACACACATGCCCAGCCCATCTCGTCTCTACCAGGCTGAGATGCAGGAGATGGCATTTGACTAGGCCTACTATGTGCACAGCTATGGCTGAATCACTTCCTTTTTAAAACAAAATTGTGTTAGCCACTAATCCTGCTGGAGAATCACTTCCTAATCCCATTTCATGAACTTCTGATTGATGTCTCACAAGGAGGTTCACCCCATGTGGCAACCCAAGATCTAGAATAAAGCTCACCCGTCTCCCCAGACCACTCCCCCAAGTCACCAGCCAGCACACCAAGTCCAGAAAAAAGTTTCTTTCTTTTTAATTAAACCAGCTTTAATTAAAAATAATAATAACCCAATAAGTCCTAAGTTTTCCAGGGGATGGGGCAGACCTAAAGGCCCACCAACTCCCCTTTCAGTCAGGAGCCCTGGTGCTGCCTGTCTGAAATCTCCAAGAAGTGTCCTCAGGGCGTGAAGAAGGCAGCCAGGTGTGTCTACGTGAAAGGGGGGCTCTCTCCCAGGAAGAAGCTGAGGGCAGACAGGTAAGTGGAGGTGGGGGGCAAACTTGTGGGAAAATGAAGGGACGCTAGCAAGTAAGTCATGAACCCAGGAGTCTGACCCAGGAGTGTCGGAAAAACATGAGAGAAGGTTGATGAAGTACAGTCGGTGGAGGAGGCGGCTTGGGATCACAGATCTGGCTTCCAAAGGCTTGGAACTCACCAGGAAACCTGGGGTATGGACTCACTGGAGGCGAGTCAGCTCCGGGGCAAGGGACCCACAGACAGCGCTGGGGTGGGGGGCGCCGCAAAGCTGGGGGCGCTCACAAGTGGAGGGAGAAGAAATGAGAGGCTGGCAGGTCAAAGGGGACGCTTCTGTCCAGTGGCGAGATGGTGGGAGCCTCCCCAGGGATGGGGGACGGAGAAGGATGTAGCAGGAGTTTGAGTCCAGGAGGCCACGACGAGAGGCGCAGGGTGTGCTCCAAGCCAGGGTGGGGGGTAGAGATGGGGCGCTCGAGGGCGGCGCCGCAGGTCCGGGGCACAGGTCGCACAGGTGCCTGCCCGCGCGGCGCAGGCTCACAGGTAGCGCTCCAGCCCCGACGCGAAGCCCGGCTGCCTCAGGTAGGCCTCCCCAGGGCTGAGCGGGCCGAGAGCGGCTGCCGGCCCGGCCAAGGCCAGGAGGGGCTCAGCGGGCAGCGGGCCGGGGCCGGGGCGCGTCGCGGGCAGTACCAGGCGGTCGGGGACCTGCGAGTAGAGTGGCGGGGAGGCGGCGGCAGCGCAGGGCGGGAAGGCTGCGGCTGCGGCGTCGGGCGCGGCGCAGCAGGGCGGCTCGGGGGCGCCCAGCCCCGCTAGCTCCGGCTGCAGGTTCACCAGGCTGTCGACGCTGAACAGACGCGCGGGCGGCGAGGGGCCCGGTCCGGCAGAAGGCGGCGGCACCAGCAGCGCGGGGCCGGGCGCGGGCGCGTAGGGCGCGTAGGGGAAGGGGAGCGGCGGCCCTGGCGCCGCGGCCGCGTGCGCGGGCAGCTCGGCGCGCTTGAAGCGCTTGCGGCGCCGCAGGAAGCTGCCGTTGTCGAACATGTCTGCGGCCGCGGGGTCCAGCGTCCAGTAGTTGCCCTTGCCCGGGTTGCCCGGCTCGCGGGGCACCTTGACGAAGCAGTCGTTGAGCGTGAGATTGTGGCGGATGCTGTTCTGCCACTTGCGCGGGCTGTCGCGGTAGAAGGCAAAGCGTTCGGTGATGAAGCGGTAGATGGCGGCCAGCGTGAGGCGGCGGCCCGGGGCGTGCGCCAGAGCCATGGCGATGAGCGCGATGTACGAGTAGGGCGGCTTCCCGCGCTGCAGGGGCCGCCGCCGCCGCCGCCCCGGGCCGGGCGCGGGCGTGGGGGCCGCCTCTCCGCGGCCAGCCGCCGCCTCCTCTGGCTCCCGCCCTGGCTCGGCTCCTGCGAGCGGCGACGGCGGCGGCCCCGACGGCGCGACCGCTGGCAGGGCAGGGAAGCCAGAGAACGCGGCGGGCGGATCCATGTCGCTGCGCCCCGCCATCGGCTGCGGCAGCCCCTGCCCGCGCGGCTCCGGGACCGCAGGGGCCGCCGACCCGCTTTATATGGACACGGCCCCCCCCCAACCACCGCCGGGGGAGAGGGCTCAGGCCTTGCCTGCTGGCCAGCGCCTCCCCTCTAATTTCCTCTCCCAGCCCCCTTACTCTGTTCACGGTACCCTCCTCCATTTCGCCCCTCCCTTTCTGCCTTTGGATCAGTTTTTCCCAGACCCAGACTCACCCCTTCCCCATCTCGGTTATATCAGCCCCTGGCCCCATCCCACTGTATTTGGTCAGTCCCCTTCCCTTTCCACCCCTCCTTCTACCCCCTCTCCTTTGGATCATTCCCAATCACAAATCCACCCATTCACTCTCCCAGCCCCCTCCCCATTTTGCTCCTCCCCATTTTGCTCCTCCCAGTAGTCGGTCCCCCCATCCTTCTCCTGGCCTTCCATCCCCAGCTGGAACAGAGATGAAGGCCGCCTTGCCAGCCCTCAGTATCCTGATGGGGAGGTGTCAGGCCCACTCACAGACATTAGGGAACCTGGGCCAAGGTAATGAAGCAGCGGGGCAGGGCAGAGCCAGGCCGGTTTTGTCTCTGGGAGAATGTTTGACTGCTCCAGATCAGGGTCACCATCTTGCCTCTCTGCCACCCCCCTCCCCCATACCCCTGTCATGCCCTCCCTCCAGGCCTTGAGAGCATTCTCTGAAAAAACAGAATTGTGGAAAGTGGTGCGGCCGCTTTAAATGAAGAGCCCCCAGGAAATCCACAACTTGGAGCTGCCTTTCTGGCTGCCTCCTCTCCACACCCCCCTGTTAAAGAAAACAGCTTTTCTTCACATACACACACACACACATACACCCACACACACAGTACAAAATGTAGGCTTCCACAGACTGGGGGTCTGAAAAAGCCGCCTTCTGACCCAGAAACACCACACTCACATCTCACTGGGGATGGGGGGTCTTTGGCAGTGTTTGTTAAAAACTCAGTCTGAGAAGTTCCACCCACAACTGGCATCCAGGGGGATGCAGCACCCAGCCTATTTTGGGAAACTTCTTCTCCCAAGAGACAGGAGACCCATCCCCAGCTCCAAGGGAACTACAGGGTGAAGGAGCCTTGTCTTAAAGTGGGTTGTCCTGGGGACAGGCAGATCAAGGGACTTGGACATGGAGCAGGGCTGGAAGGACAGTGAGCCCACTGAGGTGCCTGAGGTGCTGAGTTTAAGGGGAGCTCAGTCTCAGGGCCTTGCAAGTGCAGTCAGCACTTGAGAGCCAGGGCCTCCTTACATTTGGGGCATCTCACTTGCCCCATCCTAGTCCCCCAGCCATGCTATAGAGTGTCCCTAGGTATAGGTGACCAAAGCTAGTTACAGCAGGCCTGTAAACTCCAAACTCAAAATCCAGTTCAAAATCCAAACTCAAAGCATGGAGCTCAAGGGCCCCTCTCTCAGCTCCAGTCTCAGCTGATGACATCACAGCCACCATTACTGAGCATTTTGTATTTGGTAAACACTTTATGTACATTATTGCACTTAAGTTTGGGCACCCCGTGAAGTGAGTACTGTTATTATTCCTGTTTTGCAAATGAGGAAACTAAGGTTCTGAGAGGTTAAGTGGTTTCCCTGACTTCACACAGCTAGTAGTAAGTGGTAGAGCTGGAATTAAATGTGAAGTTCAAAGCTCTAGCACCCCACTCTTCTAAGAATGCCATCCTTTAAGGCTGAGCTGAGACATTAGAAATAATCAGAGTATTTCCAGCTCCCACAACTTCAGCTGCCAAAGTAGATTCTTAGCTTCTCTCCTCACCTCCTGGTCAGCATATCTAGGTGCCCATTGGGCATAACCACATGGATATTTCAAGGTATCTCAAACCCAAATGTCCTAAATGAAATGCATCTCTTCCTCTACCCGGTACATCCTCCAGCCTTGGCCGGCTCTCCTTGCAGCATTCCATATCTCAGCAAATGGACCTCTCCCCTTTCCTTCCCACCACCACCAGATGAAAGTGTGGTTATCATCATCTTGGGCTCCTTCCTCCCCACTCACTCTCCACATTCAGGCAAGTGCCAAGTCCCGTCAATTCCACATGGGTCCCAGATCCATCCCTCCTTCAGTTCTCCTGGCCTCAGTTCAGGCTTCATTGCTCACCGAGTACTTCTGGGCCAGTCCCTTAGCAAGTGCTCCAGGCAAGACAGAAATGAAGACTCGAAATCTGGTGGAGAGACAGACAACTGCCAGTTATGATAGAGGTGGCCAGAGGGGCTACAGAAGCAGAGAGGAAGGAGATGACACTTGGAGATCTACAGACAATCCCTAACCCACAACAATGAAGAGTCAGCTCAGTTTATATTCTAGCAGGTCCTGCCTCAGAACCCTCTTCAACCTCCCCACCCTGCATTCTTTTTTTTTTTTTCTTGAGACATAGTCTTGCTGTGTCACCCAGGTTGGAGTGCAGTGGGGCTATCTTGGCTCACTGCAACCTCCAACTCCCAGGTTCAAGTGATTCTTCTGCCTCAGCCTCCAAGTAGCTAGGACTACAGGTGCCCGCCACCACGCCCAGCTAATTTTTGTATTTTTAGTAGAGACGGAGTTGCATCATGTTGGCCAGGCTGCTCTTGAACTCGTGACCTCGGGTGATCCACCTGCCTCGGCCTCCCAAAGTGCTGGGATTACAGGCAAGAGCCACTGCACCCGGCCCCACCCTGCATTCTACCGCCTGAAGGTAGACCATATGGAACACAAGACAGTGCAGTCACAATGCCCAGCTCACCAAAGAAGAAGGCAAGACAAGCCACTGCAGCATGAGGAAATCTAGCTTCAAGAGCAGAGTGACCTGGGGCCAGTTCTCATTTGAGCCTCAGTGAGCCTCAGTTTCCTCAAACGGAATAATGGAAGCCCCCTCTCAGCATTTTGAGAGCCAAATGAGATCAGGTATGAAAGTGCCAGGCCCACAATGGCACTTAGCAAGAGGTGCTTTCTTTTCCTACTACACAATTGGCATAATCAGTATTAAACCAGGGGAAGGAGAGAGGCAGAGCCAGAGAAGTTATTTCAGCACCTGCATATTTTCAAGCAGGTGCAACATAATCCTGCAGCTAGACTCAAGTGCAGACCAGAGCTGACAAGGTCTCATACACTGCCTTTCCCACCTTCCCTTAGTGATGGAGCCCCTCCAAAGCACCCACCACAGCTTCCATCTCACACCTCCAGGCAGTGAGGGGGTTGAGGGAAAAGTGGCTTTTATTACCACCCGTAGCTACGTGCAGTTTCCTTGTACTTTCAGTTTTCTGGTCAATGTGTACAGCCTAGGACATAGTACATGTTCAATAAATGAAACTGAATGTGTGGTTGGCTATGCTAATCCTGGGAAGGGTGGGGGTGGGGAACTAGGCCAAAGGGGTGAGGACCCAGACTTTTCCAGTTCTTTATGCCTGTCTGGCCCCCTCCATTGGGCCTGCTTCCCGGAGCTGGAGCCGAGCAGGCCAGTGTCAGGGGGCGGCCCAAGGGCTAATCCGTGTTTTCAGCGTGGCTGGGCCCTCTTTTCACAGGCCCTGGGCCGGACGTGATGCGGCTGAGCATCCGGGCATAAGATGGCCAGTGAAGGCGGCCCCTTTCTCATGGGCCTGGATTCCAGGCGGCCCAGCGTCTGAGTGGAGCCCCTGGGGCGGGAGGAACACAGTGGCTGGGCTGGGCAGTCCTTTGTCTGACCACACTGGGTGGATATTCGGGCTGGCAGGAGGGATTAATGGCCAGGGATTGGCCCTGGGGCCGGCCTTCCCACTGCCCTTTGGAGGCCAAAGGCCCAGGTCAGGGCACACAGCGTTGATGACTCTCTAGATAGGAGTGGAAATTCCCACCCTTGTCCAAAGCTGTTAGCACTAGCCCGCAAGACTCCCTGCCCCCAGCCCCAGCTCTGCAAAGGCACCACTAGCCAAGACAGGCCTTGAGGCAAGGAACATGGGGTAGGGGCCAGGGCTTCCCAACTACTCTGCCTAGGAGAGAGGGCTGAGGCAGAAAGCCCTTTCAGGTCCTTGGCCCAAGATACCCATCCTCATGATTGCCCTTCAGAGCTCTGAGAAGAAAGAGCCATGTTAACTCTGTGAGTGCCCAAGGGACCAGCCTGAGGCTCCTGAAGGCTTCCTGGAATGTTCCTCAAACACCTCTAGTTTGAGGCCATCCCAGAGTCATTTATTTCTAAAGCCCTCCATCACAGCTTCCACCAATCTCAGAGCCCAGAGGCTGCAGAAGGGGCTCTGGAGCCAAGGAAATCTCAGATTCCCCAACACCATCTCTTGCCACTCAGAGGTCCTGAAGGCTGCCGCAGGGCTTCCTCCCTCTTAGGCCCAAAACTAGAGCTGCCCAGGATACTGCTTGTTTCTCAGAAGCCCGAGGCAGGCAGTTGCCCGCTGGCTGGGCTCTGGCAAGGCCTTTTCTGACCAGGCTGCTCCTGAACTAGGGATGACAGCCACAGCCCCATCCTTACCAGCAGGGTCTGACTCCAGAGGGCCTGAGCCAGGCTCAGGAAAGGTAGCAAGTACAGTCCTGACTCTGGAGAGAGCATCAGGGAATAACCCAGGAGGAGGATGCCCCCTTTGTGATTCTTTATTCCTCATGCTCTTTTCATTCAGCAAATTCCAGTCATCTGTGTCCAGGCTGCCCTGGGTGCTGGATCCTATGGTGAGTCAGACTGTTCTCTGCCTTCACTGTGCTCAGGAGGAAGCAGCCCCTGAACTTCCCCCATAAAAGGTCGTTGGTGTATGGTGTGGGTAGAGCAGGGACTGCAGGAAGAAGAGACCTCACCCTGTCTGGCTAAGTGGGGAATGCATCCCAGAAGGGGTAAAGCTCCAGACGGCCAAGTGAGGAAGGCCCCAGACTGGATTAGGGGCTCAATCTCTGTGGCTCCATAACATCTCCATCACTGCGTTTACCTTATCATGTTATAAGTGTTCCTTCGTGTGTCTGTCTGCCCCATTTGACTTTGTATGCACTGAGGGCACATACCATGTCTCACGCAACTTTGGATCCCTGGTACTTAGTATAGTGACTGGGAGAAGTTGATGAGTAATAAATATGTATCAGATGGGTGGAAGGTTGATGGCCGAATACCAGGTGGAGACAACCTTGGGTGCAAGATCTGAAGGCAAGTGTGTATTGTCCATTCTGGGATGTGCAAGACTTTTTAGGAAGTGTTTTTCTTAGAGTTACGCAAGTTATATGTGTGAAGTTCTTAGAACACTGCCTGGTACATATCAGTGCTGTGTAACTGTTAGCTGTTGTCGTTGCTACTATTATTCACTGTGGCTGGTGTAGACTGCCAAGGGACTGAGACAGGAATGTAAATGGGCTCAGATTGGAGATGACTTTGTGTGCTGGACCAAGTAGGACCTTTCTAGAGACAGGGAGTCTGAAATTTTTCCAGCCGGGGAGTGACATGATCAGATGTCTCATTTAGGTCACTCAGTCTATCAGGGGATGGGCTAGAGAGGGAAGAGGCTAGAGGCTAAGAGACCAGATAGAAGGCTGACCATGTGATGAGATGTGAACTAAGGCTGTGGCTCTGGGCCACATCGGACACTTCACTCCCCTTCACTCAAGACAGGGATGGAGAGAGAACATTCAGCCGTCCATCTCAGATGGTGGCTTAAACATTGACCTGTCACACCGTCCAGAAACTGGCCATCATCCTTTCCTTTCTCTCCCTCTCCAACCACCTCCAGTCACCAAGACCTGTTGGTTCTCAGAAAGTTCTGTTGAATCCATTCTCTTCACTGAAGACTGCAGCAGCCTCCTGGCTGGTCTCCCTGCCTCCTCCTCGGATTCCTTCACTCAGCAGCTAGAGCAACGCTTCATCTGTGGCCCCTGCTAAAACACCTCCAGTGGCTCCCTGTCACTCTCAGGGCTCAGGCCCCATCATCAGCATGGCTGGCAGGCACCACAGGACTGGCCAGTGAACCCCTCCTTCCTCATTTCTCACCGCCCTCCCTGTTCCCTGATTCCCTGCAACACACACATTCTATACTGAGCCAAGTAAGTGCCAAGTCTCCTCCCACTCTGCGTTTTTGCTAATCAAAATTACAACAACCCGACTGGCCAGCTTTAGATACAAATACTGTCTCATGTATTTGTCTAACTAGCCCTTCCATCTCCAAGACCTTTATAGCAATAAGTCTCATCTTTCCCTCTGAAAAACTCCATTTCCACATTGTCAAACAAATAAGCAAATGAAAACCCAGAGAGTTTTCCCATCCAAAGGTAGAGAGGGAACCAGTTACTTCTCCCACTGCACCCTCTGCCAGCAGGGCCCTTTCTTCCCTGATCTGCCTGGTGTAATCCTGCTTGTCCCTTGAGAACCACTCACAGAAGATAACCATTTCATCTGCTAGAAAACATTTCCCAATTTCTTGCTCCTTCTCCAGGCAAAAGGCCTGCTGGCACCTCTGGCCTGACCGTACCCAGAGACTGGATCACATGCTCCTGCTCCATGCCTGCCTCCCCAGCGGAATGGAAGCAATTCCTCCTTGGACCCTATGATAGGCTGCAGAGGGGCACGGCTCAGTGAGCATTTGTTGAGTGCCTGACTGACTACCCTGCTGAATGAATAAGTGAATGAATGAATGACCACACCTGTCTGGAAAGGTAAAAGGTCCATGTGCTGGCTTCCAGCTAGGAATCTGCCTCCTGCCCTCACTGCCGCTGCTCAGCTCTGTGGCCCTGGGCCAAGACCCCCCATGCGGGCCTTGCTTCAGCAGGGTCCAGGCTCAGCTCTGGCTCCAACAATGCTGGCTCAGCCCTGAGGGTGTAATTCCAGCCGCTCCTAAACCACACACAAGGCATCTGAAGTATGTTCCGTGTCATTTCGAACTGTCAGCGTTCTGACATCCACCTCGCCCCCGCACCCTAGGCAATCTCAGTGCTCTCAGGCCTTCCTGCTTCTCATTTCCAGGGAAGCCGAAGGGGAGTGGTGCTGTCAGCAGGCTGCCAGAGCCAAGGGAACCCAAGCTGGAGAAGAATGAGTTTGAATCCACCATTCATGTGCTATGTGACCCAATGCAAGTTACACACCTCCTGTGGCCCATGTTAGGGACATAAGCCCCTCATACTTGAAGGACTCTGAGATGATCTGGGCCGCTTAGCTAAAGGTATCTGGAAACCATGTGGCACCCAGTGCTGTCTGTAAACTACATGCACAGTGTGTCTCTCACATACAGTCTGAATGTTTTTCAAATGGATGTAGATGCTGCTGTGATTGATAAATACAACCACATTTAAAAGTTTGGCAGTTATTTTTTTGTCATGATTTTTGGTCCATCAGTGGATACTAAAAGCACAACTGCTATCACATGAGGTAACTGGGAGGTGTTTTTTTAATCCCCATTCTTAAACTATTGCTAGAATCCAATATCTCTTCTTTACAGTTTTGGACATGCAGGTCCAGAAAGGGGAGAGGCTTGTCTAAAGTCCTGAAGCAAGTCAGTGCAAAGCCTAGGACTGTAACCACACTGCACTCACCCCTTCCTCCAGCCCCCACCCAGCTCTTTCTTCTCTGCATTTATTCAACAATATTTATTCAGCACCTGATTTGTGGCAGACTATGCTAGGCACCAGGGAGCCAAAAATGAAGACCAAGGATTCTTACTCTCAGGAGCTGACATCTGGGGGAGGGTGGTGGTTATGCAGGGAGGGACACATTAAACAGATTTTTCCTAAGTGTTAAGAGAAGCCATTGAAGAACCTCAGTGAGAAAGTGGTATAAAGCTCCTGTTGATTGAAGAACTTGAGTGAGAAAGTGGTAATAACTCGGCAAGCTGCTCATATGTGTCTGGCCTCTCCACTTGCTCTTAGCTCCTGAGGGCAAAGCCTGGGCCTCATCCTCTTGTGGATCCAGGAGAGCAGTCGCTGAAGAGAAAGAGGAAGAAAAGGAGTGGCTAGAAAAGAAAGTTTATTTCCACTGCAGGAAGCACTGCCTCCCATCTGAGAAATGTCCCAAGCAGGAATCAGGTAATAAGACTCTGAAAAATCATCTGGCTGGGTGACCGGGGGCAATCATCTTGACCATCAGGAGCATCAGTTTCTCCTTTAGAGAACTGGGAGAGGATGTTTTTGTTCTTTAGCAACATTCACCTCCCACAAAATGTTAAGTCTCTATCACCTCAGAAAAGCCCCAGCGTGGGGGCTAAATGGGGAGGGGTTAAGAAGAGAGAGGGAGGAAAGGGAGATATGGGTAGCTAGAAAGACAAGGACTGGTGATTTGGAGCCAGTTCCAACTGGCTTGTGAGACTATGCATCTCATCCCAACACTGCTTTTGGTGACATCATGGTCGTAGTTTGAAATTGGCCACAGTGGGAGTATTTACACCACAGAAATTGACAAATGCTACCAATCAGAGTGCCCCCCACCAGCCAGAAATCTAGCTGTTAAACATTCACCAGCCCGCCACTTGGCAAGACGGCAATGATTAAAATAATAAAGATCAGACAAGACTGAGACTCCCATCTGGCTCAGTGAGCAAGCTCCAGGAAGGGAAGGTCTAGCAGGTGGAGCCACCAGGGAGAGGGGGCATACACATTTACTTCTCCTCTCCCTGGGACTCCTTAGGCTCACACTCACGGACCTCAGTGTCTGTGCCAAGCACTAGGCCAGAGTCTTACATAATTTATGTAATCCTTTAAGCAGCTCTGTGAATCAGGCCTGACTCTCCCTATTATATCCTGACTTCTAAAGGAGACATATGATTTGATTCAGTAATTCCCCTTCTAGGAATTCATCCTGAAGGGATGTGCCGAGTAATGTATGTTCAAAGATGCTCATCACTGTGTTATTTATCATAGAGGAAAAATTGAACCTAATATCCCTAGGTAAGTTTGGATCTATTCCTTGGAACATTAGGAGAACGTTAAAAGAGCTATTTTTGAGGAATTTTTAATGAAGCAAGAAAATGTTCATGATATAATATTAACTATAAAAAGGGTATAAGTTATACAGCATGATTCCAATGTTCATACACATATATATTCACACATACACACATACATGTACATCAAAAAAGAAAATACACTAAAATATCAACAGTTTTATCTCTGGGTGATGGATTTGGGGTGATTTTTATTGTTTATCTTCTTAGGAATTTAAACTATGAACATTATTCACCATGTTGTGCTCTTGTGACACATGCACTTTGCTATATATATGTTAATACTTCAACAGATTTTTAAAATATATCCATAGTTAATATACAAAAAGCCAATAACAATGCTTGCTTCGGGCCGGGCACGGTGGCTCATGCCTGTGATCTCAGCACTTTGGGAGGCCGAGGCGGATGGATCACAAGGTCAGGAGTTCAAGACCAGCCTGGCCAACATAGTGAAACCTCGTCTCTACTAAAAATACAAAAATAAGCTGGGCATGGTGGCGCACACCTGCAGTCCCAGCTACTCGGGAGGCTGAGGCAGGAGAATCACTTGAACCCGGGAGGCACAGGTTGCAGTGAGTCGAGATCGCACCACTGCACTCCAGCTTGGGCGACAGAGCAAGACTTTGTCCCAAAAAAAAACAAAAAACAAAAAACAATGGTTGCTTCATGAGGAGAGAACTGTGTGGCTATGAAACAGGAAGGAGAGGGAGACTTTAACTCTTTACTATTTGCATCTTTTGAATTTGGAATCATGTGAATTACGTAACCTACTCAAAAATTATTTAATTACAATTTCAAAAAAAAAAAACTACAAGAATGCATACATCCTCTAACTAGGAAAAAATGTTAATTTCAAAAACCATCCCCAATTTACAGATGAGAGAACAGAAGGTCACAGCTGTGGAAGGAGCCCAGAGTTACCCAGCTAGAAGATGGCTCCAATGCAGTACATATCCAGATATAGCAATTCCTGAGTGTGTTTGAAGAATTAAGTTTGCAAATTACTGCCTCCCTACAGACACATTACCATTTCATAGATGCAAAAACTGAGAACACCCAAATTTAGAACGCACCTCCCTCACCACTTTCCCCACTCCGAGCCTAGCACCTCTTCTCTCACCACCCCACCAGGCCAACAGGCATAGTCTCTACAACAGTCTGTTAAGGCAAGGATCACCTAGACTGTCCCTGTGAGGCCCAGGGAGGACAGTCACTCACCCCAAGCCCCTCAGCGGTGCATATATCTCTCAAAAGACTGTAATTCAAGAAAGAGTCCAGAACCTCGGGCGGGAGGAAGGAAGGGCCCTCCCAGAGGCAGGGAGCAACATCTGGAACGGTTTGTGCCTTTGGAGCAGGCGTGCAGTCATTAGTAGGGCTTTGGCATGTTAGGGGCAATAACTGCATATTTTCTCTAGGGTGCATTGTGAGCCTCCTTTGCTCAAAATGTAATGAGTATGTCTCCTATCAGGGGAGGAGGGATGTTTGCACTCCTCCCTGGCCTGCCTGGGCTGCTCTCCTGCCTTCTGGTTGGCCTTAGGCTCACCCGCCTTCCTGTTTTTAGAAGCGTCAGACAGCCCTAGACCAGCCGCTAGATGTCACAGCCAGTTTGGCTTCCCTGATAGGACCTGGGACCAGTGGGGCACCCTGATGGAGAAAGAATCATTTGCTCCAGTGTTCCTCTGTGGTCAAGAGCCACTTCTTTTCATCTATCTGCACTCAAAGACTCCACCCAGGGGATTTTCCAAGCTTAAAAAATGGAGAAGTATTTTGTTGTTGTTGTTCCCTGGAAGTTTCATGGGGGAAAAATACAAATAAGTTCAAGAAGAGTAGAGATGAACCTGCAGCTTCCTCTCTTGTGTCCCTTCCCCTCCCACCCAGGCTGTTGCTTTCTGTCATTCTCCTTTGGGCCCTTACAAAGGTAGGTTCTTCCGCTTGTAATACCTTTCCTTTTCTCTCTGTGCTCACCCCTGTCTGAAAAACTCAGCCATCTTCTCCAGGAAGCCTTCCAAGCAGGGATAAGTCCTCTGATTTCCCCACAGTGCCTGTGCTTCTCTCTGTCACAGCCATCATCACCCACGGTACTGAATCCTTTCTTACCTTTCTCCCCAACCTAACTATATGAGTCTTGAGAACTGGAGAAGTGATTGTTTCTCTAGCAAGATTGCCAGTGTCCAGCATAGGGCCAGGGACAGAATAACATGCACAGTAAATGCCAAGTAACTGATTGACTAATTGACTGAATGAATAAATGAACAAATACGGTAATAAAGTGTCAGAGATGAAAGAGGACAGGATGGGACCCCATCATCTTACAGCTAAGGAAACCGAGGCTTAGAGAAAGGGAGAAGGTATCATCAGGAAGGAATTGACAGAATACCAACTCAAACTAACTTAAGAAAAATGTTGGCCGGGCACAGTGGCTCACACCTGTAATCCCAGCACTTTGGGAGGCGAAGGTGGGCGGATCACCTGAGGTCAGGAGTTCAAGACTAGCCTGACCAACATGGAGAAACCCCATCTGTACTAAAAATACAAAATTAGCCGAGCGTGGCGGCATGCACCTGTAATCCCAGCTACTCAGGAGGCTGAGGCAGGAGAATCGCTTGAACCCAGGAGGCGGAGGTTGCGGTGAGCCAAGATCGTGCCGTTGCACTCCAGCCTGGGTGACAGAGCAAAACTCCGTCTCAAAAAAAAAAAAAAAAGAAAAAAAGAAAAGAAAAAGAAAGAAAAGAAAAATGTAGTGAGGAAATGTATTGGCTCATAAATCAGGGCAAGGATGAAACTGGACTTCAAAATGTGTGAAACCCAGTGTTTGAAAGTCCTCTTCATGTCATCTTCACTCTCAGAGGCCACTTTCTTTACAAGGTTGGGGTCTGGCTGTTGGCAGTAACAAGCCCCTCTCCTTAGAGTTCTGCAAATGAAGATACAAGAGCTGCGGTTGAAACAAGGCCCCAGAGAAGGATTCTGAGTGGCCCAATGTGGACCCATGCTCACCCCTTGACAAAACACTGTGGAGTATGGCAGCTCCCAACTAGAGGAGGAGCAATTCTCCCAAACACGTGGGAATCATAGCTATGACCCTTGGGGAAACCACTGTGAGCGGGACAGCCACCCAATTTAAATCTACTAGGGTCACCAGCATTTCTTGAATAACTCTGTACTCAACCCATGTTAGATATTTTCATACCCATTGTCTTACAATAACTCTGTGAGTTAGATATCATTACTCCCATTTTACAGATGAGAAAACTGAAGTTCAGAGGCGGTAAGTAATTGGGCCAAAGTCCTGGAGAGTTATGGAACCCAACAGGACACTTAGTCCCATCCTCCTCTGTGTACAGATGAAGAAACTGCAGCCCCAAGATGGTAGAGACTTGCCTGAAGTCGCAGAGTAGGTCAGTAGGATAGTCTAGGAATTAGAAGTCGTATGAGCATTTTGTCACACTATATTATACGTGTGTAATGGGCATCTTTGGGATATCTGCTCTGCTCCTATTTCCCTTCTTTCAGAACAGCCCACTCACCAATCCACATGACTATGAGAAATGACCCCCAGAGGTGTAGCCTAGCAGCCATGTTTGTTTTATGTGACCCCATGCCACTACCCAAAGCTGATTGGGCCAGGGTTGGACATGTGGTTCCGTTACACCAGTCGCCTCCTCTCTTGGGAATTTGGAGATTGTTTTTACATGGCTGGACCTGTCAGGTGCTGTCAGCAGTCATGTTTTCCTCCATGTGATCTGATTGGTGGAGAAGGTCAGTCCGGGAAGAGAAAAGAGCACAGAGGCAGGGAGAAACTCCCATTTCCTGGGCTCCTGAGAGCTTTCCCAAGTCTGGGCCAAGTCCTTTTATGTGTTTGGTTCCTTTAGACTTCCAGTTCCCTTGTAATCACTTCCCCTTTCTTTGTCTGAATTGATTCTAGTGGATTTCTTATGAAAATAGCATCCTAAGATAGCATGTAGCAAAGTACCTTTACTAGAAAGGGTGCTGTTGTGTGAAACCATATCGGTACTTCAGCCATCTGAGATGATCAGATGAGGAGGCCAGTGTGGGCCAGAGTGGTTGGGAAGGCTTCTCTGTAGCAAGCAGGACCGCTGTGTCCTTGAGGTGATGCAAGGGAGGCTGACTTGAAGGAGCTGAATGTGCGGCCAGGCAGGGAGGTGAAGCAGTAAACAAGAAAGAGTTCTTCTGGTCAAAGCCATCCAAGGTGTCAAGTGTGTATAGGGAGGGACTGGGAGGCATTAACTCATGGAGGGGTGTCCCAGGGGTGGTTACAAACCAAATCATTACAGTGAAAGCAGTTATGTCCCCACCATATGCTCTAGCCTGACCCTGACATCAGAGGCTTTGCCATTTCCTGAACTTGTACCACACTATCCCACCTTTGTGCCTTTCTTCATGCAGTTCTATCTGCCTAGGAGCCCTTCCATCCTACCTCAGCCCAGATCAAAGTCTGCCTAATCCCTAAAGCCTTGCCCTAGCCCAAAGGGAAAATAAGCTCTCTTCTTTCAGGTTCCCACTATCGCGTAGTTTATATTATAATTACCTGTGCACGTACCTGTTTCCCCCACTAGAATGTGAGCCCTGAGGCCAGAACTCTGATCTGATTCATCTGCTTCTCTATTGCCTAAAGCTAGGGCTGGCCCCTGCATAGGTGAAAATTTGCTCAATGCCTGAGTGTGTCCACTGTCCATGCTAACCATGGGAAAAAGTAATATACTTGCTGCCTCCTTATCAACCTCCTACCCCACCTATCAATAAGTAAAGAGAGAAAGATTTGAGGAGCCGGGAGTCCATCCTCCCATGGTGGGGGGTGGAGTTGGGAGCTGTGTGTGGCTCTGCATGTGTGTTACATGTGTGTATGTGTATGTATGGGTATGTGCAGGAGCTCTCTCTAGGTTGTAGTCAAGGAGGGCTTCCCCCAGAGGGAGGCCATGGGCAGAACCACAGGGCCTAGCTGTGTCTGCCACCCCCTGCTCCAACTCTTCATTCTAGTGGCATGGTCTTATATGCCAACAGGCATCAGGCCTGGAGGCTGATGGGAGATTTAGTTAATTGCAACAAAGCCAAGCGTCCTGGGGCACAGTAGAGATCAGTCTAATCTGTCAAATTATGCCCCTTAAAGATCCTGTTAACCTTTGTTAACCTGCAGTTGTACATTTAGGATGATTAGATGCTTCCCTTTCTCATACAGCTCTTCATGCTTACACAGGGCCAGGAGAGAGAACGGAGTGGCCAGGTAAAAGGAGGCTGGATGTTAAAAGGTTTGACGAAGAAGAAGGGAGCAGAAAATGAGCTGGCACTTATTGAATATCTGCAGGTTCCAGCTCTGACAAACATTTCACTTGTACCTCCCAACCAGCCTAGGAGCTAGTTATCGCTTCTTTATCTTAGAGATAAGGAAGCAAGTACTCCAGCGCCAAGGTGGCTTGCTCCAGAGCACATATCTTGAACATGGCACAGTGGGCACTTGACCCCGTTTGCAGATGGTTGCCCTCTGCCTGGAGTCCCATCACCTTTAAAGGGCCTAGAAGTCACAATCTGAGCTTCTCCAGCATCTTTTCCTCCCAGAGCTTTGTGGCTCCAAACCCTCATCACCCTAAACTCCAATCCTCTCACAAGCAGCTCTTCAGAGTAACTCACAACAGTGTTCCTGGCTACAGTCAGACCACTGTCATTACACCTGCTACTTCCCTACCTAGCATTTATCAACATGCATCATTCAGTTGCTCAGTCCTGTGGGTGACTGTCTGATGTCTGCTTCTACTGTCAGACCACAAGTTCCTTGAGGGCGTGGGCTTTATATTTTTCATTGCTCTATCCTCATTAGTTCATTCACTGAACAAACATTTATTGCCCACTATGTGACAGACATTGTACTAGGTGTTTGGGATACAACAGAGAGAGAGACGACAGAAAATCCCTGCCCTCTGGAGTTTGACCCCTAGAAGAGAGAAATAGACATTAAGCAAGATAAATAAGCAAATTTTGCAGTGTATTGTTTTGGATGGTCATAAGCAATATGGACAGAAATAAAGTAGGAGAGTATACTAGAGAAGGAGGGGGTCCAATTTTATGTAGGAAAGTCAGAAAGGGCTTTGGAAGAGGTTAGAGAGGGAGCCATGTAGATACACACAAAAAGCATTCCAGGCAGTGGGAATACAGTGGGATAGTACTAAGGTGTGGAGGCGGGAGAGGATCTGGTGTTTTCCAGGAACAGCAAGGAGACCCGTGTGGCTTGAGCAGAGTGAGCGAAGGGCAGGACATGAGAGTCCTGCGGAGCACTGTAAGGGTTATGCCTTTACTCTGATTTGGGAAGGCACTGGAGAGTGACAGAGGAGTAACATGATCTGGTTTAGGTTTTCAAAGGATCATTCTGCCTACTGTGTTAAGAATTGATAGTCAAGCTGGGTACAGTGGCTCACGCCTGTAATCCCAGCACTTTGGGAGGCTGATGCTGGAGAAGTGCTTGAGCTTAGGAACAGCCTGGGCAACATAGTGAAACCCCATCTCTACAAAGAATTTAAAAATTAGCTGGGCATGAGAGACTGAGGCAGGAGGATCGCTTGAGCCTAGGGGTTCAAGGCTGCAGTGAACTATGATCATGCCACTGCACTCAGCCTCGGTGACAGAGTGAGACCCCATCTCTTTTAAAAAATGGAAAAAAATATAATTGATAGTCTCTGATGCACATTAGGTATTTAATAGTTTTGAATAAATGAATGAATTGCACGTAGGAGAGTGACAGGAAAGAAAGAAAGAAATTGCTATGGAGGGAAGATAAACCCAGAGGACACTTATAACCTTGATGCCCAGTGATCTGAGTCTAGTTTTAAGGAGCTGAAAGAGGACAGATTTCTGCTGAGCAGAGCGTGAATCTTCTAGCTGTCCTTGTATCTCAGTAAATGTCCCAGGAGATCTAAACTCCTCGTCATGGAAGATGTACAAGTCAGGACAGGATGGCCTCAGGAAAACCTATAAGCTATGGCTTTCTACAGCTAGGAATAGCCTGTGTCCCCCAACCTCCCCTCCAGTCTTTTACCTCAGATTTTGTAAGTGATAGGACTCAGAGATGTTTCTGTCTCCTGCTAAAGGACCTCCACCTGACCTTCAGAGTTGTGAGTCTTCTTGGTACATGACAGAGGAGACCCAGGAAGCAGGCCTGCAAGGACACCTTGGCTGTGGAGCATTAGGAACAATATTTGGCTGGGACCGGGAGGCTATCCAGGGTAGCGGGCACTCTGTGGCCAGAGTTCTGGATTACAGGGAGCCAAGGCCAAGGCAGACCAGAAATTCCCTGCCTTGATTTTTGCCTCTAATTCCTCCCAGAAATGAGGCGTGTCCGTCTTCAAACTCTCGGGTTTTTATGAGGCGATTATGGTGATTACTGTAAATCTCCTGTGTGTTGTTTTCAAAGGGGTAATTAAGTGGAGGAATCAGCCACCATTTTCATTTCTCATTAAGTGATTAGGGTTTGTTTGGCAAATCCTAGCATCTGTGGCTAGAGGCAGGCTCTGCTGAGCTTGACTTGGACCATTCACTGCCTACACACAAGCTAAGCATCCAGCACCTCCCTTCTGCCCTGGCTTCTCCTAACCTGAATGAATTAGAAGGAATCCTTTCATTGTGCAGATGAGGAAACTGAGGCACAGAATGCGAAACTGACTCAGCAATATTATACCACACTAGAGCCAGGTTCTGCCTCCCAGAGCAGAACTCTAGTCAGCACACCATGCTGTCTATCTAAAGAAGGAGCTTTCAATAGACTTGTTGCCACTGAGGCAGCTTTGCTTCTGGAAGTAGGGAAGGCTCCTTCTTGAGCCTTGGATCATTTTCTCACCTAACTCTTTTTTCTCCTAGAGCCACCACATCAACAAGTATGGCAGACACTGTTGGTTGTCCACCCAACAATCATTTCCCTCTTCCTTTTCCTTTGCCCATTTCTCTTGGTTAGGAGAGGGTACAACCCAATTCTGGCCAATGAGATATGCAGAGATAATACTGGGGGACTTCTGGGTTAAGATTTTCCTCCCTCTTAAAGTCACTCAAGGAGAAAGCCTTTGCTCTGTACTCACTTCTGCTTTTAGATATGGTTGTTTGAAGTGATGCTTGGAGGCCAGGTGCAGTGGCTTATGCTTGTAATCCCAGCACTTTGGGAGGCCGAGGTGGGTGCATCACCTGAGGTCAGGCGTTCAAGACCAGCCTGATCAACATGGTGAAACCCCATCTCTACTAAAAATACAAAATTAGCCGGGTGTGGTGGCAGGTGCCTATAGTCCCAGCTACTCGGGAAGCTGAGATAGGAGAATCACTTGAACCTGGGAGGCGGAGGTTGCAGTGAGCTGAGATTGTGCCACTGCACTCCAGCCTGGGCAACAGAGTGAGACTCTGTCTCAAAAAAAAAAAAAAAAAAGAAAGAAAGAAAAAAAAAGAAATGATGCTTGGAGCTGAAGCAGCCATCTTGTAACTTGAGGCAACAGGCTAGAAGAAGAAAGCCAATTGTTTTAATTATCTATTACTGCTTTACAAATCACCCCCAAAATTTGGTACCTTAAAACAATTTATTATTATCTTTCACTGTTCTGTGGGTTGACTGGGCTCAACTGGACGGGTCCTACATGAGGGCTGTCATGTTCTTGCAGCCTGACCAAGACTTATTTAAAGACTCTGCTGGGCTGGATGTCCAAGATGGCTCACGCACATTGCTGGCAGTTGATGCTGGATATCCCCTAGGAGTTCATCCAGAGCTCTTGACCAGGGCACCGCCTTATGGCTCAGGTGTCTCACAGCATGGCAGCTGGTTTTCAAGGGCAAGTGTTTTCAGACTGAGACTTTTAAGAAGCCCAGACAGTTGCTGCAAGACTTATGACCTAACCTTGAAAGTTCGAAATGTCATTTCCTCCACCTTCTATTGGTTAAGCTAGTCACTAAGGCTAGCCCAGATTCAAAGGAAAGAGAATTAGACTGTACCTGTTGATGAGGGAATGGCAAGGTCACACTGCGGAAGAGCAAGTGGCGTGGGAGATATTGTTGTGTCCAAGTATTACATTGGGTAAGTACAATCTGCCATGCCTATATCCTTGGGATAATGATATAGTAAGATGGAAAGAGCTGTTACCTCTAAGTTACTGCACCATCTCTAGAAGGACTTCTTGTTAAGTAAACAAATAATATCCTAAAGGTTTAAGCCAGCCGGGGGTGGTGGCTCATGCCTGGAATCCCAGCACTTTGGGAGGCCGAGGCGAGCAGATCACGAGGTCAGGAGATCAAGACCATCCTGGCTAACATGATGGAACCCCATCTCTACTAAAAATACAAAAAATTAGCCAGGCGTGGTGGCAGGCGCCTGTAGTCCCAGCTACTTGGGAGGCTGAGGCAGGAGAATGGCGGGAACCCGGGAGGCAGAGCTTGCAGTGAACCAAGATCGCACCACTGCACTCCAGCCCGGGCGACAGAGCGAGACTCTGTCTCAAAAATAAAAAAAAAATGTTTAAGCCATTGGAGTTCGGTTTTCTGTGAAAGTTTGGTGCGGGAGCCAAACATGATTGGAGAAGGCCTTCTGGAGGAGGCAGGACTTAAACTGCACATTTCAAGACCGTTTCACATTCTTAGACTTGGACATCAGATACTCCTAGGTTTGAGCTCTATTTCTGCAATTATGACTATCTGTGTGGCTCTGAGTAAGTTAGCCTCTCTGAGCTTCAGTTTCCTCATTTGTAAAATAAGGATAATAGTACCTGCCTGTGATGTCATTCAGATGATTAAATGAGGTGATACATAGTAAAAGCTTAGCATGAGGTCTGACATATAAGTGATCTGCAAATGTCATTTATCATTATTTTATCACGTTATTAATTGAGATGAGGAAGAGGAGTCCAATGAGGTCATTGTTGGAATATTGAGGGGAGGTGTCAGGAAAGCACTTTGTGAGGGACACAGCAACCCCAGCTCCCATTTATGGGGCTACAGGCAGAGCTGGGGGACCGGTGAGGGAGGCTGTAGAAGGGCTTCTGCCCTGGGAGAAGCTGGACTGTCCTTTACAGCTCAGTGATGGGGAAGAGGTGGGAGTGAGTCTATAATTTGGGGGTGGGGCAGAGGGGTCTAGTTGGGACCCTGGCAAGTTAGCTTAGAGCAGCCAACAAGGCCCCAAACCTTTCTCTATGGAAACCAGCCTGAAGTTGAAGGGAGGGAAAGGCCAGCAGAGAAGCCCTCTGCAGGTAGGTTGACCAACTCATCCCCATATGCCTACAACTTTCTGGGTTTAGCATTGAAGATCTTATGTTCTGGGAAACCCCTCAGTCCTGCGCAAACCAGGCTGGTTGGTTAGGTTCTGTCGGCTGGAGATCCTCTAGGTAGGGACCTCTAGGAGGCCTGGTGTCCCAGTCTTGGGGATATCACATAGGCCCATGGGTCTGCCCCATGGAGCTATCTCCAGGGCAACCAGGCTTTACATCTCATAGGTCAGGGGCCGCAAAAGCCCCTCAGTGACCACAGACTGCATGTCAGGGTCTGGGGACAGAGTGTAGTGCTGAGTAAAACAGCTTCTCTCCAGAAACTGTCTCAGCCCTTTGGGAGAGTCAGTCTTGTGTTATCACCAGCAAGTAACATGGTACCAATTTAGAGGCTCAAAACATATAAGAACTGCATTCATGCCTGAGATCTGTCTTCACCAAACCAAGCCTAGTACTGAAATCGCACCGTTCACACTTCATTTGTTAGGTTTGAACCAATTCGGACTGTGTTCCCAGAAGCTTTCACCTGTCATGCATCCTCAGGGTAAAGGAGTCCACAGTGCTTTCCTGAGGAGGAGAGAACCTTGGAAACCCCCTAACCCTGGGGTTAAGGGTGGAGGGAGCCATAATGAGAGGCCTGAGACACTTTGAGGACCTCACAACTGGGTCAGTGTGGTACTGACTGGGGGCAAGAGTGAGCTTGAGTTGGCATGTCATGACCAGAGGTGATAAACTGATCACTTGTTTTATACCCTTGTCTCTTAAGGGCCTTCTAAAATGACTGTTAAGGAATAAAAAGAATATAAACCCACAACAATAAAGATAATGGGTGAGGTAACCTCAGTAGACAAGATATTTCAACAAATTTCAGGACAATAAAAAGCAAATGGGCCAGGTGCAGTGGCTCACACCTGTAATCCCAACACTTTGGGAGGCTGAGGTGGGAGGATCGCTTGAGCCTAGGAGTTCAAGACCAGCCTGGGCAATATGGTGAGACCTCATCTCTACCAAAAAATAAAAATACAAAATACAAAAATTAGCCTGGCATGGTGGTGCACACCGGTAGTCCTCGGTACTCAGGAGGCTGAGGTGGGAGGATCGCTTGAGTCCAGAAGGCAGAGGCTGCAGTGAGCCAAGACTGTGCCACTAAACCCCAGCCAGACCCTATCTCAAAAAAAAAAAAAGAAAAAAAAAGCAAATGGAGGAGGGATGGTAACTGATGCAGCAGGGCAGAGAAAGCCTCAGTAGAGTGTGTGCAGAGAGGATGATACAGGCCAGGAAGGAGGCAGCACCTGGGCAGAACCAGCAAGACAGAGCTTAAAGAGGGGATTGATTGGAAGTCTGTACATTGGACAGTCTCTCCCCACCCCTGTGCACAAAGCACTGGGAAAGCTGGCATCTATGCTCCAGGTGGGAGATCAGGGGGTTTTTGGAGAAATCTAATGTCCCCAGAAGACATGCTCTGGCATTGGGGCGGGAGTGGAGAGAGGAAGTCCTCTGCTCTAGTGATTGACTGACTGGTTGCCACTGGCAACCTAAGACATACCAGCTAGTCAATGGGCTTTTTATTTCTTCATTCCTAAATATGAATGGACAATCAAAGATAACCACACATTTGAGGAAAGCCTCCAAACTCAGAGAAAGATGAACAAATAAAATGGCCTCAGGGGAAATAGGAATAACGCAAGAAACAAAAAAGAACGAAAAAATAGTTTTTTATACTCTATTTATACCTTCCCAGGGATTCAAGGGGGCATTGGATGCATCAAATACAACTGGATGGTATGAGGAAAAAAGAAACAGAGACCCAGAGAGAGCTCTTGAAAATTCAAGAAATATATATGCTTTTAAATTTAATAGAATTGTTGGCCGGGCACGGTGGCTCTTGCCTGTAATCCTGGCACTCTGGGAGGCCAAAGCGGGCGGATCACCTGAGGTCAGGAGTTCAAGACTAGCCTGGCCAACATAGTGAAACCCCATCTCTACTAAAAATACAAAAATTAGCCAGGTGTGGTGGCACACGCCTGTAATCCCAGCTACTCAGGAGGCTGAGGCAGGAGAATCACTTGAACCCAGGAGGCGGAGGTTGCAGTGAGCTGAGATTGTGCCACTGTACTCCAGCCTAGGTGACAGAGCAAGACTCCATCTCAAAACAAACAAAAAATTTTAATAGACTTTTAAAATTAAGGAAATTTCTCAGAGTGAAATAAAAATATAAGGAGGTAGAAAACATAAGACATAAAGAATCAATCCAAGAAATAAAAAATCCAACAAATGGGAATTCCTGCAAAAACAAATAAAAATGGAAAAGATGAATTATTTAAAGTTACAATAAAACATTTCTCATAAAGTTCAAAATTTTCCATATTGAAAGAGCTATGTACCCAGAAAATGAATGAAAAAATTATCTACACTCAGGTACAGCATCCTAACATTTTTGAACACAGGGATAAAGAGATCTAAAGCTTTCAGATGGGAGCAAAATGAAAATAAAGAAAAAAAGGTCAAAAAGGAATGAGAATCAGAATGACTTCAGAATTCTCAGCAATACTAGATGCTAGAGGACAATGGAGAAATGCTTCAACTGCTCAGAGAACTGAACTTTCCATCTAGAATTCTATATAGGCTGAACTATCACTTTTAAGGATATAATAAAGACATATGGAGATACATAGGAGTCAGAATACCTTCATCATCTGCACTGTTCCTTAGGTAGTTACCTGGAGAGTGTGCCCCAGAAAAACAAGGAAATACACCATTAAAGAGGACTTTCAAAGAGACTGGACTTCATGCAGAAAGCCGTGAAAGGAAGTCAGACGACAGATGTCCAGCAGGCTTGCACACTAGCAGACCACACTGAAGTAGGATAATAGAGGGCCTTGAAAGGAAGTCTCTGGGGAAAGGAGGAGACCAGGTGAAAGAGAGACTAGATAAATATTAGGGAAGGATAAAGGCAGTTAGAAACTGAGGAAAAGAAAAGGTGTGGCTGGGAGTGGTGGCTCACACCTGTAATCCCAGCACTTTGGGAGGCCACGGCGGGCGGATCACCTGAGGTCAGGAGATCGAGACCAGCCTGGGCAACATGGTAAAACCCTGTCTCTACTAAAAATACAAAAATTAGCCAGGTGTGGTGGCGTGCACCTGTAATCCCAGCTACTCGGGAGGCTGAGACAGGAGAATCGCTTGAACTTGGGAATCAGACGTTGTAGTGAGCCAAGATCGCGCCACTGCACTCCAGCCTGGGCGACAGAGTGAGACCCTGTCTCAAAAAAAAAAAAAAAAGAGGGAGTCCATATGTGTTACCATTGTGCAAAAAGCAAAGGAGCTATGCTGCTCTGCCTATGGAGTAGCCTTTCTTTTGTTTCTTTACTTTCTTAATAAACTTGCTTTCACTTTACTCTATGGATTCATCCCAAATTCTTGCTTGTGCAAGATCCAAGAACCTTCTCTGGGGGTCTGGATTGGGACCGCTTTCTGGTAACATCTTCCTGGCAAACCATGAAGGGACTATACTGAAGAGACCCCCAATTCAAAGGAAAATTGTCTATCAGCACCAATTGTCTGACTTTGGGACACAGTTGGAGATGCTGGTTATTTTACCAAGGCTTTGACTGGAATGGCATGGTTTCAAATATAAACACACTGCTTTAAGGAATCAAAGTTGACTTATAGAGCAATTAAAGCCCCTCAGGAGAGCTGGCCTCATACCTTGTCTACACAGTCACAGTACAGGATTCCTAACATGTCAGATTGCCACTGCCTTCCTCCTCTGTAACTAAAGACCCTGTACTCGACAGATCAGCTGGCCCTACCCAGAATGATAAACTAGCTCATCTGGTCTTGTGGCTTCTGCCCAGAAACTGACTCATGGCAAGAGGACAGCTTCGACTCCCTAGATTTTATATCCAACCGGATCAATCAGCACTCCCCACTTTCCGACCACCTGCCCATCATTTTATCCTTAAAAACCGCAGTCCCCAAGTTTTGGGGGAGACTGGTTTGAGTAATAATAAAACTCTGGTCTCCTGTTAAAAAAAAAAAAGGAAGGAAGGAGAGAGAGAAAGAAAGAAAAGAAGAAAAAGAAAGAAAGAAAGGAGAAAGAAGCTATGTATATATGTATAGAATATGCTTATTTTATGCATTGAGTACCTAGGGGAAAAATATACAGGAAACCTGGCATTGCTTTTTTGAGGGGGGCTTGTGGACAGAGATAATGGGGGTTGGATGAAGACATAATTTTCACTGTTTGAAATCTTTACCATTTATTCTGCCTACATTAAGAAAAAAAAGGCAAGAGAAGCATAATAAATATATAGAGGCAAGTCTTAGAAGAAACGGCTGAGTCTGAAGTCTTTTACGTCATAGAAGGTGTCAGGGAGATGGAGGCTGTTGCTTTTTAACCACGATATGCATTACTTTGATGAGACTATTTTAAAAATTGTTTTTATTGTGCTAAAATAAACGTAACACAAAATTCACCATTTAACTTTTTTTTTTCCGAGACGAAGTCTTGCTCTGTTGCCCAGGCTGGAGTGCAATGGCACCATTTCAGCTCCCTACAATCTCACCCTCCCAGGTTCAAGTGATCCTCCTGCCTCACCCTCCCAAGTAGCTGGGATTACAAGCATGTGCCACCACACCTGGATAATTTTTGTATTTTTAGTAGAGACGGGGTTTCACCATGTTGACCAGGTTGGTCTTGAACTCCTGACACCAAGTGATCCACCCACCTTGGCCTCCCAAAGTGTTGGTATTACAGGCGTGAGCCACCACACCCAGCCCATTTAACCATTTTTAATTGTACAATTCAATGGCATTAAGTACCTTCATGTTGTTATGCAAGCGTTACCACCATTCATCTCCAGAACCTTTTTCATCTTCCCAAACTGAAACTCCAGACCCATTAAACAATACTCCCATTCCCCAATCCTCCCAGCCCCTGGCAACCACCATTCTGCTTTCTGTCTCTATGAATCTGATTACTCATATATTTGGAATCATACAGTATTTGTATTTTTGTGACTGGCTTAGCTTATTTTATGTAGCATAATGTCTTCAAGGTTCATCTGTGTTGTAGCATGTGTCAGAATCAGCCTTTTTGTGGACGAGTCATATTCAGATGAAACTATTTTTTAAATAGAGGAATAGGAGGAGGAGGAAAAAAGGAGGATGTAGGTAGATAATAAGAGATGGCCTAGGTCAGGCAAATGATGTGCTGTTTGCCCGGCATATTAGTTTTCTATTGCTGCATAACAAATTACCACAAAGAGCAGCTTAAAGCAATCCCGTTTATTACCTCACAGTCCTCTGGTTCATATATCTGGGCAGTGCAACTGACTGGGATCTCTGCTCACAGTATTACAACGTCTGAATCAAGATGTCAGTGGGGGCTGGGCGCAGTGGCTCACATCTGTAATCCCAGGACTTTGGGAGGCCGAGGCTGGCGGATCACTTGAGGTCAGGAGTTCAAGACCAGCCTGGCCAACATGGTGAAACCCTGTCTCTACTAAAAGTACAAAAATGAGGCAAGCATGGTGGCGTGCACCTGTAATCCCAGCTACTCGGGAGGCTGAGGCAGGAGAATCGCCTGAACCCGGGAGGGGGAGGTTGCAGTGAGCCGAGATCGTGCCAGTGCACTCCAGCCTGGGTGACAGAGCGAGACTCCGTCTAAAAAAAAAAAAAAAAGATGTCAGCAGGGCTGGGCTGTCATCTAGAAGTTCTTTCAGCCTCATTCACACTGTTGGCAGAATGTTCCTTCCAGCTGTGGAACCGAGGTCCTCATTTCCTTGCTGTCGGCCAGGGGTGAGGGGAGCTCCTAGAAGCCATTCTCCCTTCCTTGCACATGCCCCCACTACCTTCAAAGCCAGTAACGGCAGGTCAAGTACTTCTCATGCCTTGATTCTCACTTCCTTCTCTCTTACCAGCCAGAGAAAACTCACTTTTAATGAACCCATGGGATTTGATTGGGCCCACCCAGTTAATCTACCTTTTGCCACATAGCATAACATAACCTTACAGGTTCAACACACACTCAAAGGGGAGGGCACTGTACAAGGGTGAGGGTCACCGGGGACATCATAGAACTCTGCCTGCCCCAATGACCTTCACCCTTGGATAATTAGCTCTTCTGTGGAATGTGTTACATTACATGGCAAGAATTTTGCAGAAGCAATTAAGGTTACTAACCAGTTGACTTAAGATAGGGAGATTAACCAGGTAGGCCTAAGATAATCACGTGAGCCCTTTAAAAGCAGAATTTTGTCCAGCTGGTGACAGAAAAGAAGTCAGTAGTTCAAAGCATGAGGAGGGCTCTATCTTGAAAGTGGAGAGTGCACGTGGAAGGGACCCTAGAGCAGCCTCTAGTACCAAGGCCACCCCATGGCCAGCAGTGACCATGGTAATGAGGACTTGCTAGGAAATGGATTCTGCCAACAATGTGAATGAGCTTGGAAGTGATTCTTTCCCAGGGCCTCTGAATGAGAGCCAGGCCCAGCTGAAGCCTTGATTTCAGACTTGTGATACTGTGGGCAGAAAACCCAGTCAAGCCTGCACAGACTTCTGACCTACAGAACTGTGAGGTAATAAAATGGATGGTGGTTTTTTTTGTTTGTTTGTTTGTTTTGAGACAGTCTTGCTCTGTCGCCCAGGCTGGAGTGCAGTGCCACGACCTCGGCTCACTGCAACCTCCACCTCCTTGGTTCAAGCGATTCTCCTCCCTCAGCCTCCCAAGTAGCTGGGACTACAGACACGTGCCACCGTGCCCAGCTAATTTTTTTGTATTTTTAGCAGAGACGGGATTTCACCATGTTAGCCAGGATGGTCTCACTCTCCTGACCTTGTGATTCACCTGCCTCAGCCTCCCAACGTGCTGGGATAACAGGCGTGAGCCACCGCACCCAGGGATGGATGTTGTTTTAAGTCACTAAGTTAATGGTGATTTATTATGTAGCAAAAGAAAATTAATACACCTGGCTGTCCCCCTACCCATCTGCTCCCAAAACTCTTATTTTGTTTATGTTCCAAGAGGTGTTTTAGACTAGACTGCAGACAGGCAGACCTGGATTCGAGCTTGCCCTCTATAAGGATTTGCAGTCATGAGCACAGTAAACATTCACTAAACAGCAGCTGTAATGATAGTTTTTATACTCATACTCCCTCTGTAATTGATCCCAATTCCCTGCCCCACTTCTCTGGAAAGTTTGCACACCCTCCCCTGCACTTTGCACTTATTCTCCTACTGCATTATCAGACGTTGCTTCAGCCCCTGTCATGATGAAAGAGCTCTGAGAATGTGGAAGAACACAGTGGAACTTTCTGGAAGTCTGAAGTATCCAGTGAAGAGGGCTGCTCAGGGAGGGGTGAGTTATCTGTTGCTAGGGTAGCTACCTGTCAGGGATGCTGGAAGGGGTTGACTTCATGACATCTTGAGTCTGCCTCTAGCTTGTGTTTTCAAGCTGGCATTTTGTGGGGGGGGCGGCGTGGTGGGGGGAATTTTTTTTTTTTTTTCAGATAGTCTCTCTCTGTTGCCCAGGCTGGAGTGCAGTGGTGCGATCTCAGCTCACTGCAACCTCCACCTCCCAGGTTCAAGAGATTCTCCTTCCTCAGCCTCCCAAGTAACTGGGATTACAGGCGTGAGCCACTGCACCCAGCCTGGCACTTGTTTTATTGAAATATATATACACACACACACACACACATAAGCCAGGAGGCAGGTGCTAGAAGGTGAGAGACCTCTCCAGCTGGGGTTAATGGGGAAGGCAGAGTCAGGTATTAGAGTGAGGCATTAATTCATTCACTGAATTACTTGAACATGTATTCTTGACTCTGGCAGTCTTGCACTGGGAGATTCTGACATAGACTGAAAAATAGGTGAGATTTTGACAGCTTCTCCTGTGGAAAAAGTTCCAGGTAGAAGTCACATCATGATCAAGACCTGACAGATCCAGTTCTCCATGGAGCAGCCACAGGACAAGCAGGGAGTGCTGAAGCATGCGTTCTGCTAGGAGGGAGGAGGGATGGGACTTGTGGTTGTTTTGGTGGTGTGGGACAGGGAAAGGATGAGAATGAGCACAGTGGATCCTGGAAGGTTGGGGCTGGGATCAAGGAGTCTCCTAGTTCTGTGCAGGGATCCAGAACAGGGAGATGCAGGCTTGTGGGTACAGAAACAATTGACCAGCTGGCAGAAGCCATGAAAGGTGGATGCAGGATGGATCCTGGGCGCCTCTTGGTGGCCATACTGATAACTACACCTGGTAACACCCGGACAGCCAGTGCCCAGCTGATGGACTGCTTCACTTAACTCTGCACTGGGAGGACACCCACACCTACCCCGGACTATCTCTCATTGCAGTAAGAATGATTTGTGTAAATGCATCTGTGCCTGAGGCTGTGTGTCTTGTTGCCCAAATGCGTTGGTGTATACTTGTGTATGAGTGTATGCACGTTCATTTGTGTGTCTGAGAATGTGTATTGGTGCTGGTGACTGCGCACATGTGCAAGTTGTGCATGCATGTATGTACTAGGTGCTAGCATGTAAGTATGCATTTGCATGCACTAATGCCAAAACATGCATCTGTATGTGTGTATGTTTGTGCAGATGTGATCTCTTGTGTGCTTGTGTCTGAGTGCATGTGTGGTAATTTAAGTGTATGGGGCTTGGCTTTCTGTTACACATTGAAATAGTTAAGCTCCATAATCTTATTGTTTGTTTAAAGTTTGCTCTTGGATGCAGGCCTGTTCCAGAATAACTAGCAGATGCGAAAAGCATCCATTATGTATTTTTGCAATTAGCCGAAAACCCAGAAACTTTTCTTAAATGACAGACACAATTCTGTGGGTTGCTTATTGCTGGGAGCCACCTCCTCTCCCGGCTCGTCTAGTGCCCAGCCCCAACCCTGGCCAAGCCAGAGAGGGTTTGCCAACTGTCCCTAGTGAGATGGAAAAACCATTCAGGGTTTCAGAATACAGCTCAAGGGACAGCTTACAGTGAAGAGGAGGAGGAGGAAAACGGAGCAGCCTCCTAAATCTAAAAAGCCCTTGTCAAACTGACTCATGCAGCCCAGCTTCCTAGTCTGGACTCAGCTAAACAGACACTGGATAAAATTCACCTTCCTTTACCTGTTATGAAAGGTTTATCGCTTTATCTTTGCATACTCCTATCTCCCATTATTTGGTGCATGGACCCTCACCCCCTCCAGCTAAGTGGGTCTCTCCTGTCCCTCACTGCTATCTTTTTGCTACTGCTGTTTCTCTCTTTTCCAATGCAAACTGGGCACCTCCTGCCCACCAACAGCATTAATGCCAGTAAACTTTGTTAAGCACTTATCCCAGGCACTGGGGAGGACACCCAGGGAGGGGGTGGGAGGCAGAAACAGAGGCTTAGGGAAACTTCTCAGCATTTGGGTTCTTATGGTAAGGCACAGATCCTCATGATGCCCCTTAGCCTTTCCTCCCCACTTGTATATACAGGGAACTCTTATGTGTCAGAGAGTATGTCTGGAATTCCAGGTGGACTTCAGACTTAGATACCTACTTGAAGAAGATGATCCCCAAACCACAGAATCTCCAGAGTGAAAGACTAAAGCATTCTGCCAAATAAGCATCCAGGGCCTGCGTGCACACTTCCAGGGACGGTGATCATGTCCTCAGGCGCTCCAATTCAGTGTTGGGTGGCTCTGACCTTAGACGGTCTTCCTTATGTTGTTTCCACTGCCCTAGTTCTGCCCTCAAGCCCACATTGAATACATGTACTCCATCTCCCTTCAGAGGATTGTAGACAGTGGTGGTAGTCCCCTGGCCTCTCCTCACCATTTTGTTTTTGGTTTTGATATGGAGTCTCACTCTGTCACCAGGCTGGAGTACAGTGGTGTAATCTTGGCTCACTGCAGCTTCCACCTCCTGGGTTCAAGCAATTCTCCTGCCTCAGCCTCCTAAGTAGCTGGGACTACAAGCACTAGTCACCATGCCTGGTTAATGTTTTGTATTTTTAGTAGAGACGGGGTTTCACCATGTTGGCCAGGTTGGTCTGGAACACCTGACCTCAAGTGATCCACCTGCCTCGGCCTCCCAAAGTGCTGGGATTACAGATATGAGCCACCGTGCCCAGCCTCTCCTCACCTTTTAAGACAGTGGCAGCTGCTAAGTAAGATTATAGAAAGCCCACTATGCCAAGCTGCCATCCATGTGACAACTCCCTTAGTGGGAGAGCATTTGTGATACTGTTGCATGCAGTACTTCCCTCTCACTCTGTGAGCTCAGGAATGGCAGCAGACTAAGCAGCTGTTTAATTTGTGAGCTTTCACTATGGTTTGTCACCAACTGTCAATTCATCAACACTAAGTACCTACTCTGTGCTAGACACTGTGGATAAAAAGACCAAGACTTTTTTTTTTTCAACTTTTATTTTAAATTCAGGGAATACATGTGCAGGTCTCTTAATGGTTATATTGCATGATGCTGAGGTATGGGGTACAATTGATCTTGTCACCCAGGTAGTGAGCATAATTCCCAATAGGTAGTTTTTCCTTGCCTCTCACTCTTTTGCAGCCCCCAGTGTCTATTGTTCCCATCTTTGTGTCCATGCGTACCCAATGCTTAGCTCCCACTTTTAAGTGAGAACATATATTTACTTTTGTTCCTGTATTAATTCGCTTAGGATAATGGCCTCCAGCTTTATCCATGTTGCTGCAAAGGGCATACTTTTGGGTTTTCTTTATGGCTGCATAGTATTCCAGGGTGTATATGTACCACATTTTCTTTATCCAGTCCACCGCTGAAGGGCACCTGACTTGATTCCATGTCTTTGCTATTGTGTATAGTGCTGCGATGAACTTATGAGTGAATGCATCAAAAAGACCAAGTTGAACTTATGAGCGAATGCATCAAAAAGACCAAGACTTGATCCCTTGCCCACAAAGATACAAGGCTGTGAGTTTTCATTATCTGCTCTGATCACTTTGTTTACTGTGGTGGTTCTCAAAGTATCAATATCAGTATCACTTTACACATAAAAGAAATGCAGGGCTGGGAGCGTGGCTCACGCCTATAATCCCAGCACTTTGGGAGGCCGAGGCAGGCGGATCATGAGGTCAAGAGATCGAGACCATCCTGGCCAACATGGTGAAGCCCGTCTCTACTAAAAATACAAAAATTAGCTGGGCGTGGGGCCACATGCCTGTAGTCGCAGCTACTCGGGAGGCTGAGGCAGGAGAATCGCTCGAACCCGGGAGGCAGAGGTTGCAGTGAGCCAAGATCGCGCCACTGCACTCCAGCCTGGCAACAGAGCGAGACTCTGGCTCTAAATAAATAAATAAATAAATAAGAGGCCAGGCGCGGTGGTTCATGCCTTCAATCCCAGCACTTTGGGAGGCAAAGGCAGGGGGATCACTTGAAGTCAGGAGTTCGAGACCAGCCTGGCCAACATGGTGAAACCCCACCTCTACTAAAAATACAAAAATTATCCAGGTGTGGTGGCATGTGCCTGTAGTCCCAGCTACTTGGGAGGCTGAGGCAGAATCACTTAAACCTGGGAGGCAGAGGTTGCAGTGAACCAAGACTGCACCACTGTACTCCAGCCCGAATGACAGAGTGAGACTCTGTCTCAAAAATAAAATAAAATAAAATAAAAGTAATTAAATTAGAATTTCTGGGGGCAGGGCCTGAGGCATTGGTTCTTGTTTTAAATATGGTTAAAAAGACATTCAACAAATGCTCAGCATACTGAATGAAATCCTGCTACATAGTAACATAGTGGTTCTGGAGTATCACAGGATACTACTTTGCTTTTCCAAGTGTTTGTTAGGAATGACTGAGGTAAATGCATGTTAGTGGCCGGGCACGGTGGCTCAGTGGCTCACACCTGTAATCCCAACATTTTGGGAGGCCAAGGCAGGCAGATCACTTGAGGTCAGGAGTTCGAGACCAGTCTGGGCAACATGTCTCTATAAAGTTTTTTTAAAAATTAGGTGGGCGTGGTGGTACATGCATGTGGTCCCAGCTACTCGGAAAGCTGAGGTGGGAGGGTCGTTTGAGCCTGATCAAGGGCAGAGGTTGCAGTTGGGCAACAGAGCCAGACCCTGTCCTTTTTAAAAAAAAAAAAAAAAAAAAAAAACATGTTGGTGTTGAGGAGTAAGAGCTGGGAGAAAGGAGAACTGGGTTCTAGGCCTAGTTCTGCTCCTAACTGTCTGGAGGGCTTTGAAGAGGACACTTTCCTTCTTTCAATATACAAACATTTATTTATCTACTCTGTGTCAGGCTATTAAGACAATAGAGAAATCCAACTAAGACCTCTGAAATCTCTTTCCCATTCAAAGACTCCATTGATTAAGAACCACAACACACAGCTATAGAGGAGAAGGCAGGCTAAAAGCATCTAACTTTATTCTTTTTGAATTTAATAAATAGATACTAAAGTGCTTAGGATGTACTATAATCTTATAAGGCTTCAAGTAGAAATTTATATTAAGTCGTTTCAAATCTGTGGCGTGAACAAAAACTGTCAAAAGCCTTCAGAAAGCAGAGATTTCCCATGTCCTAACATATAGTGAAACAGAGGTACAATAGGTAAAACAAATCTATCAACATAGATTGAACTATGGATGAGTGGGTGAGATTTTTCGCCCAAACATTGTTTTCTTATCCCTTTCTTTTTTTTTCTCCAAGATAGTCACATTGTAAGTCTTTTCATGAGTTGTGTACTGAAAACAGAGGGAAGCTGATGGGGTCCCAGTACTTTACGATTATCAGCTCCCAATCTTCAGGGGGAACGAAAATAGAATCCTAAGAGGTCACAAGCAGACTCTACTGGGATCCAAAATTCAGTGATATAACTTGTAGCTACAGCTACTGCCAAAAATATTTTTCCATTTCAGTTTATTTTTTCAACAAATATTGAGTGCCTACTATGTGCAGGCACTGGTCTAGGTATTGGAAAACAGGAATAAACAAGGTAAGTGCTCTTCTGGCACTTAAAATCTAGAGGGGAAATCAACAATAAGTAAAAGTAACTTCACATGGTGATATATGCACTGAGAAAATAAACAAGGGTAATAGACTAGTGATGGGAAGCACGGGGGGTATATTAGAGGTCACATTGCCTTATTACAGATAGGCAGCAGGGGCTACTGGACAGGAGGCAGATCTTTTTTTTTTTTTTGATACAGAGTCTCCATCTCAGGTAGGAGTGCAGTGGCGCAATCTTGGCTCACTGCAACCTCCACCTCCCAGGTTCAACCAATTCTCCTGCCTCAGCCTCCCAAGTAGCTAAGATTACAGGCGCACGCCACCATGCCCAGCTAATTTTTCTATTTTTAGTAGAGATGGGGTTTCACCATGTTGGCCAGGCTGGTCTCAAACTCCTGACCTCAGGTGATCTGCTCTCTTCAGCCTCCCAAAGTGCTGGGATTACAGGCATGAGACACCGCACCCAACCTGGGAGGCAGATCTTTAAGGCCCAGAGGTCTGGGTTCTAGTTCCAAACCCACCACTCTCTAGCATAAAGATTGTGGCAATTGACTTGAACTCTTTGGGCCTCAGTTTAATCATCCTTGAAACAGGAAAATCACCATTCCAACCTGCCTCAGAATTGCTGGGAAAAGAAAACAAAATCACAGAGGTAAAAAAGTTTGCCAGCAATGAAAGCACTACACAGAAACACAATCAGCTAAGAAACCACTGGATTTGAGCTTATCTAGTAAGCCTGTTGAGGGTAGTGGTTGTACATTAACTGACTGTTGTATCCGCAATGTCTCAAACATATTTTGAATGAATGGCCAGCCAAATTTTGTAATGTGATTATTTTGGTGCTATTGTCATCCCTTGGTCCAGTGACAGTCACGTGGCCTAAGGCAGATGTGGACTACCTGCAACAAATCTGATTCCAGTCACAGGGGTCAGCATCTCTGAAAATTGGCTTGCTAGTGACCAGTTAGCTAAATTAAAATGACAGACCCTTGCATGAATGTGATTACAGACTGTGGTAATACCTCCTATGTGTACCTAGCTATTATTTCACCAACTAGCCATAATCTGTGTCATATAAAACAATGATTTGGCTGCTGACTATAAACAGCTACTTTCTTAAGTCAAATACATAAACAAAACTCAGAAATAGCCACAAAATTACTGAAACCACAAGTTAAAGATAAATGAAGATAGATGGTGTTAAGGAAATCACATTCCTTAATCCCATTTTCATCAACAAAATACTCGTGGAGAGAAGTGCGAGTGTGGCCTGTGAACCTGAAGACTTTTGAACAGATTAAGACACAGTGTTTTGTGGGAGTGATTATTGATAGAATAAAAAAGTTCCAGCAAGAACCATCATGTCCCCTGTGGCTGGTGGCTGAGCTGTGTGTCTCCTCCTCTGCTGCTACCATTTAAAAAAAAAAAAAAAGAAAAGAAAAGAAAAGAACAATAAAAAAGAAACATCACGTATAAAGTAGAACTAGATGGAACAAAATCCTGCTTCTCTATACAAATGGTTTTACTCTCATCCCATCACATCCCCTGCATTTCAGAATTTCCATTTGCACACAGTAGCAGCAGTGCAAGTCCAGGAGTTATCTTCTTTCCCCAGACAGCACTTATCCAGACCTAAGTAAAGGCCTTAAACAGAGAAAGGAAGGAAGGAATATAGATACAGTCTCTGCTCAATCATCTTTGATACTGAATATGACATAGACATTCTGACAGTTATTTTGGAACCAGGGGGATTTTGATGTAGCTGTTTCAACTTGTTCATTTTAATGTTTAAAGACTAATAAAAAATTAGTCTTTATTTATTTATTTATTTAGAGGCGGAGTCTTGATCTGTCGCCCAAGCTGGAGTGCAGTGGCATGATCTCGGCTCACTGCAACCTCCACCTCCCAGGCTCAAGTGATTCTCCTGCCTCAGCCTCCTGAGTAGCTGGGACTACAGGTGCACGCCACCATGCCCGGCTAATTTTATGTATTTTTAGTAGAGACGGGGTTTCACCATGTTGGCCAGGCTGGTCTCAAACTCCTGACCTCAAGTGATCTGCGGGCCTCAGCCTCCCAAAGTGCTGGGATTACAGGCGTGAGCCACCACACCCAGCCCCTAAAAAATGAGTCTTTATACTTCAGCATTTTCCCCTCCAAATCATGTAAATAATGTATCATTTGACTATTATCCCAGCTGAGGATAGAACAATGGTAGTGCTTATTGTGCACCTGGTTAATTAAAAAGAAAACAGTGTGACATTTTGTCAAGGACGTTTTGATGCAGTCTCTTCACAATCATACCTACTAGACTGGCCAAGTGTTGGCAGCTGTTTTGGAGCCATTTGTGAAAATCCTTCTTGATAAAACTAATAAACAACTTAGGTTTAGCCATGCACACAGCTTTGTCCTTTTAAGTACCAACTAATGAACCTATTCATTGTCTTTCCCTCCTGGAAGTTCTTGGAGCCAAGCAGCTATAAGAAGGCCAGTTCAACCCACAGTCCTCAAAGGGCTGCAAAGTCTTAGACATTAGCAAGGAAACTTACTCAGTTCAGGGTTTTTCTTGGAAGCTCATCTTGAGACTACATATCATTTTTTTTTTCTAATGTCATAGAAATAGCTACTGAGAGTACATATCTTCCAGAAAGCCTTCAAAATAGTAGTGTAAGAACATACCCAAAGCTCACATTCATGGCTTTTTTAAAATCTTACTTTCTCTTTTAATATGTGGTTCTTCAATTAAAGGAGGATGCATATGTGGTATGCTGCTTAACTGCTTGATTTCATTGTGTGGAAGGCAATTCTTAGAGTGTATCTGTGCTTTTCTAACATTAGGGCTGGGATGTGGGAAAGTATCTGGTAACCTGTCTCTGCAGATCTTTTACTTTGGATGGTGTGAAAGGCCAGTGTTCACAAGTCGCATACAGTTACTTCGAAATGTATCATAAATAAAAAATTATATTCTGTAGCTGAAAGAACCTCACCTAGAGAAATGTTCTGATGTATTACCCATGTCTCCCTAAATAAGACAAAATAATTAAAACCTCTTCTCTTACCCTCTTTATTTCAGGAGGACAAAGCCATGAAGGAAAAGCCTCACTGAAGAAGAGGAACCTAAGAGAAGCAGGTTCTGCTCTGATGAACTCCCATAAAGGCATTCCCATAAAGGTGTGGGCCTGAGTGATAATCTAGATATGGTACAGTTGACATCAGGTATATGGCGGCAGCCAGAAATTCAACTTTGTCCATCAGCTCTCTGCACAACAGGAAAGATGGTGACCTTCCAGGCTTATCTGAGGTCCAAGAGTAACATCACAAACACAGTAACTACACCCAGCCAAAGAAAAGCATACCTGAATCCAAGAGAGTATTTACACTGGCTTCAGGGATGAGGAAATAAAGGAGTAAGTGATTAGGATCATTGTTTTCCTTTCTCTTTGGTACAAAATAAATGAGCTTCCTTTCTTTCATTAAAAATAAATGTTTAGGCCGGGCGCGGTGGCTCACGCCTGTAATCCCAGCACTTTGGGAAGCCGAGGCGGACGGATCACGAGGTCAGGAGATCGAGACCATCCTGGCTAACACGGTGAAACCCTGACTCTACTAAAAATACAAAAAATTAGCCGGGCGTGGTGGCGGGCGCCTGTAGTCCCAGCTAGTCGGGGGGCTGAGGCAGGAGAATGGCGTGAACCCGGGAGGCGGAGGTTGCAATGAGCCGAAATCGCGCCACTGCCCTCCAGCCTGGGCGACAGAGCGAGACTCCGTCTCAAAAAAAATAAAAAATAAGAAATAAATAAATGTGTATAATTAACGAATACTTAATTTAGCTGAAGTATGCAGGTGGGCTAGGGAGAACTGAAATAGAAAACATAAGAATGATTAAAGTTAACCAACAGAAGACACTGGAAGGTCGGTCTATATCAGAATGTTTTCGGAAAAAAAAAAAAAAAAAAAAAAAAAAAACACCTCCTGGAAGGCAGAAAATATATTTTTTTGTTTTGTTTTTTTTGTTTGTTTGAGACGGAGTCTCGCTCTGTCGCCCAGGCTGGTGTGCAGTGGCGCAGTCTCAGCTCACTGCAAGCTCCGCCCACGGGTTCACGCCATTCTCCTGCCTCAGCCTCCTGAGTAGCTGGGACTACAGGCGCCCACCACCATGCCCAGCTACTTTTTTGTAATTTTAGTAGAGACAGGGTTTCACCATGTTGGTCAGGCTGGTCTCAAACTCCTGACCTCATGATCCACCCGCCTCGGCCTCCCAAAGTGCTGGGGATTACAGGCATGAGCCACCGCGCCCGGCCAGAAAAAGTGTTTGTAGCACTATTTGCTTGTGCAATTAGTATGTGTTTGAAGATGACAACCAAACCTCCGGGGAGAAGATGCTGACCTCATCTGGCCAGTACTTTCAGCCACTATTATCTCCAGGGACCACTGGAATGTTTGTGAACCACTTAAATTACAAGAGTAAAGCCAAAAGTCCACAAAAAGCCCACATCCTGATATACATTGCTTACTGTCATCTTCCCCCAAAAGAGATAAGTGATTGATGCTGCTGGTAGGTAATGAAATAGACTGCTTTTGTCTCAGTGGAGATTACTTCTTGAAGGAACGGGATAAAATCATGCTTTCTGCTTAAGCCAAAACACAAAAACAGGATGAAAAATTTTCCTCAATCCTGTAAAGCAAAAATAAAATTCTAAGCGCCCCCACAACCATCTGAATGGACCCTTCCTCTAGGCCAAGGGCATTCCAGAGTTCATCTGAAAAACCAGTTTCAGGCCATCATGGGGAAGGGAGAGCCAGACATGCCTCATTATACTTCTCCTCCCTTTTGAAATTACTGATAGAACACACTCTTAATAAGAAGCATTTACAGTCTATTTTCTCTGAAGCCTGCTACCTGAAGGCTTCATCTGCATGATAAAACCTTGGTCTCCAACAAACCTTGTATCAACCTAGACGTTCCTTTCTATTTATAGTAACTCTTTCAACCAATTGCCAATCAGAAAATCTTTAAATCTGCCTAAGGCTTGGAAGCTTTCCCCACACCTGCTTCCAGTTGTCCCACCTTTCTGGACTGAACCATGTATACATCTTACATGTATTGTCTGATGTCTCATGTCTCCCTAAAATGTATAAAAACAAGCTGCACACCGACCACTGTATGCACTTGTTCTCAGGATCTCCTAAGGGCTGTGTCACAAGCCACTCATCACTCATATTTGGCTTAGAATAAATCTCTTCAAATATTTTACAGAGTTTGACTCTTTGCATCGACAGTCCTGAACTCTGCTTTTGTAGTGTGAGGACCCACATGTTAAATAGGATACTTCTTGATCTTCAATATGCTTAGAGAACAGAAATCTAAACCAACAAATAGCAAAGGCCACAGCACAAAATTTATTGAGATTATTTACTAAATAACTGATATACATCCAACATCACTGAATGGAAATAATTTAAAAATAAGCAAGGCTTAAATTGGGGTCTTTCAAAAAACTCAAAACATTCTTGGTGACTGTATCTTTAACAAATGGAATGACAAAACTAGTTAAGTCATATTATCTCAATCAACTCCAAAACTCAATGTTGCCAACATGTTTTTCTACTTAAAAGCAAACAAAAAGCAAAGCCTCATAATTTAGTAATTACCATGTTTCTTGGTTTCTGTTCTCAAATGCCACAGAAAGATACCTGATGAAAGGAAGCAAAGCACCTAGTCTCATCAGTCTTCTTCAAAACTTTAAGGTTGCTTTCACAATCTCACTATAAATATTTAGATTCCTATCTGACAGATTTCTTCACTTATGTGAGTAGGAATGCTCTCGAAACCTTAGTCTTTACTCTTGCTTCATACTAGAGCTGTTTGATTAAACCACCTCTGTATTTGCTGGCCTGCAACACTAGATAAGAACTCATTCCTATCTCTTCCAAGAAACCAAGATAATCTCAATATGAATTTTAGTGGCCAATATGTTATAGTACTTAGCAATACTTTGTTTTCTAATGGCAAGTATGTTGAAAAATTTATCATTAAGTGAATTTCATAACACATAGAAATAAATGATTCTATTAAAATATAAAAACATCCATTAACTTGTCCTATTTCCAGTGACTTTAAATATCAAATCTATTATACAAAGACAAAATTATTTGCCCTATTTGACCCTGTGTACCAAATGATGTAAGTGCTGAAAATAAGAAACATTTTAAGATTTTAAATCTCATATTAAGAACCTCGGATACCACTTAGCATTGTGACAGAAGAAAAAAAAGTAAGGCGAAAACAAATTCCTCAGAGATTTTTAAAGGAAGAATTGGTGTAAAAGAATATTCCTTTGGACTCTATAGCCTTTTAAAAATCATTTATCTTTCGGTGCTTCAACATGATGCCAAACAAAAATCTACTGAATAAAAATAGCAAGGAAGGGAATCAAACATTTATAAGATATATTTATTATTTTTCTGACCAAAGTGCAATGATTTTTAAATCTTTTTAAACAAATAACTATGAAAAAAGTATTCAAGAAAATAAAATACAAATGGGAAATTTAACTAGATTGCTTCTTCTAATTAATCCTAAGCTTTTATTAAGTCTAGAAAACAAACAAAAAAAAACCTTTGAAGTGTTACTAAAATGCTAACTGAGAATCATTTTAGCATAAATCTAGCCACATGCATTTCAAGGTTCCACTGCTACGAATTTTGTTAAGATCAGCTGAATCATGAATAACACTATATAATAGAGTATAAGGAACACAAGCATTAGATGTGATCCTTGCCCCATACCCTTAGATTATGTCAGACTAAAGCTGACAATTCTGCCAGGCTCTGAACCCCTAGTGCCCCCAACCCAAATCTTGGAAGCAAAGAATATGCCCTGTCATACAACTTTGTACAAGTTGTAGTAAAACAAAGCTTAAGTTTTCTCATCTTTCTACAGCAAATGGTCAGTTATTTAATAAACACTAAAATGCTCCTAAGAATCCATTTTGAGTTTGTTTACCAAACACATTGTGCAAGAACTGACTACACAAAAAGTTCCTTTGAAATTTGGTCCACAAATTCACTTAAGGTTGGAAATTTAAAACTTGCAAGAAAAAGAGGAAGCGGGTATCCCTAAATCCTAAAATGTTGTGATTACTAGAGGGATATATACGCGTACTAAAAAGTTTTGCTCACAGAAGGCACAAACTATAAAAGGGATATTCTTTTTGAATTTTAAAAAAAATAGCTGATACCCTTCGTTTGGTGAGCACCATAACTAAGGTGAAGTTAAACCTGAATTCACTGTCTACTCCTGTGACCAAAAAAAAGAACATAAAAAAATTTACTTTGTTTTACCATGTACTTTCCAGCCACTAATTGAGATGTAGTTATGAAAGATTAGAATTGCCTTAAAAAGGGGTCATGATAGCAGCTATCAAAGCAATATTCAAGCATGATTTCAAGGATGCCTTCAGGTTTAGAATTAGCCTTCCTTGTCAAAAATCTGCACAACTTCATCAAAAACCTGTAAAGGAAAAAGATGATAATAATTTTAAAAGCAGGTACTGTTAAAATACCATACAGCTAAGTTCTTATTAAAAATAATCAAATTTGGCGGGGCGCGGTGGCTCACATCTGTAATCCCAGCACTTTGGGAGGTCGAGGCGGGCAGATCACTTGAGTTCAGGAGTTCAAGACCAGCCTGGCCAACATGGCAAAACCCCGTCTCTACTAAAAATACAAAAATCAGCCAGGCGTGGTGGCGGGCACCTGTAATCCCAGCTACCCAGGAGGCTGAGGCAGGAGAATTACTTGAACCCAGGAGACGGAGGTTGCAGTGAGCTGAGATCACACCATTGCACTCCAGCCTGGGCAACAGAGTGAGACACTGTCTCAAAAAATATATATAAATAAAATAATATAAAAAATAAAGACTCCATCTCCAAACAGGGTCACACACAAAAAAATCAAATTTACATTAATTTTCAAAATGAATCATTTTTTTGAATCACATACTTAGTTTCATCTATTTTACTTTAGACAGTAATATTATATAAATAATACATATAAAATTATGACTATATTACATTCGATTAGTGCTTTTAGGACAAAATATTCTTGAGAGGCTACCAATAATTTGATAAAATATAAACTGTAAATAAAATGTAAAATAAAATATAAAATATAACTGAAGTGGCTTATCTTCTTAGTTCTGATTCTAAAACACAGTTTTCTCATGTATTACCTCACCTCTATACAAAGTGTCAATGGATTAAAAAAAGATTCCCTGAATCTTCTTCCCCTGGGCCTTTCTTTTTTATCTTATGACTATAAGAGGATGAAGATTCAGGGAATCGGGGAAAGGGAGGTTAGGTTCCTTAAGAGACACTAGAAATTTTGTTGCGCTTGCAAACCACAATTTAGAGATCGCTATTTATGAAAAAGAAAGAGAAGTGATAAGTCATGGAAACCTTCACCTGTGGTGCTACTTGTTCTGTGGCAGAAGAAAGAAGCCTGGAGCTCTTGAGCTAGATGACTTGCCATTCATGTGATCCAACTCACATTTCTTAAAATACCAGTTTTCTAGTGCTTGGGAGCAAATTTAGAATTCATAAACCACCCATTTCTCATGAAGAACAAGTTTGAAGTTATAAACCTCATTTTAGGTTTTACTCAGAAAGGAAAAAAACCCTAATTTTTCATTTAGTCCCCAGTGTCTTCTTTTTTTTTTAAGAGACAGAGTCCCAGTATGTTGCCCAGGCTGGTCTTGAACACTTGTGCTGGGATTACAAGCATGAGCCACCATGACTGGCTTCCAGTGTCTTGAAAAACTAACTAATCTGTGATAGTATTTCTTTTTTTCCTGCTTACCCCAAAACAAATAATCACATTTTTATTTGACATATTTTTTTAAAGACAGGCTAGGAACACTTACTTCATCAACAGATTTAGAAGCATCTATTTTCTTGACTTTCCCCATTTCTTCATATAAGTCAATAATTGGCTTTGTTGACTGAAGGTAGGTCTGAATTCTGCAAAAGAAGTAAATATTGCAAGGTTCTAGGTATCTATCCTTTCTTCTACATGTTATAGGAGAGCTCACAGAACACTGGATCTGCCCCGACTGATTGACCTAACATCTTAAACAAGCCATTTTACATGTTTAAATGTGACTCTTTTATTCCTGTACCAAATAAGGCAGGTCTGGGATTGAAGTGGTTGTATGTAAAAACTGCCAAGTACCTCTTTTCCAAGCTCTCTCTGTTGTCATCACTCCTACCACTACTCTTTCCCCTCTCAAGACATCGTTCAATACAAATCTAAAAAGAGATACAAAGTTATTAAAAATATAGATATGAATTTGCCATTCTTTTAACCTGCAAAGAAAACAAGAGTTTAAAGAGATGACCAAAAAAACCCTGCAATAAACCCAATGTGTCTAATTCATTAATCAACATGCAAAGTCCTTTTAAACGTAAACATGTGGTTCAATTTATATAAACTAGGTTAAATAAGTACAGAGCATAATAAGAATTCATTCATGACTCAGTTTTTCCTGCTTATTTTTTTTCAAACTGTAATAAAAAGATCTGTATGTGTATGATTCCATCTCAGATATATTATTAACTTATTAGGTATGAATTACATGCCTCAAACTTTGTTTCATTTTTGGCTGCTTTTTGATAATTCCATAAATTTGAAAATATTTGAGTCAACATATTTGCATTTGAATAAAGCATCCTTTGTTAATTGTGAATAAACATTCCTTGTTATAAAGCTGTGGTAACATTCTAAAGTTAACTTTGAAGGGTAAATGAAAACATATTTTGGGGGGTTGGAAGAAGAGAGTTACGTTTTAAAACAATGCAAAAGGCCAGGCATGGTGGCTCAGGCCTGCAATTCCAACACTCTGGAAGGCTAAGGCGGGTGGATCACCTGAGGTCAGGAGTTCGAGACCAGCCTGGCCAACATGGCAAAACCCCGTCTCTACTAAAAATACAAAAATTAACTAGGCATGGTGCACATGCCTGTAATCCCAGCTACTTGGGAGGCTGAGGCAGGAGAACTGCTTGAACCTGGGAGGTTGCAGTGAGCTAAGATCGTGCCACTGTACTCCAGCCTGGGCAACAGAGTGAGACTCTGTCTCAAAAAAATAAAATAAAATAAAACAACACAAAGGCTGCAGCAAGATTCTCCACCAGGGGCACATTTACAATTCAACCTAAGAACAGCCAACTTCTTTCAAGGTACTAACTACTTCAGGCTTTTTAATTAAATGATTCTGAGAAATGTATTTAGTTATTCAAAAGTATGTCTGGCTTCATTATTAGAACTACCAGAAAGAAAAGTACATTTTTTTACTTTTTTCAAGATCATTTCACTCTTAAGACAAATCAGGCTATCCTGTATGTTTCTTTTTTTTTTTCTTTTTTTTGAGACAGTCTTGCTCTGTCGCCCAGGCTGGAGTGCAGTGGTGCCATCTTGGCTCACTGCAACCTCTGCCTCCCAGGTTCAAGCAATTCTCCTGCCTCAGCCTCCCAAGTAGCTGGGATTACAGGCATATGCCACCATGCCAGGCTAATTTTTGTATTTTTAGTAGAGAAGGGGTTTCACCATGTTGGCCAGGCCGGTCTTGAACTCCTGACATAAGGTGATCGCCCACCTTGGCTTCCCAAACTGCTAGGATTACAAGCGTGAGCCACCGCACCCAGCCCTGTATGTTTCTTTAAAACAGAAAGTTTTCCCAACTTCTCAGAAACGTGTTTCTCTTCCAGTAAACAACACCCTAAGGCAAAATACTCTTTGATAATAATGTCTACCTAAGAAAGTAGTTCAGCTTCATTACCTAATATTATTATGTATGTCAATTCTTATTTTTTAAAAATCAAAACTGATTCTTGTTATTTTGAAAATAAAGGAAAATTTAGCTCCACAAGGCTGCTAATGCCAAATAGTTTTTAATACTCCAACAGCAAGACAGTGCTGTTCCGTCCATCCAATCTACCAATTCAAAAAACACTGCTGCCAATATAAAATATAAGTTAAAAAATCCTTTGTTTTTTCTAATAGTTGACTAACAGTTGCTTAAAGCCTATGTGGGCAGATGAAGATTTTCATTACCTCATTATTACAGTCAAAAAAGAGAACGAAAGATACATCTGCCTTCCCATCCATGGTCTTGTTCCATCCTTGAAGGTTGTCTTGATTTCTTGGAAACCCATCAATCAAGAATTTATTCTTCTGAGCATTGGCAGCCATTGTCTGATCCATTTCCTAAAGGAAAAAGAAGATTTAGGTTCAATACAACATTAACAAAATGAAATTTCTCAAGCATGGTAGTGTATACATGGGTGTTTTATTATTATTATTTAAACCATAAGTAAAGGGTGGAGGGTACATAGCAAAAAAAAAAAAGAAAAGAAAAAAAGAAAGAAAGAAAAAAGACTAGAAGGAAATCTATCAATGTATTAAGATGGTTGCCTCAAGTTGGTGTGGTTATGGGTATATGCCCCTCTCAAAACCACCTCATTTTATACACACAATTTTTTTCTGTGGTTTCCAAATTTTCTACAGTTAAGTATATGTTACTTTCACATACACATTCACAAAGTTATAAATAAACAATAAGAGCGGCAATAAGAGGAAAATAACCATTAACCATTATCTTTGCTCCAGCAACTGGAGACCCTCTCTTTATTCCCTTTGCTCTTCCCAAGTCGTTTTGCTATAGTGGAAAGTATATTACTTCTACAGGTGCTCAACTCTGCTATTCATATAATTCAAGTCCAACAACACAAAGCTTTGGACAAATATAAAAGACCATTAGCATTAATTATTAATGTAGGATAAAATACTTTTTAACGGAAGCTAATTAAACCCAAATGTCACTGGCTGCCCCAAAACAAAGGCAACAAAAGAACCAGCCCGGCCAAGATGGTGAAACCCCGTCTCTACTAAAAATACAAAAATTAGCTGGGCGTGGTGGCTGGCACCTGTAATCCCAGCTACTGGGGAGGCTGAGGCAGAGAAATGCTTGAACCCAGGAGGTGGAGGTTTCAGTAAGCCGAGATCGTGCCACAGCACTCCAGCCTGGCGGACAGAGTGAGAGACTCTGTCTCAAAAAAAAAAAAAAATAGGAAAAAAGAGGATGTGAACTAAGGTGATGACAGAGAAGAGACTAACAGAAGAGGATTAAAAGAAAAATAACTGGAAAGATATGCTCACTGAATGGATTTGGGAAAGTGAGGAAGAGGCAGGAGAATATAGGATGATTCCCAGATTTATGCCTTGAGTAGCTAGGTAGATGGCAGAACCATTAACCAAGACAGGAAGTAAAGGAAGATCACATTTTAGACAATACACTCAGCCTCTGACATGTTGATTTTGAGACACTTGTGAGACATTCAAATAAAGGCCTAGTAGTTAGGTAGTTAAAAATATATGTCTGGAATTCAAAACAAACATTTTGTTTTAGAGCTATAGACTTTAGCAGCATGAGCATAGTGAAAGCTTTGGGTATGGCTAAAACCATCCAGAAAGAAACATATGAAATGAGAGCTGAATAAGACCAAGTATAAAACCCTGAGAAGCATCATGGTTTTGGAAACTTGCAAAAGAATAACTATTAAAGAGGATAGAGAAATAGCAGTCACTCAGTAGGGAGAGAAGAAAAAGAGACGCTGTCATAAAGAACAAAGGAGGAATGATTTTCAAACAGACTGATTAAAGTTAAATACTACAAGAAAAATAATGACAAAAGTATTATTTGATAGAGATCATCATTGGTAACATGCAAGAGCAGCTGCAATGGAGATGGAAACAGAATCTGACTGCAAAGGGTTGAAAAGTAGAGAGTGGAAAAGTAGAGAGTGAAAAAGTAAAAACCATATGCTCTTTCATAATACTTTCTCTGCTTTATAGAGCAGAGAAAGGACATTAGAAAGAGTGAATAGGGAGAGAGATTTGTTTATTTTGGAATGGAAGCAGGTTACTCCAACCTCTGAGACAAGAGGTAAGAATGTGTGTACAAGCCACTTTTCATCCCCAATGTCTTTAGTTCCAACCAGATGCTTACATAGCTCTTTTCCATCAGGCTTCAGCCATTTCTTGTTGTTCCCAATATTGCATTTCTTTTTCTCCCTCACTGTTCTTCTATGTGAAAATACCTGTTAATGATTATAGTTCTAGGAATCTAGAATGAAGAGTTACCTAGTAAATACAGGGTGTCTGTTTTTCAGATGTGACATTTATTTATTTATTTATTTATTTTTTGAGGCGGAATCTCACCCTGTTGCCCAGGCTGGAGTACAATGGTGCGATCCTGGCTCACTGCAACCTCCGCCTCTGCCTCCTTGGTTCAAGCAATTCTCCTGCCTCAGCCTCCCGAGCAGCTGGGATTACAGGTGCCTGCCACCACGGCCGACTAATTTTTTTTTTTTTTTTTTTGTATTTTTAGTAGAGATGGGGTTTCACCATGTTGGCCATGTTGGTCTTGAACTCCTGACCTCGTAATTCACCCACCTTGGCCTCTTAAAGTTCTGGGATTACAGGCGTGAGCCACCACACCCGGACATTTTTTTTTTTTTAAGAAACAGAGTTTCACTCTGTCACCCAACCTGGAGTGCAGTAGCATGATCTTGGCTCACCAAAACCTCTGCCTCCCAGGTTCATGCGATTCTTCTGCCTCAGCCTCCCAAGTAACTGGGATTACAGGTGTGTGCCACCACACTTGGCTAATTTTTTATATTTTTTGGTAGAGACGGGGTTTCACCATGTTGGCCAGACTGGTCTCGAACTCCTGACCTCAAGTGATCCCCCTGCCTCGGCCTCCCAAAGTGCTGGGATTACAGGCGTGAGCCACTGCGCCCAGCCTCAGATGTGACATATTTTAGTTTTAAAAGTTCTTAAGTCTTAGCATTTCACATTGAAGATGGTGATACACCAGAAAAGTAGACACCATGGCTGAGCGAACATCAATGATGAGAGGGACGTGGGTTAAAAAACAGAGAAAGGGCTGGGCATGGTGTCTCACGCCTGTAATCCCAGCACTTTGGGAGGCCCAAGCGGGTGGATCGTGAGGTCAGGAGATGGAGACCATCCTGGCTAACACGGTGAAACCCCGTCTCTACTAAAAAATACACAAAAAATTATCCAGGCTTGATGGCGGGCGCCTGTACTCCCAGCTACTCGGAAGGCTGAGACAGGAGAATGGCGTGAACCCAGGAGGCGGAGCTTGCAGTGAGCCGAGTTCACGCCACTGCACTCCAGCCTGGGCGACAGAGCGAAACTCCGTCTCCCCGCCAAAAAAAAAAAAAAAAAGAGAGAGAAAGAAGAAAGAAAGAGGTTTATTTAAAAAAAAAAAAATTGGGGGCCGGGCACGGTGGCTCACACCTCTAATCCCAGCACTTTGGGAGGCTGAGGCAGGCAGATCATGAGGTCAAGAGATCGAGACCATCATGGCCAACATGGTGAAACCCTATCTCTATTAAAAATACAAAAATTAGCTGGGCATGGTGGTGCACGCCTGTAGTCCCAGCTACTCGGGAGGCTGAGACAGGAGAATCTCTTGAACCCGGGAGGCAGAGGTTGCAGTGAGCCGAGATCGCGCCACTACACTCCAGCCTGGCGACAGAGCGAGACTCTATCTCAAAAAAAAAAGAAAGCAAGCAAAAAAGAAAAAAGGAAAGGGAGCAGGAGAGGGAGGAAAAAAGATGAAACAGAAATGGAAGAGAATAACTGTCTGAATGTTGGGAAGAAAGGACCAAGTGCACATAAATGGATGTTAAGTTGAGCTATAGGTGATCCTAAATCAAAGCAGAGAATCCTTGCCACTGTCCGCTTTCTTCCCAGGTGAAAGCAAAGTTTCCAGTTCTGCCATTCTCAAGCATAACCACCTTCCACAAGCAAGAAATTCAATACTCTGAGCTAGGTGTGGTGGCTCTCTCCTGTAATCCCAGCACTTTGGGAGGCCGAGGTGAGAGGATCACTTGAGCCCAGGAGTTCCAGCCTAGCCTACACAACATAGTGAGACCCTGTCTCCACAAAAAATAGAAAAAAATTAGCTAGGTGTGGTGGCATGCACCTGTAGTCCCAGCTATTCAGGAGGCTGAGGTGGGAAGATGGCTTAAGCCTGGAAGGTTGAGGCTGCAGCAAGCTGTGATCAGGACACTGCACACCAGCGTGGGTGACAAAGACACTGTCTCAAAACAAAACAAAACAAAAAATCTTTGATATTTTTCATTACACATATGAAAGGTGGATTTATTTTTATTATTATTGTTGTTTATTTATTTATTTTTGAGAGGAGGTCTCACTATGTTTCCCAGGCTGGACTTGAACTTCTGGGGTCAAGCAATCCTTCTGCCTCTGTCTCACAAGCAGCTGGGACTACAGGCATATGCCACCACGCATGGCTTTTTAAAAAATTTTTTTGTAGAGATGGGGTTTCACTAGGTTGTCCAGGCTGGTCTTGAATTCCTGGCCTCAAGTGATCCTCTTGCTTTGGCTTCCCAAAATGCTGGGATCACAAGCATGAGCAACTGCCTGGCCAAAAGGTGAATTTAATTTCTTCTTTCCTCGCTGGTTTGAACTGGTTGGCATTCACACTCCTTACCCTCTTTAATAAACTGATGGTTATCTCAACTGGTACAATCTTTCCTTCTTTAATGTACTTTTCAATAAGTTCACCATACTGTGAATCTGGGTTCTTCCTTTCATCACGAAGCAGCTCTCCTGCAGAAAGGTGTGTGTAGCCATATTTCTGAAAGAAGCACACATAGGAAAAATATCAGAATTCATTCAACCCAGTGGTAGGACTATACTTTTTTTCCTTTGTGTTAATTTCTATATTCTAATTTTTCTACAATAAAGAAGTTTTGCTTGTATATTAAATAATAAAGAAAAATTTAAGATATTTCCCATAATCCAGTTTGCTTAATGGATATCTTTATTCTTCATAGCTATAATGTTCAGATAAATATATCCTGGCTGGGCGTAGTGGCTCACACCTGTAATCCCAACAATTTGGGAGGCTGAGGTGGGTGGATCATGAGGTCAGGAGTTTGAGACCAGCCTGAACATGGTGAAACCCCATCTCTCTAAAAACACAAAAATTAGCCAGGCATGGTGGTGCATGCCTGTAATCCCAGCTACTCAGGAGGCTGAGGCAGGAGAATCGCTTGAACCCGGGAGGCGGAGGTTGCAGTGAGCTGAGATCGTGCCACCGCACTCCAGCCTGGGCGACAGCGAGACTCCATCTCAAATAAAAATAAAAAATAAAAAATAAATTTAAAAATTAGCTGGGTATGGTGATTCATGCCTGTAGTCCTAGCTACTTGTAAGGCTGATGCAAAAGGACTGTTTGAGTCTGGGAGTTTAAGGTTGCAGTGAACCGTGATTGCACCACTGCCCTCCAGCCTGGGTGACAGAGCAAGACATTGTCTCAAAAAGTGAAAAAAGAAAAACAAAAAGAAAAGCTTCTTCTTCCACATAAACTTGCAAGTTCCTTTTTATTAAAAGAATCATACAATTGATTTTAAAAATGCTTTTACTCTCAAATATTAAAGACACCAAGATAACTATATTTATCGCTCAGTTACAACAACCATATCATCCCAAATTCTTAAGACTCCCTCAATGGAGTTTTCATTTTATCCAAGTATACAATAAATATGTGATAAATTAAATGTTATCTTTAGCTTCGATGTTAAGATTTGAGGCAGCCCACACTCCCAACCCCCTTTTTAAAGAGTATTTCAACGGCACATTTTACAAAAGCAACTCTTTCAATTACCCAGGTTATGGTGAGTTTTCTGTTTTCGGATTACAGAAGCCATATATATTCTTTACTCCTTTTCTCATTCCCGAAATTGCTGGTTAAATTTGTTCTTGCTTACTAAATAATAAGTTAACGGTAAGGTAGTCAGCAAATGAAAAGAAAACTCTAAATAGTTTATTTGCTGACTATAATTGAGTATAAAGTTTGATGAGAATAAACAAGATCCTAATATCATCCATGTCTCTCTGTCATATAGGACCTTCCATTAGAAGAAATGGTCAGGCTGGGCAAGGTAGATCATGCTTGTAATCCTAGCACTTTGGGAGGCTGATGCAGAAGGATGGCTTGAGCCCAGGAGTTCAAGACCAGCCTAAGCAACACAGACCTCATCTCTATTAAACTTTTTTTTTAAAAGAAAGAAAAAAAGGCTGGGTGCGGTGGCTCACACCTATAATCCCAGCACTTTGGGAGGCCAAGGCGGGTGGATCACCTGAGGTCAGGAGTTTGAGACCAGCCTGGCCAACATGGCGAAACCCTGTCTCTACTAAAAATACAAAAAATTAGCCAGGTGTGGTTGCAGGTGCCTGTAATCCCAGCTACTCAGGAGGCTGAGGCAGGAGAATCACTTGAACTCAGGCAGCAGAAGTTGCAGTGAGCCAAGATCACACCACTGCACTCCAGCCTGGGTGACAGAGTGAGACTCCATCTCAAATAAAAATAATTATTATTATTATACAGTTTGTCAAAAAGAAAAAACAACCTTACCTGCAAAGTCCAAGGAAACAAAGAATTCAAATGAATATAAAGATGTCAAACCTATACACATGTGTCTCATGTTCTCACCCACATTCCATTTTTGTAAATTCTCTATTTACCAGTTTTTTATACTATATTTTTCTTAAGGATTTTGCTAATAATGCTTTCCTCTTACCACAGTTGCAGCAACAACAAAAAAGCAACTATCACTTACATATAAGTTATTATGGTATTTTAGTAACAGCTAGACTTTAAAGAGCATATTTTCAAAGCATTCTGCTGTCATTAAGTAATCACTGAAGCCAGTTTTGAGGAAAGCAAGAATAGATATTTTCCAGTCTTAACCAAAACTTTTTCACATTCTCTGAAATTTCCTTGCAATTAAAACTTAGTGGGTAACTAACAACAGTCTTAAAAGCAACACTCAAAACCATAGCAACTTACAAATACTATAACTACAATTACAAGCTACTATTGAACTAAAAATCGTGGCTTTTTGTTGTTGTTGTTCAGACAGGGTCTTGCTCTGTCGCCTAGGCTGGAGCACCATCTCTGCTCACTGCAACCTCTGCTTCCCAGGTTCAAGCAATTCGCGTGCCTCAGCCTCCCAAGCAGCTGGGATTACAGGCGTGCACCACCATGCCTGGCTAATTTCTGTATTTTCAGTAGAGATGGGGTTTTACCATGTTGGCCAGGCTGGTCTCGAACTCCTAACCTCAGGTGATCTACCCACCTCGGCCTCCCAAAGTGCTGGGATTACAGGCATGAGCCACCATGCCTGACCTAAAGATAGTAATTTTCTAGTGACAAATATATAAACTCAATTCATTTAGAATAAGTGCCTAAAATTTTAACTGAAATTTTTCCTTTAAGAAGTTGAAAAACAATTCAATAACCTTTACGGATCATGCACTAAGATTTGGAGGGAGAAAAAAGCACCATGTTCACAACAAGTACAAAATGGTACTCTATTTTACTACAACTAGGCAAATGTTGACAACTTTATGGGGTCAAATATCAAACCATCTTGTTCAATTTCTCTCACTTTTTTTTTTTTTTTTTGAGACAGGGTCTCACTCTGTCACCCAGATTGGAGTGCAGTGGCACGATCTCAGCTCACTATAACCTCCACCTCCTAGGCTTAAGCAATTCTCCCACCTCAGCCTCCCGAGTAGCTGGGACTAGTGGTACATGCCACTGCATCCAGCTAATTTTTGTACTTTTTGTAGAGATGGGGTTTTGCCATGTTACCCAGGCTGGTCTCAAACTCCTGGGCTCAAGCAATCCACCTGCCTCAGCTTCTCAAAGTGCTGAGATTACAGGCATGAGCCATCCCAACTGGCCTAACTTATCTCATTTCTTAGCAACTGCATCTCTCCTAAATTCAGAAAACAACGAAAACACAAGACAAAAAAAAAAAAAAAGATCTTCAGGGTACAAATGATGCACAAATGGCAAGTCTTTGAAGGCAGGAAGAGATCCAGATGCCAGGCACTTCCTCCCATTAATGTGGCAATTAGAAATTGCCACTGAACTGCTACTGAGCTTCTCTTGCATTATAGAGGGAACATAGCAGAGATATTAAATACAAATGTATTTTTAAAGCAACTGAAGTGAATTAAAACTATTGGGTACGGCCAGGTACAGTGGCTCACACCTGTAATTCTAGCACTTTGGGAAGCCAAGGTGAGAGGATTGCTTGAGGTCAGACGCTCAAGACCAGCATGCGCAACACAGTGAACATGTTTCTACAAAAAATAAAAACATTTGCTGGGCAAGGCTATGTGCACCTGTAGTCCCAGCTACTTAGGAGTTTGAGGCAGGAGGAAAACTTGAGCCCAGGATGTAGTGAGCTATGATCATGCCACTGCCCTCCAGCCTGGGAGACAGAGCAAGACTCTGTCTCTAAAAAACAAAACAAAACATATATAAATTCACATAATGTATAATATATAAATTACATTTTCATATATTATATATTATACAATTTATATCATAACTTATGGCATATAATATATAAAATTTATATGTAATATAGTATATAATTTATATTATTATATATTAAAAATATAAATATATGGCTGGGCATGGTGGCTCACACCTATAATCCCAGCACTTTGGGAGGCTGAGGCGGGTGGATCACCAGGTCAGGAGATCAAGACCATCCTGGCTAACATGGTGAAACCCCCGTCTCTACTAAAAATACAAAAAATTAGCCAGGCGTGGTGGCAGGCGCCTGTAGTCCTGCTACTTGGGAGGCTGAGGCAGGAGAATGGCGTGAACCCGGGAGGCGGAGCTTGCAGTGAGCTGAGATTGCGCCACTGCACGCCAGCCTGGGTGACAGAGCAAGACTGTCTCAAACAAACAAACAAAAAAACCAAACCAAAACAAAACAAACAAACAAAAAATATATATATAAAACTATTAGGCGTCCTTTAGATTTACATCTATGAAGCATCGAAGACTAAGGTTATGTTGCATTCTCCATAAGACTACTAAACCTTAGAATCTTTTTTTTTCTTTTGGCCATGAACCCATATCTAAAGGCAGATCCTTAAAATCTAAATGCTGGTTATGTGCTGTCAACAATCCACCTTCACCCAAACACCCCAAAATGCTGCAGGTACTATGGGGGGAGGTCATCCAGATGCACCAGTCTGGTACCTGCTGCAAACAACAGCTTTAGAGCCCACAACATCCCAGCAACACTTTATGTAAGTCTATTATCTGTTTCAAAACATTTTTTTTCCTTTTAGACGGAATCTCGGTCGATCACCTAGCCTGGAGTGCAGTGGCGCAATCCTGGCTCACTGCAACCTCTGCCTCCCAGGTTCAAGCGATTCTCCTGCCTCAACGTCCCGAGGAGCTGGGACTATAGGTGCCCGCCACCACACCTGGCTAATATTTGTATTTTTAGCAGAGATGGGGTTTCACCATGTTGTCCAGGCTGGTCTTGAACTCCTGATCTCATGATCCGTCAGCCTCGGCCTTCCAAAGTGTTGGGATTACAAGCGTGAGCCACCGTGCCTGTTTTTTGTTTGTTTGTTTATTTGTTTTTGAGGCGGAGTCTCACTCTGTTGCCCAGGCTGGAGTGCAGTGGTACAATCTCGGCTCACTGCAACCTCCACCTCCAGGGTTCAAGCGATTCTCCTGCCTCAGCCTCCCAAGTAGCTGGTACTACAGGCGCCCACCACTGCAGCCGCCACCATGCGCAGCAAATTTTTTTGTATGTTTAGTAGACAGTTTCACCATGTTGGTCAGGCTGGTCTTGAACTCCTGACCTCAAATGATCCACCCGCCTCGGCCTCCCAAAGTGCTGGGATTACAGGCCTGAGGCACCACACCCAACCTCAAAACAGTTCTAATAGTACTTTTACCAGTTACAGACAATCTCTAACTTCGGATGGTTCAATTTAGGATTTTTCGACTTTACAATGGTGTGAAAGCATACACATTCAGTACACTCCTCATTTATGATGGGGGTTACCTCCAAATCCATCGTAAACTGAAAATACTGTATTGTAAGTTTAAAGCACACTTTGACTTACTACATTTTCAACTTACAATGGGTTTTCTGGGACACAACCACATTTTAAGTTGAGGAACATCTGTAATATAAATAAGACATATGATAAGGATTTTCCAGAAAAAATACTTGCCATCCCTGGGGAACTTACTTTCCTTTGACTGTAAGAATACACTGCCCAGATATTTACTGGCCAACTTTTTAGAATTCCTTCCAGTCCCACCCATAGAGGTTGGAAAAAAGGGTTTTTCCTATAATCACTCTTAAAGGAAGCTTATCATTAAGAAAAAAATATCTAGTGGGAGAAAGCTGAGTATAATATCTGACTTAAATTGCTAGTGGATTCCTAATCTCATTTTTAGTTTGCTCTCACAGTATTTGTAAATGTGTGCATTGCATTTGACCATGCATATTTCATCGCAAATCCACATATTAAAGTATGGAAGTTCTCAACGAAGCTAAATATTTTCTTAAGTAGAAAGCTTTTGCAGATAACCTCCAAATTAGCATGAAGCATGTTTCTTTTTCTAATAAAGAGTAATATTTTAAATTAGCCAGGCGTGGTGGCATGTGCCTGTAATCCCAGCTACTCAGGAGGCTGAGGCAGGAGAATTGCTTGAACCCGGGAGGCGGAGGTTGCAGTGAGCCGAGATCGTGCCACTGCACTCCAGCTTGAGCAACAAGAGTGAAACTCCATCTCCAGGCTGGGCGTGGTGGTTTATGCCTGTGATCCCAACACTCTGGGAGGCCAAGTCGGGCGGATCACCTGAGGTCAGGAGTTCAAGACCAGCCTGGCCATGGTGAAACCCTGTCTCTACTAAAAATACAAAAAATTAGCCGGGCGTGGTGGTGTGTGCCTGTAATCCCAGCTACTGGGGAGGCTGAGGCAGGAGAATCGCTTGAACCCAGAAGGCGGAGGTTGCAGTGAGCCAAGATCGTGCCACTGCCGTCCAGCCTAGGCAACAAGAGCCAAACTCCGTCTCGAAAAAAAAAAAAAAAAGGCCGGGTGCTGTGGCTCACGCCTATAATCCCAACAATTTGGGAGGCCAAGGCAGGCGAATCACCTGAGGTCAGGAGTTCAAGACCAGCCTGACCAACATGGAGAAACCCCATTTCTACTAAAAATACAAAATTAGCCAGGCATAGTGGCGCATGCCTGTAATCCCAGGTATTCAGGAGGCTGAGACAGGAAAATTGCTTGAACCTGGGAGGCGGAGGTTGTGGTGAGCCAAGATCGCGCCATTGCACTCCAGCCTGGGCAATAAGAGCAAAACTCCGTCAAAAAAAAAAAAAAAAAAGAGTAGTATTTTAAAAGCTTATATCCTAGAAAGGAGAAAAAGGAAGGATATAATCCATTCAATTGCAGACAATTACAACATTTTCCTCAATGTTTTTCCCTTGTGATCTGAAAGACCAAAATAGACATCCCTTTATCAACTAAGATGGACCCTAAGGTTAAGGAAACAAAAGTTGCTTACAGGTCCGGGGCTCAGGGCCTGGCTGACATGGCAAATTTCTAAATTCCTACGGCTACAAGAAAAAATCACACTCTTGCAAATTATCAGACCCCTCCTAACTCTGATTTACAACCCAGACCACTGTAACTGTGATTGGACAGAGGACCAGCCTCAGAAACATTCTTTTCTGATATGCAGTTGCAGATCTTAAGCCAGTTTCAGCCACTTTATAGAGGTTGCACACAAACTTGTCTTTGTGTCCTATAGTTCGCCTTTGACCTAAAGAGCCAAATTCCACCTTATTTTATTTATGTATTTATTTTTGAGATAGAGTCTTGCTCTGTCGCCCAGGCTGGAGTGCAGTGGCGCGATCTCGGCTCACTGCAACCTCCGCCTCCTGGGTTCAAGTGATTCTCCTGTCTCAGCCTCCAGAGTAGCTGGGATTACAGGTGCGCACCACCATGCCCAGCTAAGTTTTGTATTTTTAGTAAAGACAGGGTTTCACCATATTGGCCTGGATGGTCTTGATCACTTGACCTCATGATCCACTGGCCTCGGCCTCCCAAAGTGCTGGGATTACAGGTGTGAGCCACCACGCCCAACAAGTCCACCTTATTTTAATGCTAAAAGCCCACCCCAAAATGAACATGGGATGTATGTTACATATGTTTACCCATTGCACATGTGCCCAATTCCCCTCATAAATATGTATAGCTTTTCTCCCAAACCAGCTTCATATTTAAGACTACTATATAATATTAAGCCCTGTGAAGCATAAAACCCAACCTGCCCATCTCCTCCTCAAAGATGGAGCACAATCTATGCCAGGGACTCTCTCCCCAGTATGCAAACTGATATCACCAATAAAGCTCTTCTTTCTACTATGTAGCCATCCTGGTGGTCTTTTGGATGACAATATTCATGTAACAAAACCTTAATTCAGGCAACACTTCGACTTACTGTAAATCCATAAATATTTGCTGTCTACAAAGTGCCAAGCAATGTGCTGACACAGAGGAAGGAAAAGGGTTATATTAACAAAGGATGCAATAGTGACTTGCATCTATAAAATGACTTGAGCCTCACTACTAATTAATAAAAGTAATTCTCCATATTTGCATAACTTAAAGTCTTTATGACTTTAATGACTTGATGATTGTCTGCTTGGGGAAGCTGATTCTTCAGAAGCAATGGCAAGAAAATAGAATAAATAAAACTTAAGAGTGAGTTAGAAGCCACTAAACAGATTGTTTCCTCATCTATGTAAGGCCTGGATGTCCCTCTAACATTTTACGGATGGCTTCTCAGATAATAGAGGATTATAGCATCTGATTTATATGCCAAATGGACCCTATAGGAAACGTAAACTGGAATTTTCACACTTTAATTTTATTCTGTAATTGGTCAATTCCAGTATTTTTATTTCTTTTAATTCATCTCAGCCATTTTGAATCAATTTGCATTCCCTACATTAGAAGGAATGGAAAATGGTCAAAGATGGAGACCAGGCTTAGACACCTTCAGGGAGTCCAGGAGCTCAGAGGCAATAATTTGAAAACTTCCAGCATTAATGGATAGGCACAGGGGTCTTGTTACTCTTAGGAAACGCTCACTTAGTCTTGTTAATTAAATGATAAATTCTTATTGTCACTGTAGAACATACAAGTTACATACTCATCTTATTTCTAGGAAGAAGCAATATCTTAAGAAGTCTCTCATGTATCACTACAACCTAGATATTGTTGCAGGTGGTCTAAAAGCCTAGGAATCAGTTAATTCAGTTCTTAAGAGAATACCTGGAGAAAGGCACACAGCAAAGGTAACATGGATCTTTGTATACATCAAATCACTCAGATGAAGGCCTAGCCTCTCCTACTTCTCCTTATAAGATAAAGGTTTCAGGCTGGGTGTGGTGGCTCACACCTGTAATCTCAGCCCTTTGGGAGGCTGAGGCAGGTGGAACACTTGAGGTCAGGAGTTCAAGACCAGCCTCTCCTATTTCTCCTTATAAAAGAAAGGTTTCAGGCCAGGTGTGGGGGCTCAGGTCTGTAATCCCAGCACTTTGGGAGGCTGAGACGGGTGGATCACTTGAGGTCAGGAGTTCGACACCAGCCTGGCCAACATGGTGAAACCCCATCTTTACAAAAATACAAAAAAATTAGCCAGGCGTGGTGGCGGGCACCTGTAATCCCAGCTACTCAGGAGGCTGAAACAGGAGAATCACTTGAACCCAGGAGGCAGAGGTTGCAGTGAGCTGAGATCATGCCTTTGCACTCCAGCCTGGGTGACAGAGCAAGACTTTATCTCAAAAAAAAAAAAAAAAAAAGAAAAAAGGTTTCTTAACAACCACTAAACAGGCCACACTGTACTTCTTTCTTATTTTTTATTTTTTTTTAGAGATGGAGTCTCCCTCTGTTGCCCAGGCTGGAGTGCGGTGGCGCGATCTTGGCTCACTGCAAGCTCTGCCTCCCAGGTTCACGCCATTCTCCTGCCTCAGCCTCCCGAGTAGCTGGGACTACAGGCGCCCGCCAACATGCCAGGCTAATTTTTGTATTTTTAGTACAGGCAGGGTCTCACCATGTTAGCCAGGATGGTCTCGATCTCCTGACCTCGTGATCCGCCCACCTCGGCCTCCCAAAGTGCACGGATTACAGGTGTGAGCCACCGCGCCTGGCCTGTACTTCTTTCTTATTATAAAAAGGTAAATAACATTAAAATGAGAATATCATTTGCCTAAGGAATTTCAAAAGCAAGAAAGTTGGCCCAAAAGATTCAACTGCTTGAAAATGCAACATGTAAAGATCCTCTTCATGAAATAATCACATTTTAGTATCTCAGGTGCTCTTTAGGAACTAGAATTTATTTGAATTTAAGAATCAACACCAGAAAAATGTACAAAGGAGACAGAATCCTAAATAATAATATTAAGCAAACATAACATTTGAGCATTTGCAAAATTATCAAACTAATGGGGAAATAAATTTGGAGAAACACAAAGAACTCAGCAAAGATCACAAGAACCTGAACCTTACATGAAATCACACACTCAGAACACTGAACTAGAGTGCTTAAGGTTTTATAACTAAAACTAAAGTTTTATAACTCTGTCACAACCCAGTGTGACAGTGGGTAATTTGTTTAATCTTTCTTAGATCTGTTTATTTATAAAACAGAAATAATATGTATGCTACCAAAAATGACATCTACACATACTATACTATACTAACAGCCACAGCAAAATATCATTATTAGATGTTACAACTAGAAGAATCTCTTGAAGAACAAACTTCTAAAAACAGGGACTACGCACTGTGGCTCATGCCTGTAATCTCAGCACTTTGGAAGGTCAAGACGAGAGGGTTGCTCGAGGCCAGGAGTTTGAGATCAGCCTATGCACCATAGCAAGATGTCATCCCTACAAAAAATGGAAAAATTAGCCTGTCATGGTGACGTGCACCTGTAGTCCTGGCTACTCGGAAGGCTCAGCCAAGTGGGTAGCTTGAGCCCCAGGAGTTAGAGGCGGCAGTAAGCTATAACTGTACCACTGCACTCTAGCCTAGGAAACAGAATGAGACTCTGTCCCTTAAAAAAAAAAAAAAAAAAAAAAAGACCTACTATGACAGCACTCAAGATAGGTCAGAGAAGAGATAGACAAACTCATACAGGTTACTCCTAGACCAAAGTCCAAAATAATCAGTGGCTTAACTACAAATTACACGCCGATAGAGGAACAGAAATACCAAACTGGCTCAATATCAATATTATGTGCTATGGTTTGAACGTGCCCCAAGTTCCTGTGTTGGAAACTTGATCCCTAATGTGGCAGTGTTGGGACGTGGGGCCTAATGAGAGGTGTTTGGATCATGGAAGCCCCACCCTCAAGAATGGATTTCTGCTTGGATTGTATTTGACATAAAAAACAACAGATTGGCCGGTGCAGTGGCTCACATCTTTAACCCCAGCACTTTGGGAGGCTGAGGCAGGTGGATCACCTGAGGTTAGGTGTTGAAAATCAGCCTGACCAACATGGCGAAACCCTGTCTCTACTAAAAACACAAAAATCAGCCACGCATGACGGCGGGTGCCTGTAATCCCAGCTACTCAGGAGACTGAGGCAGAAGAATCGCTTGAACCCGGGAGGCAGAGGTTGCAGTGAGCTGAGATCACACCACCGCACTTCAGCCAAGGCAATAGAGCGAAACTCCGTCTCAAAAGAAAAAAAAAAAAAAAGAATCCATTAATGCCATTATCACGTTATCACAGAGTGGTTTCCTTGTAAAAGGATGAGTTTGGCTCCCATCATGGGATGATACAGTGAGAAGGCCCTCACCAGATGCTGGTGACATTTAGGAATAAATGTAAAACTAAATGTGTAAGAATTATATGAAGAAATTAAAAACACTTTAGTGTAAGACAAATAAAATCAATATCATAAAAAGAAGGCAGGGCTGGGCGCGGTGGCTCACGCCTGTAATCTCAGCACTTTGTTTGGGAGGCCGAGGCAGGCAGATCACCAGGTCAGAAGATCGAGACCATCCTGGCTAACACGGTGAAACCCCATCTCCACTAAAAATACAAAAAATTAGCCAGGTGTGGTGGCGGGTGCCTGTAGTCCCAGCTACTCAGGAGGCTGAGGCAGGAGAATGGCGTGAACCCAGGAGGCGGAGCTTATAGTGAGCCGAGATCGTGCCACTGCACTCCAGCCTGGGCGACAGGGCAAGACTCGGTCTCAAAAAAAAAAAAAAAAAGGCAGACCAGGTGCGGTGGCTCATGCCTGTAATCCCAGCACTTTGGGAGATGAAGGCATGCGGATCACTTGAGGCCAAGAGTTCAAGACCAGCCTGGCTAACATGGTGAAATCCCATCTCTACTAAAAATACAAAAATTAGCCTGGCGTGGTGGCACACATCTCAGATCCCAGCTAGTTAGGAGGCTGAGGCACAAGAATTGCTTGAACCTGGGAGGTGGAGGCTGCCGTGAGCCTTGATTGCACCACTGCACTTCAGCCTGGGTGACAGAGCAAGACCCTGTCTCAAATAAATAAATAGAAGGCATTCTGTATTACTAGATAGAAAAATTCATACTGTAATTATTCAGTTTTCCACAAATTAATCTATAAACTTATGGCAACTTTAAGCAAACTTTGATTGGCATTTGTCTTTTTGGTTTGTTTTAAATGAAACTTGGTAAGTTGACTCTCAAACTTATCAGAAAGAGTAAATGTGAGTGAATGGCCAAAACTGAAATAATATTAATAACTACAAATGAGGACTTGTCCCTTTTGTGACATAAGATTTTATAAAACTACAGCAAGTAAAACAGGGTGGTACTGGTATAAAAATAGACAAATAGAACAATGAAACTCAAGGGACTCCAGAAATAGACCCAAGTATAAATAAGAATTCAACAAGTAATAAAAGCACCTAAAATAGGTGCTTTTATTTATTTCTATTTAGTAAATGATACTTGTGCAACTGGCTATCCATCTGGGAAAAAATAAAATTAGATCTCTGCATTACACTACAACAAAACTAAACGCCAGGTGAATTAAAGTTCTAAAACACAAAACAAGTAAAAACCCTATGACAGTACTAGAGGAAAATAAACTGAGATAGGAAAAGACATCTTGCTTGGCACTAAACAAGAACCAAAACAGCTAGGATTTATGTTTGACCACATTAATAATAAAAACTTTTGAACAAAGAAAGGCATCATAAGTATAATCAGATAATAAGTAACAGCCTGGAGGAAAATATTTTCACTATACAAAGGTGATGGGATACTATATATTGCATATAAAGAGATTCTGGCTGGGCGCGGTGGCTCACACCTGTAATCCCAGCACTTTGGGAGGCTGAGGTGGGCTAATCACCCGAGGTCAAATTCAAGACCAGCCTGGCCAACATAGTGAAACCCTGTCTCTACTAAAAATACAAAAATTAGCCAGGTGTGGTGGTACATGCCTGTAGTCCCAGCTACTTGCGGGGCTGAGGCATGAGAATCATTTGAACTCGGGAAGCAGAGATTGCAGTGAGCCAAGATTGCACCACTGCACTCCAGCCTGGGCAACAGAGCGAGACTCTGTCCCCCCAGAAAAAAAGGCCGGGCATGATGGCTCACACCTGTAATCCCAGCACTTTGGGAAGCTGAAGCGGGTGGATTACGAGGTCAGGAGTTTCAGACCAGCCTGGCCGATATGCTAAAACCCCGTCTCTACTAAAAATACAAAAATTAGCTGGGCATAGTGGTGCATGCCTGTAGTCCCAGCTGCTTGGGAGGCTGAGGCAGAAGTGAGCAGAGATCACATCACTGACTCCAGCCTGGGTGACAGAGTGAGACTCTGTCTCAAAAAAAAAAAAAAAAAAAAGACTGGGCATGGTGGCTCATGCTTGTAATCTCAGCACTTTGGGAGGCCAAGGCAGGCGGATCACCTGAGGTCAGGAGTTCAAGACCAGCCTGGCCAACATAGCGAAACCCTGTCTCCACAAAAATACAAAAATTAGCTGGGCATGACAGTGTGTGTCTGTAATCCCAGCTACTTGGGAGGCTGAGGCGGGAGAATTGCTTGAACCCAGCAGGCAGAGGTTGCAGTGAGCTGAGATCATGCCATTGCACTCCAACCTGAGCGACAAAGATTCCATCTCAAAAAAAAAAGACAATGTGATTCCATTTTCCACTGGATTAAAAGTAAAAATTTTATAAAACTAATGTTCATAAAATTAATATAAAATAAAATGTTATATTCAGCAATGGTAAGAATATGGAGAAACCAGTATCTTCATACTTCATAGAAGTATAAATCAGTTCAGTCTTGGGCAAATTATTTAAGTTTATTCAATCCAAGTTTAAGTTTGCTCAAACTTTGACTCAGTAATTCCATTTCTAGGAGTTATGGCACTGTTGCACATGTGCACAAAGACATATGTACATGAATGTTTACAGCAGTGTCTTTTGTAAACAAATGTCTATGTCCACCAAAACAAATCTAAACTTCCACCAATATAGGAATGGCTAAGTAAACTATTGTGCATATTATGAAGTAGAACTATCTGTATGTTCCGATATGGAACGCTCTCCAAGATACACTGCTAAGCAAAAAAAAAAAAAAAAAAAGCAAGTCACAAAACAATAAGCACTATGTGTATGTGCATACACATGTGCATTATATCTGAGTACAAATACATCCAGAAAGGCACGCACGCAAAAACCTGACAAGTGATTACATAAGGAGGGTAGGATGAGATTAAAGAGAACTTTCATTTTTTACTTTGTGTACTTCCAAAATTGTTTGAATTTTTTTTACAATATACACATATACATATAAACTTTAAAAATTTTAGTTTTAAAAAAGTATGCACTATCCATACATCTTTATCTATCTATTGAGGCAGTGTCTTGCTCTGCTGCCCAGGCTGGAATACAGTGGCACAATCACAGCTCACTGCAGCCTTTACCTCCTGGGCTCAAGTGATCCTGCCGCCTTAGCCTCCCGAGTAGCTGGGACTACGAGCATGCCATCATGCCTGGCTAATTTTTTCATTTTTTTATTTTTTGTAGAGATGGGGTTCACTATGTTGTCTAAACTGGTCTCAAACTCCGGGCTCAAGCAATCCTTCCACCTTAGCCTCCCAAAGTGCTGGGTTTACAAGACTGAGCCACCATGCCCAACCTATACATCTTTAAAAAGTAAATATCAGGCGAGGCGCAGTGGCTCACGCCTGTAATCCCAGCACTTTAGGAGGCCAAGGGAGGAGGATCACCCGAGGTCAGGAATTCGAGCCCAGCCTGGACAACATGGTGAAACGCCATCTCTACTAAAAATACAAAAATTAGCCAGGCATGGGGGCGGGTGCCTGTAATCCCAGCTACTCAGGAGGCTGAGGCAGGAGAATTGCTTGAACCTGGGAGACCGAAGTTGAAGTGAGCCAAGATCACGCCACTGCACTCCAGCCTGGGTGACAGAGTGAGACTCCATCTCAAAACAAAAGGTAAATATCACAAGGAAAGACTGATGATTTAAATGTTTTATTAACATCAAATCCTAAGAGCACAGCAAAATAAAATTCAGTTGTCTCACATGAAGTAAGGATAAGAATCCCAATATAAAAACCACCATATGGTATTAAAAAAAAGGGAAACAGTACCTGCACAATCAAAAACTTATCTAAAATTTAAAACTAAATCATGATAGAGAATAGCAGCTCTGGAGACATATTGGTGAACTGCTCTAAATACAAAAATCAATTCAAGTGTTTAGATAAAAATTTTTCTGGAAAGTGATCCACTCCTTAAACAAAGGAGAAACAAAAGTATAATATAGTAACACAGAAACACACTGCATGGGCATGAAGAGTTACAGGGGACAGAAAACAGTCCAGTTTTATAGCCTAGAAACAGAAGGAAATTTAGAGACATACTCAGTTGAGAGGATCCATAAGGTACAGCAGCAAAAGTTTAAAAGGAAACATATTTCAATGAAGCTCTACTCCAGACATTTGAGTTTAAAATTATAAGCAAGATATTCTAGAAATGCCACTTCTATGGCATAGACAATATAAGCATACTACTCTTAGTCTCCAAAATAACCCATTGGAGCACTTTCATAACTTTATTGTGCCAAGTAACCTCTCTTAATTGACTTTTTAGAAAAACATCAATCACTGCTTAGATAACAAAGAATCACCTTCATTGTTACTCCAATAACCTGTGCTAATAGAAGTGTGAGAGAAATCATCATTTGGCTTGAAAAGTAGTAATTTTTTTTAAATTTTGGTATAAAATTTACCTTCATAAGTATATTTTGCTCAATCTAAAATTAAAGTCAGTTTAGTGATAATACATTTTTAAACAATATCGCAATCAAACCACAGCCCAGCATGGGATTTAATGATGACCATAAATAACTGTACCCATTTCTATAATGTACAGCAGACTACATGGGCCTCTTGGTTCTTGATTAGAGCCTAACTTCATCAAGGAAAATGACCTAAGAAGTGGTAATCTTATGGAAAATTTTTCCATATTTTTTTCCTGTCATGACTACACAATAGAAAAAGCACTGAAAACCATTTACAAAATAGGTGACTTTTTGCTTAATGGGCATCCCACTAATCTGATTTAATTAACTTGAACTCAATTATGCCCTTGAACTGGTCAAAGAAGTAATGAGAATCTGTGACCCCCTATCCCTCCCCACCTTCCTTTCCATTTACCACTACCCCGTCTCTTTCCCACTCCCAACTCGTGGCACTATATAGATACCAGTTACATCTTTATTTTTGTAGTTTTGGACTAGCTTATCAGCCTTTTTAATCTCTGCACCATAGGCAATAGAAAGCATACTGGATGTTCTATTGTACAAGATGTAAGATCTCCTCAAAATTTAAAACATTTTACTTTAAAGAAATACCACTACCAAGAAAATAAAAGACAGCCCACAGGATGGGAGAAAATGTTTATAAATCATACATCTGGATTAGGGGCTTATCTTTGAAATATATAAACTCTTACAGCTCGATAAGAAGATATATAACCCAATTAAAAGACATCTTTTTATTTTTATTTATTTACTTTTTTGAGATGAAATCTCACTCTGTTGCCCAGGCTGGAGTGCAGTGGCGCAATCTCAGCTCACTGCAACCTCCGCCTCCTGGGTTCAAGCAATTCTCCTGCCTCAGCCTCCCTAGTAGCTGGGATTACGGATGTGCAACACCATGCCCAGCTCATTTTTTGTATTTTTAGTAGAGACAGGGTTTCACTACGTTGGTCAGGCTGGTCATCAACTCCTGACCTCAAATGATCCACCTGCCTTAGCCTCCCAAAGTGCTGGGATTACAGGTGTAAGCCATTACACCCGGCCAAAGACAATTTTTTAAATGCACTATTCTGAGGAGAAAAAAAAACAAAAAACCCTTCACACCTACTAGAATGGCTATAATTTTAAAAACAACAACAAAAACAAAAAAAATAAACATTGGTGAAGATGTGGAGAAACTGGAACCTTTGTATACTGCTGGTGGATATGTAAAATGGTGCAGCTCCTGTGGAAAATAGTTTAGTGGTTCCTTAACAAGTTAAACACAAAATTACCATGTGACTCAGCAATTCCATTTCTATGTATATACCCCAAAGAACTGAAAACAGACTCAAACAGATACTTGAACACCAATCACTGCAGTATTATTCACAGTAACCAAAGGTGGAAACAACCTAAGTGTCCATCAACAGATGAATGACTAAGCACAATGTGCTGCATACATATAATGGAACATTATTGAGCCATAAAAAGGAAGTTCTGATACATGCTAACATGGAGGAAGCTTAAAAACATTATGGGCCAGGCGCAGTGGCTCACACCTGTAATCCCAGCACTTTGGGAGCTCGAGGCAGGTGGATCACAAGGTCAGGAGATCGAGACCACCCTGGCTAACACAGTGAAACCCCATCTCTAATAAAAATACAAAAATTTAGCCAGGCGTGGTGGCATGTGCTTGTAGTCCCAGCTACTTGGGAGGCTGAGGCAGAATCATTGAATCTGGGAGGCGGAGGTTGCAGTGAGCTGAGATCGTGCCACTGAACTCCACCCTGGGCAACAAAGCGAGACTCCGTCACAAACAAACAAACAAACAAACAAAAATTATGTTAAGTAAAATAAGCCAGACACAAAATGACAAGTATCATATAATTCTACTTATATGAGGTACCTAAAATAGGCAAACTCGTAGAGACAGTAGATTAGAACTTACCAGGAGCTAGGGAAGGGTGGGGGATCTGTATTTTCCAATTTTTCTTTTCTTTTTTTTTTTTTGAGACAGTCTCACTTTGTCGCCCAGGCTGGAGTGCAGTGGCGTGATCTCGGCTCAATGCAACCTCTGCCCTCCCGGGTTCAGGCAATTCTCCTGCCTCAGCCTCCTGAGTAGCTAGGATTACAGGTGCGTGCCACCACGCCTGGCTAATTTTTTCTTTTCTTTTTTTGCATTTTTAGTAGAGACGGTGTTTCACCATGTTGATCAGGCTGGTCTCGAACTCCTGACCTCGTGATTCGCCCACCTCAGCCTCCCAAAGTGCTGGGATTACGGGCATAAGCCACGGCACCTGGCCTGTATTTTCCAATTTTTCTATAATGTACGCACACTCTACTTTAAATAAGAGCAACCAAAATAGCTGGGCACAGTGGCTCATGCCTGTAATCTCAGCACTTTGAGAGGCTAAGACAGGCAGATCACTTGAGCCCAAGAGTTCAAGACCAGCCTAGGTAACATGGTGAAACCCCACCTCTACCAAAACAACACCCCCTCCCCAACCTCAACCCATAAATTGGCCCCAAGTAGCTGGGACTACAAGCTTGTGCCTGTAGGCTGAGGTGGGAGAATCACCTGAGCCCGAAAAGTAGAGGCTTCAATGAGCCATGATCATGTCACTGCACTCCAGCCTGGTGACAGCGCAAGGTCCTGTCTCAAGAAAAAAAAACAGTAGGTGGAGCATGGTGGCTCACACCTGTAATTCCAGCACTTTGGGAGGCTGAGGCAGGCAGACTGTTTGAACCCAGTAGTTCGAGACCATCCCGGGCAAGACAGTGAGACCCTGTTTCTATATAAATAATAATAAGGCTGAGCAAGATGGCTCATGCCTATAATCCCAGCACTTTGGGAGGCCGAGGTGGGCGGATCACTTGAGGTCAGGAGTTTTAGACCAGCCTGGCCAACATGGCGAAACTCCATCTATACTAAAAATACAAAAAATTAGCTGGGCGTGGTGGCGCGTGCCTGTAATCCCAGCTACTTAGGAAGCTGAGACAGGAGAATCACTTGAACCGGGAGGCGGAGATTGCAGTGAGCCGAGATTGCGCCACTGCACTCCAGCCTGGTCAACAGAGCGAGACCCTGTCTCAAAAAAAGAAAAATTAGAAAGTTGGGCAACAGAACAAGACCCTGTCTCCAAAACAAACAAACAAACAAACAAACAAGAACATTTAGAAAGTTGGCCCTAATAGCACATTTCTTAAAATTTTTTAATTAAAAATACACACAAGCAACTGTTACATTTCAAAAAGCTTTCCTTTTCTCAACTTTATAGGTGCAATGTTACCACTGTGAAGTTCTAGATGAACATGAAATAAAGGAATTTATTAAACATAATTCCTTGGTGCTCCAACTCGTACGCTACAGAATAGCAAAGAAGGCACACATATTCATAGTAACTGGATATTTTGCCTTTTGGGTGTGACTATATTGGGTTATATGCTATCTAACACAGAAGTTTTGAGGTACAGATCTGTTTTGGAGCTGGTAAGACCATCTACTCCTCTATACGCTTCGTTTTACAAAAGGGGAAATTGAGATAAGCTGACTTGCCAGTTACTGGAAAGAAATCTGGCACTTGAATCCAGGTCTCCTCACTCTCAATAACTCTATTATTCCACAACAGGCCTCTGAGGTAATTCCTAGGTGACCCATATGGAGATGCAGTCTTTCGTCTTCAAGCTACTATGGCCATTGAATAACAGAATCTACTGGTGGGAGTTAAAGAAGAAACTCAAAGTTGATCATTTTGTTATGTCCTGGCTTGCAGATGAGATCAGAAACTTTATCCACACACAGAAAGCTAGGCATATTTGACCCACCTTGATTCAGCCTGATTCTGACCATCCTTCTTGCTTCCTTTGCTTCCTCCTTGCCTTTCCCCACTTCTGAAACATTACCATTTCCACTTTTCACTTCCCTTGCCCTTCAAATGATACATAGCAAGGAAAAACTCTATTTGAAAACCTAAATTAACCATTAAGTCAACACCCAATTATACAATCAAAACATCTTTGCTGTCTCTATACTCCCAGTAGGCACCAAGAAAATGAAAATTCATGTTATTACCTAACTAAATCATACATAATTATACAGGTAAAGCTTGTGGGTTAAATTAAACATGTAACATTTTCCAATACCAATCAATGACTAACACATTCTGGAAGCTCCAAACACAAAGTGGGTATGGAAACAGACTTTTGTGTAGCCCCAAATTAGGCATATTCAATTGCTTGTTGACATAGGATACATTCCAACGGGGAATGGAACCAGCTTATGGGTCTTCTGGAGAAGACTGATGGAAACCAGGCATGGAAGAACATGTTTCATAGGACCCAGTCCCTCAAAGTGAAGGCCTCTGAGACTAGTAAGTAACAACTGGTGCTTTTTCCTTTACCAAAGTGATGGTTTGTTAACTTTACGCACCAGGCAGCATAAAACTGTCAGCAAACAGTATGTCTGTCACACCTGTTCCCTATTAAAGTTCTAAATGCTCTTATCACATGTTTAGTCTGTAAAAATGTTCTTAATTTGTCAGATTAAAGCAACTAAAATGTAAGAGCAAACACATTTTCATATGGCAATTGGGCTAAAAGTATTAGCTTTAAGGTAGTAAGAATCAGTGTGACTAGGCCAACATGAAACAAAAAAATAAGACATCAAAATATATGTGCTGTCTCTATACTCCCAGCAGAGTCCCCATCCTTTCTCTCTCTTACCTGGACAAAAAGTCCCACTACTAGATTGATTTCTCTAATCCTCTGGATTTCAATTCAGAAAGCTACCCGTTAAAATACTGTACTCCTACGTGACTTTTGGAGGTCTTCAGTGATTACAATCCTTTTGCATTAGCATCTAAACTGGAATGTGGTACAGCAAATTCACAATAGTGCCCTGGGTTTAATTTTTTAAAGGAAACACAGCAATAGTCAATGTGACACTAAGTGAACACAAGATAGTTAATTTTCAACTTAAGATCATGGACCGGGCACGATGGCTCACACCTGTAATCCCAGCACTGTGGGAGACTGAGACAGGCAGATCACTTGAAGTCAGATGCTCGAGACCACCCTGGCCAACATGGTGAAATGCCGTCTCTACTAATAATAAACAAAAATTAGCCAGGCATGGTAACGGCGCATGCCTGTAGTCCTAGCTACTCGGGAGGCTGAGGCAGGAGATTCGCTTGAACCTGGGAGACACAGGTTGCAGTGAGCTGAGATTGCACCACTGCACTCCAGCCTGGATGACAGAGTGACACTCTGTCTCAACAACAACAAAAACCAAAAACAACAACAACAAAAAGATCATGGCACATTCCTTTCAATTACATCATATCTTTGTGAGGCTGATTTTATGGGCTATTGCTGTGATAAAAACAAGTATCACATGAAAATTAATGTGGGACAGGCACAGCAGCTCATGCCCGTAATCTCGGCATTTGGGGAGGCCGAGGCAGGAGGATGGCTTGAGGCCAGGAGTTCAAGACCAGCCTGGGCAACATAATGAAACCTCTCTCTACAAGAATTTTAAACATTAGAGAGGTATGGTGTGATGTGCCTGTAGTCCCAGCTACTCATGAGGCTGAGGTGGGAGGATGGCCTGAGTCCAGGAGTTGGAGGCTGCAATGAGCTATGATTGTGCCACTGCACTCCAGCCTGGGCAACAAAGTGAATGAATGAGAGAATGAATGAATAGAAGGAAGGAAAAAAGGAAAGAAGGAAGGAAGGAAAGAAGAAAGGAAGGAAGAAAGGGAGGGAGGGAGGGAAGGAGGGAAGAAAGGAGGAACAGAAGGAGGAAGGGAAAGAAAGAAAATAAAAAAATAAAATAGGCCGGGCACAATGGCTCATGCCTATAATCCCAAGACTTTGGGAGGCCGAGGCGGGTGGATCATCTGAGGTTAGGAGTTCAAGACCAGCCTGGCCAACGCGGTGAAACCCGTCTCTACTAAAAATACAAAAATTAGCCGGGTATGGTGGCGGGCGCCTGTAATCCCAGTTATTTGGGAGGCTAAGGCAGGAGAATCACTTGGGGAAGGGAAGGGAAGGGGAGGAGAGGGGAGAGGAGTGAGGAGGAGAGATGGGGAGGGGGAGAGGAAGGCAAACAAACGGGCCGGGCACGGTGGCTCATGCCTGTAATCCCAGCATTTTGGGAGGCCAAGGCAGGCAATCACCTGAGGTCTGAGGTTCGAGACCAGCCTGGCCAACATGGTGAAACCCCGTCTCTACTAAAAATATAAAAAGTAGCCAGGCATGGTGGCGCACACCTGTAGTGCCAGTTACTTGGGAGGATGAGGCAGGACAATTGCTTGAACCCAGGAGGCCGAGGTTGCAGTGAGTTGAGATCGCACCATTGCACTCAAGCCTGGGCGCCAGAGTGAAACTCCGACTCAAAAAAGAAAAAAAAAAGAGAGAGAGAAAGAAAAGAGACAGGGAGATAAAATTAATAAGAAATGCAGGTGGAAGTGTCCAATATGATTCCAGCGTATGAGAAACAGTACACAACAGGCATATACATTTCATTAGTAAGTGTGGTTACTTAAGAATGAAATTAGGCTGGGCGCAGTAGCTCATGCCTGGGAGCCACTTTGGGAGGCCAGCACTTTGGGAGGCTGAGGCTGGCGGATCACGAGGTCATGAGTTCGAGACCAGCCTGGCCAACATGGTAAAACCCCGTCTCTACTAACAAAACAAAAATTAGCCGGGCGTGGTGGCGGGCACCTGTAGTCCCAGCTACTCAGGAGGCTGAGGCAGGAGAATCTCTTGAACCCGGGAGGCAGAGGTTGCAGTGAGCCAAGATGGAGCCACTGCACTCCAGCCTGGGTGACAGAGTGAGACTCTGTCTCAAAAACAAAACAAAACAAAAAAAAGGCCAGGCATTGTGGCTCACACCTCTAATCCCAGCACTTTAGTAGGCCAAGGTGGGTGGATCACCTGAGGTCAGGAGTCCAACCAACATGGTGAATCCCCATCTCTACCAAAAATACAAAATTAGCTGGGCATGGTGGCACATGCCTGTAATCCCAACTGCTTAGGAGGCTGAGGCAGGAGAATTGCTTGAACCTGGGAGGTGGAGGTTGCAGTGAGCCAAGATCAAGCCATTGCACTCCAGCCTGGACAACAAGAGGGAAACTCCATCTCAAAAGAAAAAAAAAAAGGCCAGGTGCAGTGGCTCATGCCTATAATCCCAGCACTTTGGGAGGCCGAGGTGGGGGGATCACGAGGTCAGGAGATTGACTAAAAATACAAAAAATTAGCCGGGCGTGGTGGTGGGCACCTGTAGTCCCAGCTACTTAGGAGGCTGAGGCAGGAGAACGGTGTGAACCCAGGAGGTGGAGCTTGCAGTGAGCCAAGATCGTGCCACTGCACTCCAGCCTGGGCAACAGAGTGAGACTCTGTCTCAAAAAAAAAAAAAAAGAAATTAAATTGCTACTTTTTTTCTCCTAATTTTTTATCCTAATTTCTATGTATCATTTCTTCAAACAGCTACTAACTTGTTAGAAAATACTTCTTAAGTATTGTTTAGACCTAATTACTTACTTAATATAGCTGTTAGGTATTTCTTTTGCACTAGAGTTTCTATGAAAAAAAAAAACTGAGACACTAAGGGCATCATAAACTGAGAACGTTTGAGAGTCTTTAAGCTAAGATCTGAAGGATGACTAAGGCATTTCAAAAACCATGTAGTAGAATGAAGGCCAGGCGTGGTGGCTCACGCCTGTAATCCCAGCACTTTGGGAGGCTGAAGCAGGCGGATCACCTGAGGTCAGGAGTTTGAGACCAGCCTGAGCAACATGGTGAAACCCCATCTCTGCTAAAAATATAATAAATTAGCCGGGCATGGTGGTGCACGCTTGTAATCCCAGCTACTCAGGAGGCTGAGGCAGGAGAATCGCGTGAACCCAGGAGGCAAAGGTTGCAATGTGCCAATATCGCACCACTGCACTCCAGCCTGAGCAACAGAGCCAGAGTCCTTGTAAAAATAAATAAATAAATAAATGAAAAACGTGTAGTGAAATGAGAGGGAAAAGACAGGGTCCCCACCCTTAAAGACATTACACTCTAGTTAGGGAGGCAAAACTAAAAGATAAACAATTTTGAAATAATTTACAGTTAGGCCGGGCATGGTGGTTCACACCTGTAATCCCAGCACTGTGGAAGGTGAGGCAGGCAGATCACCTGAGGTCAGGAGTTCGAGACCAGCCTGGCCAACATGGTAAAACCCCATCTCTACTAAAAATACAAAAATTAGCCAGGTATGGTGGTGTGTGCCTGTAATCCCAGCTACTTGGGAGGCTGAGGCAGGAGAATCGCTTGAACCCGGGAAGTGGAGGTTGCAGTGAGCCAAGACTGTGCTACTGCATTCCAGCCTGGGTGACAGAGTGAGACTCCATCTCAAAAAAAAAAAAAGAAAAAATAATAATAATTTACAGTTGAACTTTAATACCTGCAAAGTTCTTTCATATCTGTTTGCATTCAAGGGAGTGTTTTTTGAGTCAGCCTCACGTATGTCGGTTTACCCTCTCACACTTTACTCAGAATTGAATCCTTCAGTAACCCTATACAAGGATAACTGCTCTAAGCGTTTTTCCATCTCCCAACTGCTTCTTTCCCACTGTCCTTCAAAATTGAGCTCATACACATCACCTCCTCTGGGAAGCCCTCCCTGACTCATTAAATTGACATTTAGATGTCCCTTCCCTAAACGTCCCTAAATGGGATATTTGGTATATTTATATCATAGGATTTATCATTCTATCCTGTAGTCATCACCAATTAATTTCCTTGTTTCCTCACTACATTGTAAACTTTTGGCAGCAGGGTCTGTCGTCTTTTTTTTTTTTTTAAGACATGGTCTTGCTCTGTTGCACAGGCTGAAGCGCAGTGGCGTGATCATGTCTTATTGCAGCCTTGAATTCTCTTTCTCAGGTGATTCTCTCACCTCAGCCTCTCAAGTAACTGGGACCACAGGCACGCACCACCAGGCCCAGCTAATTTTTTGTAGAGATGGGCTTTTTTTTTTTTTTGAGACGGAGTCTCTCTCTGTCATCCAGGCTGGAGTGCAGTGGCGCGATCTCGGCTCACCGCAAGCTCCGCCTCCTGGGTTCACGCCATGCTCCTGCCTCAGCCTCCTGAGTAGCTGGACTACAGGCGCCCGCCACCATGCAGGGATGGGCTTTTGATGTTTCCCAGGCTGGTCTTGAACTCCTTGGCTCAAGTAATTCTTGCACCCTGGCTTCCCAAAGTGCTGGGATTACAGGCATGAGCCACTGCAACTGGCCAATCTGCGTCTTCTGACTCAACTCAACAACCAATATCACAGTGCCTGGCTCTCAAAAAATGTTTTCTGAATAAATGACAAGTACAGGGAAGTTTTGTGGGTTTTTTTGAGACTTTTTTTTTTTTGAGACGGAGTCTCACTCTGTTGCCCAGGCTGGAGTGCAATGGTGTGGTCTTGGCTCACTACGACGTCCTCCTCCCAGGTTCAAGCGATTCTCCTACCTCAGCCTCCGGAGTAGCTGGGATTACAGCCTCCTGATCCACCCGCCTTGGCTCCCAAAATGCTGGGATTACAGGTGTGAGCCACTGCGCCCGGCCAGGAAAATATTTTTTAAAAATACACAGAGGGCCGGGCATTGTGGCTCATGCCTGTAATCCCAGCACTTTGGGAGGCCAAGGCAGGTGGATCACTTGAGGTCTGGAGTTCAAGACCAGCCTGACCAACATGGTGAAACCTCATCTCTACTAAAAATACAAAAATTAACTGGGTGTGGTGGCATGTGCCTGTATTCTCAGCTACTCGGGAAGTGGAGGCACAAGAATTGCTTGAATCCGGGAGGCGGAGGTTGCAGTGAGCAGAGATCACGCCATTGCACTCTAGCCTGGGCGACAGAGCAAGATTCCGTTTCAAAAAAAAAAAAAAAATACAAATGGTTAATTATGCCATTTCACTTTAAAAAAAGAATTGCCGGGCGCAGTGGCTTATGCCTGTAATCCTAGCACTTTGGGAGGCTGAGGCGGGTGAATCACAAAGCCAGGAGTTTGAGACCAACCTGGCCAACATGGTGAAACCCCATCTCTACTAAAAATACAAAAATTAGCTGGGCATGGTGGCAAGTGCCTGTAATCCCAGCTACTTGGGAGGCTGAGGCAGGAGAATTTCTTGAACCCGGGAGGCAGAAGCTGCAGTGAGCTGAGATGGCACCATTGCACTCCAGGCTGGGCAACAGAGTGAGACCCTGTCTCAAAAAAAAAAAAAAAAAAGAAAAAAGAGAAAAAGGAAAAGATTCTCAAAAATCTCAGAAAATAGATTAACAAATTTGTAAAAATTAAAATAATCTTCCAAGATGATATTCATATACTTTTGATAGAAATATAATAATGTTTGTGATGGTTAATTTTTGGTGTCAACTTGACTGGATTAAGGGATACCCAGATAGCTGGTAAACATTATCATCTGTGAGGGTATTTCCGGAAGAGATTAGCATTTGAAGCAGTCGAGTGAGTACCAGCCTGGGCAACACAGTGAGACCTTGTCTTTACAAAAAATAATTAGCCAGGCCTGGCTAATTGGGAGGCCGAGGCGGGCAGATCACCTGAGGTCAAGAATTCAAGACCAGCCTGGCCAACATGGTGAAACCCTGTCTCTACTAAAAATACAAAAATTAGCCAGGTGTGGTGGCAGGCACCTGTAATCCCAGCTACTCGGGAGGCTGAGGCAAGAGAATTGCCTGAACCCAGGAGGCGGAGGTTGCAGTGAGCCGAGATCACCCCACTGCACTCTAGCCTGGGTGGCAGAGCAAGACTCCATCTCAAAAAAATAAAATAAAAAATAATTAGCCAGGCCTGGTGGTGTGAGCCTGTAGTCCCAGCTACTCTGAAGGATAAGGCAGGAGGATCGCTTGAGCCAAGTGGCTGCAGTGAGCAGTGATAGAGCCACTATACTCCAGCCTGGGGGACTGAGCAAGACCCTGTCCCCAAAAAATAAAAATTGGCCAGGATCAGTGGTTCACACCTGTAATCCCAGCACTTTGGGAGACTGAGGTGGGTGGATCATGAGGTCAGGAGAGCGAGACCATCCTGGCTAACACGGTGAAACTGTCTCTACTAAAAATACTAAAAAATTAGCTGGGCGTAATCCCAGCTACTCGGGAGGCTGAGACATGAGAATCGCTTGAACCTGGGAGGCAAAGGTTGCAGTGAGCCGAGATCACACCATTGCACTCCAACCTGGGCGACAGAGCAAGACTCTGTCCAAATAAATAAATAAATAATAAAAAATAAAAATAAAAATCTTAAAGTAGACTCTATTAGTCCATTCTCACACTGCTATAAAGAAATACCTAATGAAACACTGTCTCTGCTAAAAACACAAAAATTAGCCAGGCGTGGTAGCACACACCTGTAATCTCAGCTACTTGGGAGGCTGAGGCAGGAGAATCTCTTGAACCTGGAAGGCAGAGGCTGCAGTGAGACAAGAGAGTGCCAAGGTTCTCTAGCCTGGGGGTGACAGACTGAGTGAGTCTCTGTCTCAAAACAAACAAACAAACAAAAAAACACAAATGAATTAAATCTATAGGTAAAGAACTGAAAGGATATCTATGATACAGTCAGCAAAAAATACACTAATCTCACTTGAAGGTAAAAAATATAAATATTTGCATTTTTGTTCACAAGAACATTGAGAAAGAGATGGGAAAGCAGTTCATAACAAGCAGTTACTACTGGTGATCTCAGGATTAGAAAAGATGTAACATTTTCCCTATGGGCATGTGTTACTCTTATAACTTAAAATGGAAAGGCAAAAAATGAAAGTTTTCAAAATTAAGGGCAGTAAATAATCTGAAGATCTCCCCTCCTCCAAGTTCTTAACAAAAATCCCATGTCATAAGCACCCTTAATCAAACAGTGGTGCTTCTGAAGAGTCAAGTATCCTGTGGACCAGATAATGTAAACTTTCTTAAAAAAGAAAAAATTTGCCAGGCATGGTAGATCATACCTGTAATCCCAACACTTTGGGAGGCTGAGGCGGGCGGATCACCTGAGGTCAGGAGTCCGAGACCAGCCTGACCAACATGGAGAAACCCCGTCTCTACTAAAAATACAAAATTAGCCGGGCATGGTGGCGCATGCCTGTAATCCCAACTACTCAGGAGGCTGAGGCAGGAGAATCGCTTGAACCCAGGAGGCAGAGGTTGTGGTGAGCCAAGATCGTGCCACTGCACTCTAGCCTGGGCAACTCAAACTCTGCCTCGAAAAAAAAAAAATTATTATTCCACCAGAAGGAAAGAAGCATATTCTTAAACACTGGACCTTAATATCCAGTGGATTTTCCTATCTAGTTTCTTCTGAATGCTGCTCTGTTTGAGAATTTGTAATGAGGAGCTTGGAAATCTGCTCAGCAGATTTTCACAACCATATCATTGATTCATTCATTGAGAGTAAACAAAAGTGTTACATGAGAAATCTGAGGAAGACAGGCTGGGTACGCTGGCTTACGATGCAATCCCAGCACTTTGGAGACTGAGGTGGGAGGATCGTTTGAATCCAGGAGTTTGAGACTAGCCTGTGCAACATAGGGAGACCCCATTTCTCTTTTTTTTTTTTTTGAGACGGAGTCTTGCTCTGGGGAGACCCCATTTCTACAAAATAAAAAAAATTAGCTGGGCATGGTGGCATGCACCTGTAGACCTAGCAACTTGGGAGGCTGAGGTGGAAAGATCAGTTGAGCCTGGGAGGTGGAGGCTGCAGTGAGAATGAGCCACGATTGTGCCACTGCACTGCAGCCTGGGCAACAGAGGGAGAGCTCATCTCAAATAAATAAATAAATAAATAGGAAAGAAAGGGAAAGGGGAGGGGAGGGGAGGGGAGGGGAGGGAAGGGAAGGGGAGGGGAGGGAAGAGGGCAGCCGGATGCGGTGGCTCACGCTTGTAATTCCAGCACTTTGGGAGGCTGAGGCAGGCGGATCACCTGAAGTCAGGAGTTTGAGACCAGCCTGGCCATTATGGTGAAACCCCATCTCTACTAAAAATACAAAAATTAGCCACGCGTTGTGGTGGGTGCCTGTAATTGCAGCTACTCAGGAGGCTGAGGGAGGAGAATCGCTTGAACCCGGGAAGCGGAGGCTGCGGTGAGCCGAGATCATGCCACTGCACTCCCGTCTGGGCGACAGAGTAAGGCTCTGTCTTAAAAAAAAAAAAAAAAAAAAAAAAGGAAAGGAAGAAAGAAAAAGAAATCAGAGGAAGACATTCAAACACTTCTGGTCCTTAAAATGGGAGAGCCAACTGCCACTGGAGCGCCCTCTGGGGATCGAATTTTTAAAAATTTTACATCTTCAGGACAAACAATAAACTCTATGAATCCAACGTATTCAACTTATAATTCAATAAGTGCTTAATAAGCAGTTACTATGTGTCAGGCACAATGTTCAACACTGGGGACACAAAGATAAATGAAATCAAGTTTCTGATTTATATATGCTTAAAGTCAATTATCATCCAAAACTTTTTCTAAGTGCAGTAAGTAGGATGGCCAGGCAAAGTAAGAGTTACCCACACAGGCCCTGGAGGAAGTTGACACAGATGATAAAATGCTTCTTGGGTGAGGCCAGGCGCAAAGGCTCATGCCTGTAATCTCAGTACTTTAGGAAGCTGAGGCAGGTGGATCACCTGAGGTCAGAAGTTCGAGACCAGCCTGGCCAACATGGCATTCATGGTGGCATGTGTCTGTAGTCCCAGCTACTTGGGAGGCTGAGGCAGGAGAATCTCTTGAACCCAGGAGGCGGAGGTTGCAGTGAGCTGAGGTCACACCACTGTACTTCAGCCTGGGCAACAGAGTGAGACCCTCTCTCAAAAAAAAAAAAAAAAGTTTTCTGGGTGCTACAGAAAGCAATTTGGCATGGTTATAAGCTTTAGTCATAATTTGTTTATGTAAGCAAAATGTTCACAATCTTTAAAAGAGAGGTTTAAATATTTCTTCCAACTAATGCATGTAAAATGGTGGTTATTTTCAAATATAAATTTAGGTTACATTGACATAATTTCATTTGGGCCAAAACAACAAATATAAATAAAGCTTAATTTTAAAAATTCAAGAATGACACAGTATTCCCATCATGATTTTATAACTAAATTATTGCACAATAATTCCATTCTGGAAACTTAACTCTAAGTATCACACTGATTTAGAAAATAGCTCATTTTCAAAAACAAATTCAGTATTAGAGGATACAGATTTACAAACAATTAGAAAATAAAACAAATTCTCCAAGTCTGGGTATTTGGTAAAAAAAAAAGAAAAGAAGAAAAAGAAAGAACAGGAAGGAGGGAGGGAGGGAAGGAGAGAGGGAGGGAGGGAAGGAGAGAGGGAGGGAGGGAAGGAGAGAGGGAGGGAGGGAGGGAAGGAAGGAAGGAAGGAGAAAAGCAAACAAAACTGAAAAACATCAGTACAAATAAATGTGCAAAATCAATCCCAAAACCTCCCTCCAATCTTTCCTTCCCAGTACAGAACACTCTCAGAAGACACTGTATCAGATTTGCCTTTACCTTCTCTAGGTCTCCAGGAGCAATTTGCAGAGCAGAATTCACCTCCAGAGAAAAAATACCAGCTTCCCTCTAACAATACCCACTTCACTAATTTCAGTGCCTTAGAGAGCAAGATATCCCTAAGGGTTTTTGGTTTTCTCTTTTTCTTCTCTTCCTGTCAACTGAAGATTCTGTAGCTAGGACTCAAATATGTACTTCTGGCAGCCTGAGTTGGAAATCAACATACTAAAGTAACAATTTCAGGTGCCCTGTGAGCTGCATTAGCTTCAGCCAGATTAATTGGAGAATTTACCGTGGATTTATGTAATTTTTTTCCTACAGGAAAAAAACCTCCAAAACTTACATTATTTTGGAATTTAGTTTATAATTGCCTGTATAAAAAAATATTGAGTCAAAATAAAGAGATTCACAAAGGAAAAAAACAACATACCGCTGACTTCACTAACAATAGATATTCCAGGCCGGGCACAGTGGCTCACACCTGTAATCCCAGCACTTTGGGAGGCCAAGGTGGGTGGATCACGAGGTCAGGAGTTCGAGACCAGCCTGGCCAACATAGTGAAACCCCGTCTCTACTAAAAATACAAAAATTAGCCGGGCATGGTGGCGCGCACCTGTAGTCCAAGCTACTCGGGAGGCTGAGGCAGAGAATCGCTTGAATCCAGAAGATGGAGGCTGCAGCGAGCCAAGATTGCCCCACTGCACACCAGCCTGGCCGACAGCGTGACACTTCGTCTCAAAAAAAAAAAAAAAATAGATATTCCAGTGTCTGTCTAGCCAGCTAGGGAATAGCAATTGCTAAATTATAAACTATTTGGAATTAGTTGATTGACAGCTTAATAAAGTTTATGGCAACTAGACTCAAGAGAATACTTTTCATTAAAGAAGATAACAGTTTAAGGTCAAATAATTGTTGAAATCTTAATAATATAATACATTACAGAACATATCTCATCATGGAATCTTGTAACTGATAATTAACAAGTTTAAAATATTATTTGCCATTACTGAACAGAATAAAGAATAATTGCAGAATGTGTAGATTATTTCATTTATGTATTTATTTATTTATTTATTTTATTTTTTTGAGATGGAATCTCGCTATGTCACCCAGGCTGCACTGCAGTGGCGTGATCTTGGCTCACTGCAAGCTCCGCCTCCCCGGTTCATGCCATTCTCCTGCCTCAGCCTCCCAAGTAGCTGGGACTACAGGCGCCTGCCACCACGCCCGGCTAATTTTTGTATTTTTAGTAGAGATGGGGTTTCACCTTGTTAGCCAGGATGGTCTCAATCTCCTGACCTCGTGATCCACCCGCCTGGGCCTCCCAAACTGCTGGGATTACAGGCGTGAGCTACTGCGCCCAGCCCTGAATGTGTAGATTATTTTTTAACCAGTGTAGTAGTATGGGTATTATTAATTTAGGTACAGATATTTTAAAGGCATATTATGATTCAGAAACAGCATACTGTATTTAAATGCATTCAAATATAACACGCATAAAGTAATTTAAAAGAAAAATACTATTTTGCAATAAAAATAACCAGGCCAGGCATGGCGGCTCATGCCTGTAATGCCAACACTTTGAGAAGCCAAGGCAGTAAGATCCCTTGAGTCTGGGAGTTCGAGACCAGCCTGGGCAATATAGTGAGCCCTGGTTTCTACAAAAACCTGAAAAAAAGTTAGCAGAGAGTGGCAGTGCACACCTGTCATCCCAGCTACTTGGGAGACTGAGGTGAGAGGATGGCTTGAGCCCAGGAGGCAGAGGTTGGAGTGGGCCAAGATGGTACCACAGCACTCCAGCCTGGGTGACACAGAGAGACTCGATCTCAAAACAAACAACAACAACAAAACCCACCAATAAAAATAACCAATATAATAAGATCAGGAAGTTTAAAGTAGAGGTAATAAGATCAGAAGTTTAAAGTGGAGAAAAAAACTATCTGCATCTGTCTCTGTGTGCCAGATATTTTACCTCATTTAATATTCACAAATACCATACAAAACAGCCATTTCTATGTTTTCCCTTTTCACAGGGAACTAAAGGCAACAACATCTCTGGGCCTAGAGAAACAGTAAATGGCAGAGTCAGGGTTTGAACCTATATCTCTTTGACTCTAAAGTCTTTGCCCCTTCCCCCATCATGCTATTTAAGAAAGATCACATATACTAAACAAAAATTTGAAATCACTCCCACTTTTCACTTGCCATTTATTTATTTATTTATTTATTTCTGAGACGGAGTCTCGCTCTGTCGCCCAGGCTGGAGTGCAGCAGCCAGTCTCTTTACTTTTTAAAAGACAAGTGACAAGGCCAGGCACGGTGGCTCATGCCTATAATCCCAGCACTTTGGGAGGCTGAGGCGGGCAGATCACGAGGTCAAGAGTTCGAGATCAGCCTGGCCAACATGGTGAAACCCTGTCTCTACCAAAAATACAAAAATTAGCCAGGCGTGGTGGCGCACGCCTGTAATCCCAGCTATGCAGAGGCTGAGGCAGGAAAATCGCTTGAACCTGGGAGGCGGAGGTTGCAGTGTGCTGAGATCGCACCACCGCACTCCAGCCTGGTGACGGAGTGAGACTGTCACAAAAACAAAAACAAAAACAAAAAAACAACAAAAGAAAGAGAACCAACAAAAAAAAATTTTTTTAAGAGGATGTAAATGTTATGTATTTTTTTAGTTGGACTAGTTCCACTTTGACACCTAAAATGATTTTTTTTTTTTTTTTTTTTTTGAGACGGAGTTTCACTCTTTCGCCCAGGCTAGTGTGCAGTGGCGCGATATGGGCTCACCGCAACCTCCGCCTTCCGGTTTCAAGCGATTCTCCTGCCTCAGCCTTCGGAGTAGCTGGGATTACAGGCGCCCGCCACCACGCCAGGCTAATTTTTGTATTTTTAGTAAAGACAACGTTTCGCCATGTTAGCCAGGCTGGTCTCGAACTCCTGACCTCGTGATCCGCCAGCCTCGGCCTCCCAAAGTGCTGGGATTACAGGAGTGAGCCACAGCGCCTGGCAAAATGATCAATATTTATAAATACATCTGTCCAACACATAATGACTTGTTGAACTCATCTAACTTTCTCTGGATGCTATTTAGGGAATAAAATACAGGACAGGAGTTGATTGTTATGAACATATAAGGAGAGAAGCAAAAGCCCCATGCTAATATTGGCCATATCCTAGAAGAGGAGGAAATTATAAGTTCTAGGTCAAAAAAACTTTTGTTGGTTACAGGGTTTCAGAGTGATTTCACTAGAGGCCACCAATGGTCGCCTCTTCTGTTTCTAGATATCCTGTTTTCCTTCTTTCCCAAGCATTCCCCAGATTGTCCATGAAGCCTTTTTTTCCCACAGTGTCAATGCAGCTAACCAACCATACATCTAGCTCAAAAATTGTTAAAAGAATTGAACTGGTAACCTGTCTCAAAGCAAAAGAAAAAAAAGTAACAGCATTTTACATTTGGGAGGTGTTTTATATCCTGAGAAAATCTGGGTTCAGAGACTCTTTTTACTGTATTACAAGGGCTAACTGAGGCTGGGAGACAGGAAGTGACCGAGGGCCGAGCGTGAGTTGGCAGCAGGGCCAAAGGTTGAAGCTTGATCTCAGAACAGCACTCCCGGCTTTCCCCATCCCCGACCCGGGCCGAGCCTCAGGGCTGGCTCCGCCCTAAAGCTTGCGGGGACGGGGCTCGAGAGTGCCAGCGGCAGCCCACAGCACGCCTAAAATAACACCCCGCCCCACGGGCCTCCTTTCTAGAGTAAAGACACGTTCGGTGACAGTGCGGAGTTTAGGGAACCAGAGGGAAGGCGCGGAGAAGAAAAATAGGTCTCTCCTTCAGACAACTGTGGGCGCACACGGCCTCTAACCCAAATCCGCGCTCCTGCTGCCTTCACCTGCCACACGATCAGCGACACGCTAACCTCTGCGCGCTGGGGGACCCCCAAAGGTTGGCCTCCGGGATCCCTCTCCCAGCCCACTCTAGAGACGAATCTGGTCCCCAAAATGTAAGAAAAGAAGGGGCGCAGGAACAAAGCGACCTCAAGCGGTGGCCCCCAAGGCGGGCGGGCGCGGACTACAAGTCCCGGCACGCCGCGCGCCGGCGGCCCTCGGCCACTGCCACGCGGGCGGCGCGGTGGCCGCCGGGACTCGTAGTCTGCGGCTCGGCGACTCCGCGGGGCGCGGACTAGGGGCGGCGGGACAGGCCGGCCCGCATCCCGTCAAGCCCCAAGGAGCCCGCCTGCTGCCCGGGCCTCACCTCGACGATGCGGGCGCACTGGGTCCCCTTGCCGGCGCCGGGGCCGCCGAGGACGAACACGACCAGCGGCTTCATGAGACGTGGAGAGCAGAGGAGAATCGGCCGGCGGGTCTGCAGCAGGAAGCTAAGGCCCAGGACGTGGAGCAGCCCGCTGCGGCAGCGGCTCAGCATACACCGCGCCTCGGCCGGACGCTGAGGGAGCTGACAGCGGCCGGCGCGGCGCGGGGCGGGGCGGGGAGGCGGCGGGAGAAAGGGGCGGGCTGAGCCGGCGCCCGCCGCGGCCCCGCCGCCGTGGCTGCCCGGGCGTCCGCGGCCCTGTCGGAAGGGGAGGAGCTTCGCACGGCGGCGGCGTCTCGGCGACACTCGTGCGGTCCGCGCCAGCTTTCCTCCAACCCTTGGGTGGTTATTAGTGCTTTCTGACTGCAGATATTTTATCCTGCGCCCTCAAGTGTCTGGTGCTGAGCTGGAGGCTGGGACGTGATCCGCGGGAGAGCAAAACCTATTGTCTCTGCTCGCAATGAGTTTCCATTCCAGCCAGTGAGGTATGGGGAGGTAGCCAGTGTGAATGAGTAAACACCAGTACATACAAAAGGCAGTACGATTTTGAAGAAATAACAAGTAGGACATAAGATGGCCAGGGTCGCCAGAGAAGGCTTCAGAAGAGGTGACATTCAAGCCAAGACAAAAGGATAGAAAAGAGCGAAACCAGGCAAACACCAGGATAGAGTGTCCCACAGAGAAAAGCATGTGCAAAAAATCTAAGTTGGTTTGGCATGTTAAAGCAATTGAAGGAAGGCCTGGCTGGGCGCGGTGGCTCACGCCTGTAATCCCAGCATTTTGGGAGGCTGAGGCAGGAGGATGGCTTGAGCCCAGGAGTTCGAGACCAGCCTGGACAACATGACGAGACCCCGTCTCGACCAAAAATTTAAAAGCCGGGCACCGTGACCCGTGCCTGTGATCCCAGCTACTGGGATGTTCACTTGAGCCTAGGAGCCGTAATAGCACCACTGCACTCCTGCCTAGGTGACAATGAGACTGCTTCAAAAAAAAAAAAGGAAAAAAGGCCAGTGACAGTGAGACCAGGGCTGAGTCAAATGAGGGGAGAATGGAAGGTGAAAAGTTGAGAAAGTGAGGTCGGTGGCAGATCAGGACTTTTGATTATGGAAAGGAATTTGGGCTGTATTCTAACAGCAATGGAAGCCCTTTAACTCCGTTCGCCTGCCCCCTTCATTAGGGAAGAATCTTAAGGGAGAAGAAAAGGAGACGTTCAAGAACTGAGCCTTGGTGCATACAGGCCTTTAAAAGGCCTTCTGGCCAACGTTAAGAGCTCATTTGATATTTGAGGTAACGGATTCAAAATAATTGAAGATGTTTGGCCATTCAGGCACAGGCAGAGAAGGCAGCTTGTTGCATTTACTGAGGGTTGGGATTTTGCCTGGCAAGTACAACAGAGAGAGGGGGCCAAGTGATGAGAGTGTTTGGAAGAGAATGTTCATGATGCTGTGTGTAGAATCAAAACCATACAGGAAAGCAAATAATGGCACATGAAGCCTGGTAGTGGAGGGGTTGGAGGGTGGTGGGGAAAGGGACCAATGTCTTAGAGCATTGGCCCAAGAAAGATTGCAGTGGGGTATATGAGCAAGTGCTCTGGCAGTATGGATGCTGCTGGTCTGAGTGGGATATTTGGAATTGAAATGTCCCAGCTTCTGAGTTTCTGATGATGCCAAGGTCCAGGGTGAGACCATGGGAATGGAAGACTGAGGCAGAATGCATGTCCTGTTTTTAGAACTAAGAGTCCAGGGTGTTAGATTTGTCGTACAGGTACAAGTTCAAGTCAGATAGTGCTGGAGTGAACAAAGACTATGGGAAAGGAACTAAGCTGTTTAGGGCAGAGTGACCAGGACGTTAGTAAACGAAAGCAAACAGGAGAGGAAGATAGTGGTATAGCCCTCTGTCTGACCACCCCCATTCTCCTTTTTCTTTTGGTGGTCCTTTCTTAGCTCACTCAGCATTTTCTGGCTCTTCCCCATCTCTACTCTCTCTCCTTGCTTTCTTTTTGTTGTTGTTGTTTTTACTTATTCCCATCCTTCCTACCCTTCTTTTCCCATTTATAAGTCCCTCCCTTCTCCCTGTCTCTTTTCCTGTCCTTCTCCTCACCTACTTGCCTTTGTTTGCCCTTCTTTTCCATTCTCCCTTTAATTTCTACCTCTTTCCTCTCCACAACTTCTACCTTTTCCTTCCCACCATAGAAAGGAGAATGGGATATTTTTTATTATCACAGCTGGAAAAAAATTTTTTTGGGGGGGATAGAGTCTCACTCTGTCACCCACGCTGGAATGCAGTGGTGCCATCTTGGCTCACTGCAACCTCCACCTCCCAGGTTCAAGCGATTCTTCTGCCTCAGCCTCCCAAGTAGCTGGGATTACAGGCACCTGCCACCACCCCTGGTTAATTTTTGTATTTTTAGTAGAGAGGGGGTTTCACCATGTTGTCCAGGCTGGTCTTGAACTCCTGGGCTCAAGTGATCCTCCTGCCTTGGCCTCCCAAAGTGCTGGGATTGCAGGCATGAGCCACCGCGCCCAGCCAGGCCTACACTACACTACAGGTGGTGGTGTGCACCTGTAGTCCCAGATGCTCGGAAGGCTGAGATGGGAGGCTGAGGTGGGAGGATCCCTTGAGCCCAGGAGGTGGAGGCTGAGGTGGGAGCAGCCCTTGAGCCTAGGAGGTGCAAACTCCAGTGAGCCAAGATCGTGCTACTACATTCTAACCTGGGCAACAGAGCCAGACCCTGTCTCAAAACAAAAACAAAACATTTTTCTATGGATACTGAAATTTGAATTTATATAATTTGCATGTGTCCCAAAATATTATTTATTTTTATTTTTAAAATCCATTTTAAAATGTGAACATTATTTTGAGCTTGAAGGCTATACAAAAACAGGGACCCACGTTTAGATATGTGAATTTTCACATAAAAAAACACGGCCGGGCGCAGCGGCTCATGCATGTAATCCCAGCACTTTGCGAGGCCAAGGTGGGCAGATCACCTGAGGTTGGAAACCAGCTTGGCTAACACGGTGAAACCCCAGTTCTACTAAAAATACAAAATTAGCTGGATGTGGTGGTGCATGCCTGTAATCCCAGCTACTTGGGAGGCTGAGGCAGGAGAATTGCTTGAACCCAGGAGGTGGAGGTTGCAGTGAGCTGAGATCGCACCACTGCACTCCAGCCTGGCGACAGAGCAAGACTCTGTCTCAAAAAAAAGAAGGCTCCAAACCCTTCAGCTTCTGGGGAGGAGGAGCTAGGACATGGGCAGCCAAGAACAAGGACAATTGGTCATATTGGGAATGGGTAGCAGGAGTATGAAAAAGGCCATATCAAAACAAATGTGTCTTCTTTTCCTTTGTTCACACAATTAGAGTTAAAAGATCTTAAGGATATGGTGTCTGTGAGAAAAAGGGCTAGGAAGCTATTGGCATACTTTTAGTGAAGGCCTTGGGCTAGAGACAAAAAGACAGTCTTTGTTGTTTCCATGATAGAACACCAGAACTAAGGATTCCACACAGGGGTTTGGGTCTGAAACTTCCTAGTAAACCTACTTAAAGCAATATGTGGTGATTTTTTTTTCACAGAGAAAAAAACTTTCTGGATAATTATGACCACAGTTGGTTGAGTACTTAATGTCCTGTTCCTTGCCTGTCTCCTTCTGCCAGTTATGTTAGGCAACTAAGGAAAATATTAATGTGGAAAGATTTCTAAAAACTGAAACCCAGACACCCATCTCTGCGAAGGGTTTTCCAGGGAGTCATTTCCAGGAATGACAAGGTGAGGCAAAAAAACACTTTATGACTAGTTGGCCCTTTGAGTCTGTTCCAGTTATCTATTGCTACAAAACAGCCATTCCCAAATCAATGACTTAAAACAAGAAACATTCTTTTTTTTTGAGACAGAGTTTCACTCTTGTTGCCCAGGCTGGAGTGCAATGGCACAATCTCAGCTCACCACAACCTCTGCCTCCCGGGTTCAAGCGATTCTCCTGCCTCGGCCTCCCAAGTAGCTGGGATTACAGGCATGCACCACCACGCCTGGCTAATTTTTTTGTATTTTTAGTAGTGACGGGGTTTCTCCATGTTGGTCAGGCTGGTCTCGAACTCCCGACCTCAGGTCATCCGCCCGCCTCGGCCTCACAAAGTGCTGAGATCACAGGCATAAGCCACCAAGCCCTGCCTTTTGTTGTTGTTGTTGTTGAGATGGAGTCTTGCTCTGTCGCCTGGGCTGGAGTGCAGTGGCACCATCTCAGCTCACTGCAACCTCTGCCTCCCAGGTTCAAGCGATTCTCCTGCCTCAGCCTCCTGGGTAGCTGGGATTACAGGCACCCGCCACCATGCCCGGCTAATTTTTGTATTTTTAGTAGAGATGGGGTTTCACCATGTTGGCCAGGCTGGTCTCAAACTCCTGACCTCAAGTGATCCGCCCGCCTCAGCCTCCCAAAGTGCTGGGATTACAGGCGTGAGCCACGGCGTCCAGCCAAAACAAGAAACATTTATTTTGCCTATTACCTGAAAATTGGGCTGGGCTCAGTGGGGACAGCTAATCTTCATCCCACATGGCATCAGCTGGGGCAGCTCAGCTGAGGGCTGGAGGATCCATATCCAAGAAGGCTCATTCACATGGCTGACAGAGGATAACTTTTTTCCTCTTGTGAGTGTCAATACTTAATTTTGGTGTAGAGACGGGAAGCTGGAAAATACACTATTTAAATTTTTCTTGGCTCTCCCTAACATTGTGGAAACGCTCTTTCCCTAAAGACCATGGAGTTTACCATGAGTTGCTTAGGTTTCTTTTTACAGCATGATGGCTAAATGTTACTCTTCAAGAGTAAACATTCCAGGAGATGGGGAGTAGAAACTGCCAGTTTTTAAAACCTCGGTTTAGAAACTGCCACAGCAACTCTTCTTTCACCATATTCTTTCAGTCAACCACACACAGAGCCCAGATTCAAGGAGAGGGTACATAGGCCCTACTTCTCAAGAGGAGTGTCAGGAATTTTGGTGCCATGTTTTAAAGTTTCTACAGGGTCCAAAAGCCCTCTGTGGAACCTTAGATTTAGTAAGCTGAGATGGATCTTATAGAGCTTAGAGAAAACTCTCTTGTATAATCAAGGGAGGCCTAGATGACCTTCCCTCTCTTAGACTCCTCCCTGGCAAGCTAGACCAGATCAACAGGAACACTCAAAAAGAGAAATAAGCCAAGGAAGTTAGGATCTCCAAGTAGCTTTGGGCCTATTTGATCACACTGGCAGTCACATGGGGCCAAGCCGAGTACATGGAATTAATAAAAGACACAATACTACACTGATGCTTGAAAATTCAATCCTATTGCTTGTCCACAGTGAAAGGTCTACCACTTAGCATCTTGATCCTAATTTGTCTCCAAGGAATCCATTTTGTCTTAGCCATATATTAGTGCTCCTTGGAGGTGGCAGAGAAGCATTGAATTACACCTAGGGGTAAGCCACCAGATATGCAATAATAGTATGTCCCAATAAATATATATAGAATAAGTGGATGTCACCCAGTAAAGGGGCATTTCCTAACTATATCCATAGATTGAATCTATAGGCTAAATAAATTTGATTAATATCTATTAAATGTATACTATGGTGGCTCACGCCTGTAATCCCAACACTTTGGGAGGCCAAGATGGGTGGATCACCTGAGCTCAGGAGTTCGAGACCAGCCTGGCCAACATGATGAAACCCCATCTCTACTAAAATACAAATTAGCTGGGCATTGTGGCAGGTGCCTATAATCCCAGCTGCTCAGGAGGCTGAGGCAGGAGAATCACTTGAACCTGGGAGGCGGAGTTGCAGTGAGCCGAGATCACACCATTGCACTCCAGCCTGGGTGACAGAGCGAGACTCCGTCTCAAAAAAAAAAAAAAAAATGTCTACTATGTGCCAGGCATTTTTTGGATAATATTCCAACTTTTAAAATAAATCTATCAGAATACCTGTAAAGATTTCTGTGCTGTCTTTTTGTTTGTTTGTTTGTTTGAGACATACTTTCACTCTTGTTGCCCAGGCTAGAGTATAATGTGCAATCTCGGCTCACTGCAACCTCCACCTCCTGGGTTCAAGCAATTCTCCTGCCTCAGCCTCCTGAGTAGCTGGGATTACAGGCATGCGCCACCACGCCCGGCTGACTTTGCATTTTTAGTAGAGACAGGGTTTTGCCATGTTGGTCAGGCTGGTCTTGAACTCCTGACCTCAGGTGATCTGCCCTCCTCGGCCTCACAAAGTGCTGGGATTACAGGTGTGAGCCATCGCACCTGGCCTCAGATATCTTCTAATTGCTAGATTGTGGGGAGGTCCAGTGTGTCCCAGGGGAGAGTTGGAGGACACTGGAAGTGCTTAGGGAAGTAGCCATATGCCAACTCATATGTAAATGTTTCAATATTTTTGTTGTTTCTTTATTTTTGAAACGAGGTCTAACTCTGCTGCCCAGGCTAGAGTGTAGTGGCGCATCACAGCTCACTTTAGCCTCGACCTCCTGAGTAGCTGGGACTACAGGTATGCACCACCATGCCTCGCTTATTTTTCTATTCTTTGTAGAGACAGGATTTTGCCATGTTACCCAGGCTGGTCTCAAACTCCTGGGCTCAAGTGATCCACCCAGCTCAGCCTCCTAAAGTGCTAGGATTTCAGACGTGAGCCGCCGCGCCCCGCGTGTTTCAATATTTTAATCACCAATACAGCCTTTCCAGTTGGGTATTAGTTAAATATCAGCCTTGCCTTGCCTATGAAATTCTCATAATGCTGTGAAGTTAGTACTATCGTTTTACATAGAGCCAGGACCACAAGGCAATGCCAGGCGCGGTGGCTCACCACACGCCTGTAATCCCAGCACTTTGGGAGGCTGAGGCAGGTGGATCACCTGAGGTCGGGAGTTTGAGACCAGCCTGACCAACTTGGAGAAACCCTGTCTCTACTAAAAATACAAAATTAGCCGGGTGTGGTGGCGGGCGCCTGTAATCCCAGCGACTCGGGAGGCTAAGGCAGGAGAATCGCCTGAACCTGGGAGATGGAGGTTGCGGTGAGCCAAGATCGCGCCATGACACTTCAGCGTGGGCAACAAGAGTGGAACTCCGTCTCAAAAAAAAAAAATCAACAACAAAAAAACCCCACAAGGCAATAGATGACAAAGTCAAATTCAAATTCAGCATGTATGACTTTAAAATGTGCATTTCTATACAACACTGACTCCATGAAAAGTTCCATACTCACAAAAATCCCGTCAAAATATGTTATGTTACAGACCAGAAGACTGATCTCAGAAAGATGTATAGCAAGAGCTATCCTTAAAACCCACCCTTACCCATAGATGTTTATCATTGAGTACATTAGGTCTTTTCACATACATTCAGTACCTGCATACTATTCCCAGGGTATATCTATGTTCCTAGCACCCTTTGTAGGGGATTAGGAAATAAGCTTTGTCACCATTCATCAATCCTATTTATCATAATTGCCTCTTAGAGATAGATATCTGTTCCCATACTTTCATTTTCCCAGACTTGACTACTCCCCTTTGCTGCCTATGTTATATTCATGTTTCAGAATTCAGCTTGAGCCTGGGCAATCTAGTGAGACCCTGTCTTTAGAAAAAATTAGAAAAATTAGACAGATGTGATCCCAGCTACTCAGGAAGCTGAGGCAGGAGGATTGCTTGAGCCCGGGAGGTTGAGGCTGCAGTGAGCAGTGATCATGCCACTCCAGCGTGGATGACAGAGTGAGACCTTGTCTCAAAAAAAAAAAGAAAAGAAAAAAAGTTGGGCATGGTGGCTCATGTCTGTAATCCCAGTACTTTAGGAGGCCAAGGCAGGAGGATCACTTGAGCTCAGGTGTTCAAGACAAGCCTGGGCAAGATGGTGAGACCCCATCTCTTTTGAAAAATTGATTGATTGAGACAGAATCTGGCTCTGTCGCCCAGACTGGAGTATAGTGGCACGATCTCGGCTCACTGCAACCTCCGCCCCCTGGGTTCAAGCAATTCTCCTGCCTCAGCTTCCTAAGTAGCTGAGATTACAGGCACACGCCGTTGCACTCCAGCCTGGGCAACAAGAGCGAAACTCCGTCTCAAAAAAAAAAAAAAAAAAAACAACCTCCCAAGACTGGGTTAGGTGTACCTCTTTTGTGCTTCTACCCTCCCCCATCACGTCCCTTGTTATTTCTGTTGTAGGCCTATGTTGTTATGGGTATCTCCACACTAGATTTAGAGCTCTATGAAGGAAGGGACTCTGTCTGATTACTCTTTGTACAGCATTGAACTAAGAGCATGACCGTGTGTTATTGTTACATGATTCACTCTCTTAAGCAAGCAGGTGCATGCTTTGTCTTCAGGCCTTCATAGCTGTCTATTATATTGTAATCTATTTCCTGGAGTGATGCTTAGTACATTGCATAACCTGATACTTAATAGAGTTTCTAAAATGAAGGTCCCTGCTACTCAGATTTGCTTGGTTATTGTTGTGAGGCTTTATCAAAGGACCTGTTCTCAAAGATTCTGAACATTAGTTCAGGGAAACATAGTATTTTTTTTTTTTTTTTGGAGACACAGTCTCGCTCTGTCACCTAGGCTGGAATACAATGGCACAATCTCGGCTCACTGTAACCTCCGTCTCCCGGGTTCAAACAATTCTCCTGCCTCAGCCTCCCCAGTAGCTGGGGCTACAGGTCACACCACCACACCCAGCTAATTTTTTGTGTTTTAGTAGAGATGGGGTTTTACCATGTTGGCCAGGCTGGTCCCAAACTCCTGACTTCAGGTGATCCGCCCACCTCGGCCTCCCAGTGCTGGGATTACAGGTGTGAGCCACCACGTCTGGCCCACATCACATCACTTTGGGAGGCCGAGGTGGGTGGATCACCTGAGGTCAGGAGTTCGAGACCAGCCTGGCCAACATGGTGAAACCCCATCTCTACTAAAAATACAAACATTAACTGGCAGTGGTGGTACACACCTGTAATCTCAGCCACTTGGGAGGCTGAGGCAGGAGAATCGCTTGAACCCGGGAGGTGGAGGTTGCAGTGAGATGAGATCATGCCACTGCACTCTAGCCTGGGTGACAAAGTGAGACTCCATCTCTGAGCCACCACGCCCAGCCCATCTCAAAAAAAAAAAAATGTGATGTGACAAATCTGGCAGCAGACAATATGACTGCTCTCCTGGGAGTGACTTTGTCAGCTGAGCTTAGCTTCATACTGCAGAACTGCAGGCAGACCAGTGAAGGGAGACTGACTGTCTTTAGCTGAATTTACAGCATCTTTGCTAACTTTACAAGCTTAGGTAGGTTGGTTATACCTGCAATTTCTTTGTCTGCAAAATCAGGATGATGGTACATTAGCTCAGTTTAGCAAATACTTTTAGAGAATTTACCAGTATGTGATATTTGATCATTGTATTCATTCCAAATAATCCAAACTTTAAAAAATAAGTAAAATAAGTCAACATGACTTGAGACATAAATTGTAATTGTTGCCTCTTCTAAGATTTTTAAGTGTCTAAAAGGAATTTGGCATAAATTGACAGATTAGCAATCTTCTTTAAAAATATGTTTCTTAAGGCCGGGTGCAGTGGCTCACGCCTGTAATCCCAGCACTCCTTGGGAGGCCAAGGCAGGTAGATCTCCTGAGCTCAGGAGTTTGAGACCACCTTGGGCAACATGGTGAAACCCCATCTCTACAAAAAAATACAAAAATTAGCCTGGTGTGGTGGTGCACGCCTGTAGTCCCAGCTACTTGGGACGGAGAGGGGGCTGAAGTGGGAGGATCACTTGAGCCCAGGAAGTTGAAGCTGCAGTGAGCTGAGATCGTGCCACTGCACTCCCACCTGGGTGACAGAGAGAGACCCCATCTTTTTTTTTAAAAAAAAAGACATAAATAAAATAAAAATATGTGTCTTAAAAGCAAAGCTGTAGTTGTTTTTAAAAATCAGTAGTACAATTTAGCTTAGAAGTGTAAATTGAGAAAGGGAAAGTTGGGTGTTTGGAGAAACTTAGTACAGTAATAAGTAACAGAACCAGGAAGAGGAGAAATAACAGATTCCAACTTCCCTGTTCCTGGTGATAACAATAGCTCTTTAATCCCCATAGCCAGTCTGTTAGCAGGCACCATCAGGGTTTATAGCACTGAACATTTACTTAGTCTAATCATAAAGACCATGTCATGTGGACAGGGACTGAAAAGGAATAAGGAAAAACAATTGATGTCTTTGGGTTGCTATAACAGAATACCATAAACAGGTAGCTTATAAACAGCAGAAATTTATTTTTCACAGCTCTCAAAGATAGGAAGTTAGAGATCAAGGAGCTGGCAGATTTGGTATCTAGTGAGGGCCTGCTATCTTGGTTCATAAACAGCCATTTTCTCCGTGTGACTTCACAGGGCAGAAAGGAGCAAGGGAGCTCTCTGGAGGTTTCTTTTATAAGGTACTAATCCCATTCATGAAGGCTCTGCCATCATGACCTAATCACCTCCCAAAGGCTCCAGCTACTTACTATCATATTAGAGGTTAGGACTTCAACATATGAATTTTGTGGGGAACACAAATATTCAGTCTACAGCAGTTAGAATATAGAATTCTGGATGAATTTTTCCTTTTACAATTTTTTTCTTGTTATAACATTGTTTATGCAACAAATTCATACTTTTAAAAAAATGACAAACTGGAAATGGTTATCTGTGAAGCAAACTAAAGAACTTGGAAATTTAAAAAATAAAACCAGTAGCTTTTCTCTGTAAGGGCCAAAAGTAATAGCAATTCCACAGTGTCTTGAAATGACACATGAATGGCCAGGTGCGGTGTGGCTCACGCCTGTAATCCCAGCACTTCGGGAGGCCGAGGTGGGTGGGTCACCTGAGGTCAGGAGTTTGAGACCAGCCTGACCAACATGGTGAAACCCCGTCTCTACTGAAAATACAAAAATTAACTGGGCATGGTGGTGGGTGCCTGTAATTCCAGTTACTCAGGAGGCTGAGGCAGGAGAATTGCTTGAACCCGGGAGGCGAACGTTGCAGTGAGCCGAGGTGGCGCCATTGCATTCCAGCCTGGGTGACAGAGCAAGACTCCATCTCAAAAAAAAAAAAAAAAAAGAGAAAAAAAAAGAAATGACACATAAATATATATAAACAGAGATCAAAGACTAGCATGGTATCTCTTCAGTCTATTTAAACTGGCCTGTCATCTAACAATTATTCATATTTGCTTTGGGTAATTACCTCTTATTACACAGCCTATAAAATTGTGCCTTCCCTGTTCTATGCTTATCATGTCCTTTCAACTCCCCATACCAGCTAGCACTAAAGCTTAGTGTATAGTAGGTCCTTGGTATAGCATTTGTAGATTTTATTCCATTAAACTTAATTCTCTTTCTTTTTGTTTGAGATGGAGTCTCGCTCTGTCGCCAGGCTGGAGTGCAGTGGCGCAATCTCGGCTTACTGCAACCTTGGCCTCCCAGGTTCAAGCGATTCTTTTGCCTCAGCCTCCCGAGTAGCTGGGACTACAGGCGTGCGCCACCACGCCTGGCTAATTTTTTTTTTTTTTTTTTTTTGAGACGGAGTCTCGCTCTGTCACCCAGGCTGGACTGCAGTGGCGCGATCTCGGCTCACTGCAACCTCCCCTCCCGGGTTCAAGAGATTCTCCTGCCTCAGCCTCCCGAATAGCTGGGAGTACAGGCGTCTGCCACCATGCCTGGCTAATTTTTTTGTATATTTAGTGGAGACAGGGTTTCACCATGTTGGTCAGCCTGGTCTCAAACTCCTGACCTCAGGTGATATGTGCACCTTGGCCTCCCAAAGTGCTGGAATTACAGATGTGAGTCACTGCGCCCAGCCCTTATTCTCTTTCTAATTTAACAAATCAGTTCCCTTAATCTCTTTGAACACAGGGCAATGTGTTGCTCATTTATTAATAATGTCAACTGCCAGTACACCTAGACTAATAATAATATATGGGTGGCCCCTTTAACTTTCACACTCATTATGCATTAACTCTTTTTTATGATAATGTACAATATGCAAATGAGGAAAATCAATCTCAGAGAAATTAAATGGCAGAATTGGGGTCAGATCCCCAAAGCTATTGATTATTGCATTATAATTCAAAAAAAAAAAGAAAACATCTGGGGAAATAAGCTCTTTAGTCACTTCCAAGCTCTCCTAAATATAATGCTGAATCATTCCTATCCTAAAATGAAGTCAATAATTACTTTTCATTTCAGTCAAAAAGTATTTATGCATAGTGTTAAGTGTATATCCTGCTTAGAAGTCCAGTGGTAGGCCAGGCATGGTGGCTCACGCCTGTAATCCCAGCACTTTGGGAGGCCGAAGCAGGCGGATCACAAGGTCAGAAGTTCGAGACCAGCCTGGCCAAAATGGTGAAACCCTGTCTCTACTAAAAATTCAAAAATTAGCTGGGAGTGGTGTCGGTTGCCTATAATCCCAGCTACTTGGGAGGCTGAGGCAGGGAGAATTGCTTGAACCGAGATCATGCCACTGCATTCCAGCCTGGGAGACAGAGCGAGACTCCATAAAAAAAAAGTCCAGTGTTAATAAAATGTTTAATTGAACTCTCATTGGTATTTGAGTTATTACTAAGCAAAAAGGAAGACATGCTATTTTAGTTGTTCTAAAGATTAGCACATGCCTCAGCTCTCACCTTGTACTTTCCTTTTTTCTTTGTAATAGACTCTTTAATTTTTTTAATCCTAAGAATTTGCCTCAGTCAGGCACGGTGGCTCACACCTGTAATCCCAGCACTTTGGGAGGCCGAGGTGGGCGGATCACCTGAGGTCAGGAGTTCAAGACCAGCCTGGCCAACATCCTGAAACCCCGTCTCTACTGAAAATACAAAAATTAGCCAGGTGTGGTGGCAGGCACCTGTAATCCCAGCTACTTGGGAGGCTGAGGCAGGGAGAATTGCTTGAACCTAGGAAGTGGAGGTTGCAGTGAGCTGAGGTCCAGCCACTGCACTTCAGCCTGGGCAACAGAGCAAGATTCCGTTTCAAAAAAAAAATTTGCCTCTAAAACACTTTTTTTTTGGCTATTGTCTCTTACTGGAAGGATTTTTGTTTGTTTTTAAAAATTATATTTTATAATGAATAGAGATGGGGTCTCACTATGTTTCCCAGGCTGGCCTTGATCTTCTGGGCTCAGGCAATCCACCCACCTCAGCCTCCCAAAGTGTTGGGACTGCAGGCGCAAGCGAGTGTACCAGACAATACTTTATTTTTTTTAGAAGTTTTATATTTATAGAAAAATTGAGAACATGGTACAGAAGTTCCATACCCTACACCCAGTTTTTCATATTATTAACATCTTATATTAGTATGGTAGGTACATTTGTTACAGTTAATGAACAAATATTGGTACATTATAATTAACTAAAGTCTATATTTAGACTTTCTTAGTTTTTACCTAATGAGGTTTTTTTCGGTCCGTGATCCCATCCACGGTATCACATTACATTTAGTTATCATATCTCTTTAAGCTTCTCTTGACTCTGGCAGTTTCTCAGGATTTCCTTGTTTTTGATGAGTTTAACAGTTTTGAGGAGTACAGGTCAGGCATTTTACAGGATTCCTCACTATTGGAATTTGTCTGTCTTTCTCAGAATAATACAAGGTTATAGGTTAATGGGAGGAAGACCACAGAGATAAAGTGCCCCTTGCTTTTTTCTTGTGACGGAATCTCACTCTGTCGCCCAGGCTGGAGTGCAGTGGTATGATCTCACCTCACTGCAACATCTGCCTCCCGGGTTCAACCGATTCTTCCACCTCAGCCTCCTGAGTAGCTGGGACTACAGGCGCATGCCACCACACCCGGCTAATTTTTATATTTTTTGGTAGAGACAGGGTTTCCTCGTTAGCCAGGCTGGTCTCGAACTCCTGACCTCAAGTAATCCACCTACCTCAGCCTCCCCAGGTGCTGGGATTACAGGCGTGAGTCACCGCCTCTGGCCTAAAGTGCCTTTTTTTTTTTTTTTGAGACGGAGTTTCGCTCTTGTTGCCCAGGCTGGAGTGCAATGGCATGATCTCGACTCACCACAACCTCCGTCTCCCGGGTTCAAGCAATTCTCCTGCCTCAGCCTCCCGAGTAGCTGGAATTATAGGCATGTGCCACCACGCCTGGCTAATTTTTTGTATTTTTAGTAGAGACGGGGTTTCTCCATGTTGGTCCGGCTGATCTCAAACTCCCGACCTCAGGTGATCCGCCTGCCTCGGCCTCCCAAAGTGCTGGGATTACATGCATGAGCCACCGTGCCCAGCCTAAAGTGCCATTTTAATCACATCATATCAAGTGTGCATAGTAGTCTGGGTGCTGTGGCTCACGCCTGCAATCCCAGCACTTTGGGAATCCGAGCACTTTGGAGGCCCAGTACTTGAGGCTAGGAGTTCAATACCAGACTGGACAATATAGACAGAATACTTGCTACTGAAGGAAAAAAAGAAAGTTGGGCATGGTGGCACCCTCCTGTCGTCTCAGCTACTTGGAGGCTGAGGTAGGAGGATCATTTGAGACCAGGAGGTTGAGGTTGCAGTGAGCTATGATTGTGCCACTGCACTCCAGCCTGGGCAACAGCAAGGCACTGTCTCTAAAAAACAAAAAAAGGAAACAGAAGTGTACCTACTATCAGCATAACTATTGAGGTTGGCTTGATGACCCACCTGAAGTAGTGTTTGTCAGGTTTTCCCATTGTAAAGTCACTTTCCTCCCTCTGCCTTTCTCCCCCAACCCAATACTATACACTTAGAAGAAATGTCATTATGTGCAGCCCACACCTAAGGAGTGGGGGGTTATGTGTTAGGCTCACCCCTTCCTTTTTATCTAACTCATACTACATTTCTCTTTCTAATATCAAAGTAGTTTTAAAGAAAATCATAAATCATGAGAAGCTGACACAGCGTTCCTTTCTTTTACATGCTAAATTCAATCTGGAATCAAATAGTATTGATTATTCCTTCAAAATATATCCAGAATACAATAACCTCTCACCACCTCCATTGCTACCATTCTGGTCCAAGCTACCATCAATCTCTCTTCTAAGTTATTGCAGCAGTTTTTTAACTGGTCCCCTTGCATCTCTGCCCTTGCCCCAAACAGTCTATTCTCAATATAGCAATCAATGGTCCTTTTAAAACCTAAAATCATAGCCTCACCCAGGCGCAGTGGCTCACGCCTGTAATCCTAGCACTTTGGGAGGCCGAGGAGGGAGGGTTGCCTGAGATCAGGAGTTTGAGACCAGCAGGGCCTATATGGTGAAAATCCGTCCCTACCAAAAATACAAAAATTAGCTGGGCGTGATGGCAGGGGCCTGTATTCCCAGCTGCTCGGGAGCCTGAGGCACAAGAAATGCTTGAATCTGGGAGGCGGAGGTTGCAGTGAGCCTAGATGGCGCCACTGCACTCCAGCCTGGGCAACAGAGCGAGACTCCATCTCAAAAAACAAAACAAAACAAAACAAACAAAAACCTAAAATCAGATTATGTCAGTCCTGTATATAAAATCTTCCAGGCTGGGGGTGGTGGCTCACGCCTGTAATCCCAACACTTTGGGAGACTGAGGCAGATGAATCACGAGGTCAGAAGTTCGAAACCAGCCTGGCCAACATGGTGAAACCCTGTCTCTACTAAAAATACAAAAAATGAGCTGGACGTAATGGCGGGTGCCTGTAATCCCAGCTACTCGGAGGCTGAGGCAGGGTTCATCACTTGAACCCAGGAGTCGTAGGTTGCAGTGAGCTGAGATCACACCACTGTACTTCAGGCCCGGCACCAGAGTGAGACTCTGTTTCAAAAAAAAAAAAATTTTCCAAAGGCTTCCCATGTAACTCAGGGCCTTTGCACTTCATGTAACCAATGGCCGTCATTGAGATGTGTCAGTGATCTCAATGACTTAGATCTCTTTCCAGAAAGAACTTTCCAGTCAGCTGCAAAGACTGCAGTTGCCTGACAGCCTCCTTTGGAATCTGCCTTAGCTTTGGTGCTTGTTCTTTCTTGGAAGCCTCAGGCAATGACTAGGCACAGCAAGAATTCTAGGGCCTAGCCATTTCTGCCTAATGTGGGACTCCTGTAATGGGCAATCTTTGCTCTGGAGCTCCTTATTGGGCTGGCCAACAGTTTGTCAGACATGCATGGCTGTCTGAGGCCCTTCCTGTTCTCACACTAGAGCTCAGGAACTGACCATCATTCCCCTTAAAATTTGTACCCTAGATGCCAAGAATTTTTTCAGGAAAGCAGAGAATGATGCTCTACAGAGCACATCTTTCTTTCTTTTTTGTTTTTTCTGGAGATGTAGTCTCACTCTGTTGCCCAGGCTGGAGTGCAGTGTTGTGATTTCAGCTCACTGCAACCTCTGCCTCCCAAATTCAAGTGATTCTCCTGCCTCAGCCTCCCTAGTAGTCGGGATTACAGGCGTCCACCACTACGCCCAGCTAATTTTTGTATTTTTAGTAGAGATGGTGTTTCACCATGTTGGTCAGGCTGTTCTTGAACTCCTGACCTCAGGTGATCCACCCACTTCAGCCTCCCAAAGTGCTGGGATTACAGGCGTGAGCCACCACACCTGGTCTTAGAGCACATATTTCTTTGCTAGTTTGATACATTTTTCAGAATAGTGTTTTCACTCTCTTAAAAGGGTAGCTGCTTATTCTGACCAGAGCAGCCTACAAATACAGCTCGGACTTTAAGATATTTCCATATTGCTCAGGAAACTAACAAAAGTGGAGTGTTGAGGAAAATAAGTGACATTTCAAATCCTGTCTCTGCACTAACTAGCTGTGGGATCTTAACACATTTCATCTCTTGTTAAATAGGGATAACACTTCTCTACTTTGGCTTTTAGGAGAATAATATCAGATACTGGTGGAGAAAGCACTATTACCACATTAGCTGTGGAAATAATTACAAATTATCAAAGGAATATTAATACCATATAAACAGTCTTCCCTCTGTATCCATGGGGGATTGGTTCCAGGAACCCCAGGGATACCAAATTTGGCCCACAGATACTCAAGTCTTTTATATAAAATGGCATAGTATTTGCATATAACCAATGTACAGTCATCCTTATACTTTAAATCATCTTAAAACAAAAATTAATTGGGGATGGTGGCATATGCCTGTAGTCTCAGTTTCTAGGGAGGCTGAAGTGGAGGATCACTTCAGCCAGAAGTTGAGTCTGTGGTGACAGAGTGAGACCCTGTCTCAAAAAAAAAAAAATCATCTCTAGACTACTCATAATAACTAATTGTATAATACCTAACACATTGTATAATACCTAATACAGTGTACATGCTATGTAAAAAGTAGTTATAGGTTTTTGTTTTTTTTTTTGAGATGGAGTTTCACTCTTGTCACCCATGTTGGAGTGCAATAGCGTGATCTCGGGGCTCACCGCAACCTACACCTCCCGGGTTCAAGCGATTCTCCTGCCTCAGTCTCCCTAGTAGCTGGGATTACAGGCATGTGCCACCACACCTGGCTAATTTTGTATTTTTAGTAGAGACGGGGTTTCTCCATGTTGGTCAGGCTGGTCTTGAATTCCTGACCTCAGGTGATCCACCCGCCTCGGCCTCCCAAAGTGCTGGGATTACAGTCATGAGCCACCATACCCGGTCAAATTGGTTATAGTTTTAAATTAAATTATTTGAGAGATAGGGTCTTGCTCTGTCATCCAGGCTGGAGTGCAGTGGTACAATCATAGCTCACTGCAGCCTCAAACTCCTGGGCTCAAGCAATCCTCCCACCTAAGCCTTCCCAGTAGCTAGGGCTACAGGCCTGTACTACCACACCCCACTAATTCTTAAATTTTCTGTAGAGACAGGGTGCTGCTATATTGCCCAGGCTGGTCTTGAACTCTTGGCCTCAAGCGATCCTCCCATCTCGGCCTTGCAAAGTGTTGGGATTACAGGCAGGAGCTACCGCACCCAACATGTGTGTCTTATTTGTATTATTATTTTTGAGGCAGGGTCTTGATCTGTCACCCAGTCTGGAGTGCAATGGCACAATCTCAGTTCACTGCAACCTCTGCCTCCCCGGCTCAAGCCGTCCTCCCACCTCAGCCTCCCAAGTAGTAGGACTACAGGCACATGACACCATGCCTGGCAATTTTTTTGTATTTTTTGTAGAGATGGGGTTTTGCCATGTTGCCCAGACTGGATTTGTATTATTTTTATTGTTGTTATTTTGTTTTTTTCCCCTCCGAATATTTCCATTTGCGGTTGGCTGAATCTGTGAATATGGAACCCACTGATAGAGGGCTGACTGTATATAAATACATAAAATATCAATACTATATATAATATCAATGCTAGTTGTAGAGATAGGCATATATGGTTTATAAATTTAAGTCACATTCTTTTCTTCTACTCAACAGGAATTTAAAATTTTTATGTTACTTTGCTGGGGGCGGTGGCTCACTTCTGTAATCCCAGCAGTTTCGGAGGCCGAGGTGGGCAGATCACTTGAGGTCAGGAGTTCCAGATCAGCCCAGTGCCCAACATGGTGAAACCTGGTCTCTACTAAAAATACAAAAACTAGCCGGCCGTGGTGGTGCTTGTCTGTAACCCCAGCTACTCCGGAGGCTGAGGCAGGAGAATTGCTTGAACCTGGAAGGCAGTGTGCAGTGAGTTGCAGTGAGCCGAGATAGCGTCACAGCACTCCAGCCTGGGCGACAGAGCAAGACCCTGTCTCAATCAATCAATCAATCAATCAATTAATAAATACAAATTTTGGCCCAGAGTGGTGGCTCACGCCTGTAATCCCAGCACTTTGGGAGGCCGAGGCGGGTAGATCACCTGAGGTCAAGAGTTCGAGACCAGCCTAGCCAACGTGGTGAAACCCCGTCTCTACTAAAAAATACAAAAATTAGGCCGGGCGCAGTGGCTCACGCCTGTAATCCCAGCACTTTGGGAGGCCGAGGTGGACGGATCACGAGGTCAGGAGATCGAGACCATCCTGGCTAACACGGTGAAACCCCGTCTCTACTAAAAATACAAAAAATTAGCCGGGCGTGGTGGGCGCCTGTAGTTCCAGCTACTCGGGAGGCTGAGGCAGGAGACTGGCATGAACCCAGGAGGCGGAGCTTGCAGTGAGCCGAGATCGCGCCACTGCACTCCAGCCTGGGCGACAGAGCGAGACTCCGTTTCAAAAAAAAAAAAAATTAGCCGGGCGTGGTGGTGGGTGGTGGACGCCTGTAATACCAGCTAATTGGGAAGCTGAGACAGGAGAATCGCTTGAACTCGGGAGGCGAGGTTGCGGTGAGCCGATATCGCGTCATCGCACTCCAGCTTGGGCGACGGAGTGAGATTCCACCTCAAAAAAAAAAAAAATTATGTCACTAAAACAGATGGCTTCCTAGGAAAGAAACTGGAAGAAATCTAGAAGTTGAGGATAAGTGATCACAAAAAGGAAAAATTAAAAATGTACATTTTAGAATAAAAATTAAAAAGTAAGAAACTGGAATAACTCTAACTTTCTTGTCTTTTGTGCTTTCAGGTAAAGAGTTTGGAAACTGTTCTTCGGGTGTCCGCTTCCAGTCGCCGACCAATGATCATCTTATAGAGCACTTCCGGCTTCATCTGCCACTCGCTCCTCCGTCTACCTAGCTGGGCTTTCCATTGCGCTTGCGGAAAGCCTACCCCGCCCCGGAACTTAACCGTTGACGAAATGAAAGGTTTAAATCCTCGGATCCTTGATCCTGGAGCGCCGGTGGCGCCCGCAGTTCTCCAAGAAGACTTGGGATTGGTCGAGCGCGGAACCAGTGCGGGGCGCTGATTGGTCGGCACACCAATACGTAACGGCGACCGTGCGCGGCTCTCTAGCACCACCCCCGCTCCCTGACTGGCGAGGTTTCTGACCAGTCAGCAGGCGTGGCGCGGCCTTCAGTTTCGCGAGCTTGTGTTTGCCGCCTCAGTTCCCGCGACCCCAACGTCCCAGAGGCGGGGCCGGAGTCGGCGGTGGCGCTCCTTGGAGCCGGCTCCCGCTCCTACCCTGCAAACAGACCTCAGCTCCGCGGAAGTTGCGGTAAGTGGAGCTTTGTGCTCCTGGTTTCCCCTTGAGAGGCGGCAGCGGGGCCCTGGGAAGGTTGGTGGGTAACATTCAAAGCCCTGTAGTGGGTTCCGCCCTCCAGGAGCCTGGAGCAGATGACGAGAAGGGGAGCTAGTGGGAGAAATTAAGCAGTCCATGAAATCCTTGGGTATCATCTGAGCTAAGGTATGTGAAAGAGGTTTGCAGTCGATAACGTGCCATTTAAAGTTGTTTTTACGGTGGGAATTTCTTGAGGACTGAAACCTTGAATGCTCGCTCTTGCATTCCTCACAATTTCTGGCTCACACTCTGCTACGTAGTAAGGGATCAGTTAATGTTTGAAGTTCATGGACTACTGGAAGTAAAGTGTAAACAGCAAAGTGCGAGAATGCTATGCGTGTGAGTACAGACAGTATAGTACCATCGCCACGGTGTCTGGGAGAAGGTTTCACAGAGGAAGTGACATTCGAGTTGGATTGTGAGGGATGGCGGGGGTTTACTAGGGCATTCCAAGTTAAGGGAGGCATCCTGTGCAGATATTGAAACCGGGGCACTGCAAGTAGTTCAGTTTGACTGGAATGTAGGATGAGTGGATGGGGGGGTTAAGGTTGGAATAATAGAGTGGGGCTGGATTGTGAAGATCCTTTATTCTGTATGTAAAGAAGAGCCATCGGCTTTTTAAAAAAAATTTATTTTTATGTTTATTTTTGAGACGCAGTTTCACTCTTTGGCCCAGGCTGGAGTGAAGTGGAGTGATCTCGGCTCACTGCAACCTCCGTCCCCCGGGTTCAAGCGATTCTCCTGCCTCAGCCTCCCTAGTAGCTGGGATTACAGGCAAACGCCACCACGCTCGGCTGATTTTTGTATTTTTAGTAGAGACGGGGTTTCACCATGTTGGTCGGGCTGGTCTGGAAATCCTGACTTCAGGTGATCCACCCGCCTCGGCCTCCCAAAATGCTGGGATTACAAGCGTGAGCCACCGCCCCTGACATGAGCCATTGACTTTTAAAGCAGGAGAATAATTTGATCAGATTTATATGGAAACACTCTTCTAGCAGCATTATGGGGACTTTTCCATAAGTCTGGTGAGTTGATGAAGTTAGCAACTAAGGTGGTGGGTATGGAAAGATAATTTATATGGAAGAAGGGGTGAGGATGATTTGAACGTTTCTATTGTACACGATAATGACTTTACCTGAGAATATGTTTTGCTAGGTGTAGATGTTGTGTGGTTTTAGTTTTATTACCTTTAGTGGCTTGTACAACACTGACAGAATGAAAGTACCTTATGTATATTGTTTTAAAATAAGAAATCAACATTATCCATCTTTTCACCCAAATGAATAAAGGAATAAAACACAAATAGCGCATTTTAAGACACTTCTGTTTAATGAAGAAAAAATTGGCACTTTTTATACTTTGTAGAGTTACAGTTATCCATGTGAATACTGTTATCCATGACAACCAAGTACTAAGGAAGGGTTTTAGGATTTAAAGCCTGCATTCTGTGGAAGCTGCATTAAACCTTTTAAGTCCAGATATTTCTAAGAAGGACTGTTTAGTCACCTTTTTTTTTTTTTGAGACGGAGTCTCGCTCTGTTGCCCAGGCTGGAGGGCAGTGACGAAATCTCCACTCGCTGCAAGCTCCGCCTCCCGGGTTCACTACAGGTGCCCGCCACCACACCCCACTAATTTTTTGTATTTTTAGTAGAGACGGGGTTTCATCGTGTTAGCCAGGATGGTCTCGATCTCCTGACCTCGTGATCCACCCACCTCGGCCTCCCAAAGTGCTGGGATTACAGGCGTGAGCTACCGTGTCCGGCCTAGTCAATTTTATTAGAAGCACGTTTTTCTCTGTCTTGAACAAGGTATAAGAGCATTTTCAATAGGATTTTCAGCCTCTGACTTTATCTAAAAAGTCTCTTCTAAATAATCTCTGCATCTGGATTAATAATCCTTTTCTCCTTTATCTTGCTTCACACAGAGTGAGACAGAGGCTCATTCTCTTGCCCAGGCTGGAGTGCAGTGGGATGATATCAGCTCACTGCAACCTCCCCTCCCAGGTTCAAGTGATTCTCCTGTCCCAGCCTCCTGACTAGCTGGGATTACAGGTGTGCACCACCATGCCCAGCTAATTTTTGTATTTTTAGTAGAGACGGGGTTTCACCATGTTGACCCGGCTGGTCTCGAACTCCTCACCTCAGGTGATCCACCCACCTCGGCCTCCCAAAGTGGTGGGATTACAGGAATGAGCTCCCACACCTGGCCTTAGACAGTTTCTTTTTCCTAGAATTGATACAGAATGTGCAGGACCTAAGGAACTCTAAGGCTTGAAAGAATATAGGACATACTGAACTCTAAAGAAAGGACTACGAGGTCTGTGTTTAGCTTCAATAATACTTAGATGGAACTGTCCAGTGGGCAGTTAGAAATATGGATTTGAAACATCTGGGCATGGTGGCTCATGCCTGTAATCCCAGCACTTTTTGAGGCAAAGGCTGATGGATTGCTTTAATCCAAGAGTTCGAGACCAGCCTGGGCAACGTGATGAAACCCCATCTCTACAAAAAATCCAAAAAAATTAGCCGGGTGCAGTGGTGAATGCCTGTGGTCCCAGCTATTCAGGAGGCTGAGGTGGGAGGATCACCTGAGCTCAGGTGGTGGAGGTTGCAGTGAGCTGAGATTGCACCACTGTACTACTTCAGCCTGGGCTACAGAGTGAGACCCTGTTTCAAAAAAAAAAAAAAAAGAAAAAAAGAAAAGAAAATGGATTTGAAACTCAGAAGAGAGGTGGAGCTAAAGGTTTGCTATAGATAAGTAGGTGTAGAAGCAATGGGAGTGGAGGATAGTACCCAGAGAGAGCATGTGGAGTTAAAAAAGAATACTGGGCTGGGCATGGTGGCTCACACCTGTAATCCTAGCACTTTGGGAGGCCAAGGTGGGCGGATCACGAGGTCAAGAGATTGAGACCATCCTGGCCAACATGGTGAAACCCCGTCTCTACTAAAAATACAAAAATTAGCTGGGCATGGTGGTGCGCACCTGCAGTCTCAGCTACTCAGGAGGCTGAGGCAGGAGAATCGCTTGAACCCAGGAGGCGGAGGTGCAGTGAGCTGAGATCGCACTGCTGCACTCCAGCCTAGCAACAGAACAAGACTCCATCTCAAAAAAAAAGAACACTGATTTTTCACTGACACAAGTCAGTTTGTGGGAATGCATGCAGTACTGTTTTTTTTCCAATGAAGATTCTTTAATGACTTCATTATAGGCCCCAAATAAATATCTAGCCCAAATCATTTTTTTCTGCTGCTTCATGGTTTTATGAGGGTTGTAAGGTTTTTGGTCAAAATCTCATACATTTGATACTACCTGCCTTACCGAGCTCACTAAGTTGATACAAAGGTTTTGGGGCAGAATCCGAGCTTTCCTTAAGGGATAGATATATTGGTAGATTTTGCTGCCTAGAATAAATATTAACAGTAATTTATTGGCAGAATGACTCTAACGTATGAAAATGATTGGCAGAATCTACAAGCATTTAATCTTATTAATCTATAGTCACACTTCATATAAGTAATCTAATTTTGCCTGTAATTTTAATATGTGGTTAAATCATATTTTTCTTCTTTGTTTTTATCATTCATTAGTAATATTCTCTTTAATTCTTTAGGATACTGAGGATTTGGAATTAAAGAAATCATTCACCAGACATCATGGAGCCTATATATCCTTTTGCACGGCCCCAGATGAATACCAGGTATAGAAGTATATTTACAAATATTTGTCTTACAGCTTTTCACATAACTTGGGAAGGTAGGTTGGAAGAGAAAAAAGAATATAATCTTTAGAATCAGGAAATTCTGGGTTCATATCCTAGCTCTACCACTTGTTAGGTGGGTGACCGTGATCAAGTTAATTAACTAAGCCTCAGTTCTTCATCTGTAAAATGAGGATGGTAATCTCTGTCTCACAGAAGATTATTGTGTGGGGTTGAATAAGATTACTAAACTAAAGGGTCTAGTATGTAATAGGCACTCAGTAAATACTAGTTCCGTCCCTCCTTCAATTATTTTCGTAATATAGATCTTTATTGATGGGAAATAGTACCTGAACTTAGGAGGCTAAAAATTATATCGGTGTTTGTTTACTTTCTAGACAAGTGGGAAATTGGTTGGGTTCCTTCCCTCTTACAAATACTGATTCCTTGATGGGAATAATTTCACATTAGGTATACCAAGTTTCCTCAGATGTTCCTAAGCCTTTGTCAAGTGAAGTAGGAGCTTGCCACCTGTCTTCCATTTTTCTCAGTCTGTTACTATGGGGACTGGGCAAATCAGCTTGTATTATTTGGCTCTTTGGATCATTTATTGCTCTTTTTTCCCCTAGGGAACGACAGTTAATGCTGACATGTGAATTTTTTTTTCTTCCAAACCAGAATTGCATTCATGGGTCGCCTTTATTCTCTGTAATGTCTTTCTTTGTGCCAGATGTTCTTGATGAAGATAGTGGGAAACATGACCCAAGGAGGCTATCGTATTCCTTTTGCTTTAATTTTGGCCCTTGTGTTCTACCCCCCTGCCATCTCTTATTTGAAAATTTGTCGGTGGGCAAGGTGGCTTATGCCTGTAATCCTAGCACTTTGGGAGGCTGAGGTGGGCAGATCGCTTGAGCTCAGGAGTTCAAAATCAGCCTGGGCAACATGGGGAAACCCCATGTTGACAGAAAAATTTTGTCTTCTATTCTTAGAAGGGTACAGTTGTGTAACAAGTTCAGTGTATTCTGTTTTTAATTAAAAAAATTTAAATTTTTGTGGGTACATGGTGTATGTATTTATGGGGTATATGACATATTTTTATAAGGCATGCAATGTGTAATAATCACATATGGGAAATAGGGTATCCATCCCCTTAAGCATTTATCTTTTGTGTTAGAGACAATCCAACTGTACACTTTTAATTATTATTATTTTTTTTTTTTTTTGGAGACAGAGTCTCACTTTGTCACTTATGCTGGAGGGCAGTGGCGCCATCTCGGCTCACTGCAATCTTTGCTTCCTGGGTTCAAGTGATTCTCGTGTCTCAGCCACTCGAGTAGCTGGGATTACAGGCGTGCGCCACCATGCCCAGCTAACTTGTATTTTTAGTAGAGACGGGGTTTCACCATGTTGGCCAGGCTGGTCTTGAAATCCTGACCTCAAGTGATCTGCCCACCTCAGCCTCCCAAAGTGCTAGGATTATAGGTGTGAGCCACTGTGCCCAGCCTAATTATTTTTAAATGTTATTATTTATTACTTTTAAGTTGTTATTGACTATAGTCACCCTGCTGTGCTATCAAATAATAGGTCTTAATCATTCTTTCTGGTTTTTTTTTTTTAAACCCATTAACTGTGTCTACCTCTCACCCAACCCCTACTACTCTTCCCAGCCTCTGGTAACCATCCTTCTACTCTCTGTGTCCATGAGTTCCATTGTTTTGATTTTTAGATCCCACAAATAAGCGAAAACGTGAAGTTTGTATTTCTGCTCCTGGCTTATTTCACTTAACATGGTGATCTCCAGTTCTAACCATGTTGTTGCAAATGACAGGAATTTATTCTTTTTTTTTTCCATTTTCTTTTTCTTTTTTCTTTTTTTTTGTTTTTTGAGACAGTATCGGGGGACCTGCCCCGATAATCACGTAGGTTCTTTTCTGTTTTCCTAAGCGTCCGCTGCCTTGAGAAATAAAAGGACAGAGTACAAAAGAGAGAAATTTTAAAGCTGGGCTTCCGGGGGAGACATCACACGTTGGTAGGATTCGTGATGCCCCACAAGCCACAAAAACCAGCAAGTTTTTATTAGGGAGTTTCAAAAGGGGAGGGAGTGTGCGAATAGGTGTGGGTGACAGACATCAAGTACTTAACAGGGTAATAGAATATCACAAGGCAAGTGGAGGCAGGGCGAGATCACAGGACCACAGGACTGAGGCGAAATTAAAATTGCTAATGAGGTTTTGGGCACCACTGTCATTGATAACATCTTATCAGGAGACAGGGTTTTCAGATCAACCGGTCTGACTACAATTTATTAGGTGGGAATTTCCTCTTCCTAATAAGCCTGGGAGCGCTATGGGAGACTGGAGTTTATTTCACCTCTGCAATCTCGACCATAAGAGACAGGTACGCCCCGGGGGGGCCAGTTCAGAGACCTACCCCTAGGTGCGCATTTTCTTTCTCAGGGACATTCCATGCTGAGAAAAAGAATTCAGTGATATTTCTCCCATTTGCTTTTGAAAGAAGAGAAATATGGCTCTGTTCTGCCTGGCTCACCGGCGGTCAGAGTTTAAGGTTATCTCTCTTATTCCCTGAACAATTGCTGTTATCCTGTTCTTTTTTCAGGTGCCCACATTTCATATTGCTCAAACACACATGCTGTACAATTTGTGTAGTTAACGCAATTATTACAGGGTCCTGAGACGATATACATCCTTCTCGGCTGACAGGATTAAGAGATTAAAGCAAAGACAGGCATAGGAAATCACAAGGGTATTGATTGGGGAAGTGATAAGTGTCCATGAAATCTTTACAATTTATGTTTAGAGATTGCAGTAAAGACAGGCATAAGAAATTACAAAAGTATTAATTTGGGGAACTAATAAATGTCCATAAAATCTTCACAATCCACGTCCTTCAGTCATGGCTTCGGCCGGTCCCTCCATTTGGGGTCCCTGACTTCCCGCAACAAGACAGAGTCTCACTCTGTCACTCAGGCTGGAGTGCAGTGGTGCGGTCTCAGCTCACTGCAACCTCAACTGATTCAAGCAATTCTCATGCCTCAGCCTCCTGAGTAACTGGGATTACAGGCGTGTGCCACCATGTCCAGCTAATTTTTTGTTTTTTGTTTTTTGAGATGGAGTTTTGCTCTTGTCACCCAAGCTGTAGTGGGGTGGCGTGATCTTGGCTCACTGAAACCTCTTCCCCCTGGGTTCAAGTGATTCTCGTGCCTCAGCCTCTGAACTAGCTGGGACCAGAGGCGCGTGGCACCACACCTGGCTAATTTTGTATTTCTAGTGGAGATGGGGTTTCACCATGTTGGCCAGGCTGGTCTCGAACTGCAGGCCTCAAGTGATCCACCTGCCTTGGCCTCCCAAAGTGCTGACATAGGTGTGAGCCACCAGGCCTGGCCCCATTAGTGGTCTTTTTCTTATTGTGGTTTTCTCGTGTTATACACTCATGTAAAATGAAAAGTTTTTGATGGTACCCTATATGATTTAATATCACAACCTTGCTTTACACTGCCCCTGGCATCTTTGTTGAGGAATTATTTATAATTATGTCCTTTTGACGCTTCAATAATTAAACTTGTGCTGTATTTTGGTATTCCAGAATACCAAATTTGGAAACACTGGAAAATAATTAAGAATTTATTAAGTTTTTTTGCTTTTCATAACTGTTGGGTATTATCTAACAATTATCTGGAAATCAGTTCAGAAAGACAGATTTTAGGCCAGGAGCCATGGCTCATGCCTATAATCCCAGTGCTTTGGGAGGCCAAGGTGGGAAGATTGCTTAAAACCATGAGTTCAAGACCAGCCTGGGAAACATAGCAGGACCCTGTGTCTACAAAAATTACAAAAGTAAATCTCACGTGGTGGTGCACATTTGTGGTCTTAGCTGCTTGAGAGGCTCCCTTGAGCCCAGGAGTTTAAGGCTGCAGTGAGGTATGATTGAGCCCCTGCATTCCAGCTTGGGCAACAGAGCAAGGCCCTGCTCTTTAAAAAAAAAAAAAAAAAAGGAAAGAAAAGAAAGATTTTAGTTTAAATTTAAATGTAAATGTATGATTTATACTCATTTTTCTGTTACTTAAAAGGGATTTTGTAGGATTGTCTTGTTCTTTTTTTAAAAGCTTGTGTATACATAAATTTACATATGCATAGATAAAAAAGGACAAATAAGCCAAATTTTGAGTGCCTATTCTCCTGGTAGTAGAGTTACAAGTGAATTTTCTTTTTTAAAAAATATTTTTTGGGCCGGGCGCGGTGGCTTACGCCTGTAATCCCAGCACTTTGGGAGGCTGAGGCGGGTAGATCATGACGTCAGGAGTTTGAGACCAGCTTGGCCAACATGGTGAAACCCCGTCTCTACTAAAGATACAAAAAATTACCTGCGTGTGGTGGCAGGCGCCTGTAATCCTAGCTACTCGGGAGGCTGAGGTGGGAGGATCACTTGAACCCAGAGGCGGAGGTTGCAGTGAGCTGAGATCACGCCATTGCACTCCAGCCTGGGCAACAGGGTAAGACTCCGTCTGAAAAAAAAAAAAAAAAAAAAAAAAAGGCCAGGCGTGGTGGCTCACGCCTGTAATCCCAGCACTTTGGGAGGCTGAGGCAGGCTGATCATGAGGTCAGCAGATCAGGACCATCCTGATTAACAGTGAAACCCTGTCTCTACTAAAAATACAAAAAATTAGCCAGGCATGGTGGTATGTGCCTGTAGTCCCAGCTACTTGGGAGGCTAAGGCTGGAGAATCGCTTCAACCTGGAAGGCGGAGGTTGCAGTAAGCTGAGATTGCACCACAGTACTCCAGCCTGGGCGACAGAGTGAGAATCCGTCTCAAAAAATAAAAAAGTATTTTTTGGCCAGGCACAGTGGCTAATGCCTGTAATCCTAGCACTTTGGGAGGCCGAGGCAGGTGGATGACTTGAGGTCAGGAGTTCGAGACCAGCTTGCCCACATGGCGAAACCCCGTCTCTACTAAAAATACAAAAAGTAGCCGGGTGTGGTGGTGCACTCCTGTAATCTCAGCTACTCAGGAAGCTCAGGCAGGGGAATTGCTTGAACCCAGGAGGCAGAGGTTGCAGTGAGCTGAGATCACGCCACTGCACTCCAGCCTGGGTGATGGAGTGAGACTTTGTCTCAAAAAAAATATATATATATAAACTCTTTGAAAATTACAAAAGTAGTCTGAAAATACCATCACCTTAAAGATAGTTAGTTGTTTCCTACCAAATGTCTACCAAGTTTGCTATTCCTTGTGCTTTAATTTTACATTGTTTTTTCAAAAGGTTTCCTTCAAGCAGGATGGTACCTTTCCACTTTCCTCCATCAAAATGTGCACTTTGGAACCCAACGCCAACTGGAGATTTCATCTACTTACATCTCAGTTACTACAGGTATAACATGTTTCTTTTTTTCAAATCAAGCCAGTATAAACAAGAGTAATACAAAGATGTATAAGGCAAAGTTGATTACTATGACCAATTATTCATTTTTCTTTACTTTTCTTTTAGAATCTCCCCTCAGGCAAAATTTTCCTTCTGCTTCTTAACATCTGTTCCTTGTACTTTTGAGAGATAATCTTATCTTCCCAGTTTTCTGCAAATTCTGCATATTGTAGGAATTCAAAAGAGGTGAAATATAGTAAAAACTGAAAGTGTTTTTTATTATGTCAGCATGGTGTCTTTGTGGAACGTTGAGAAGCTTGAACCAATTTTTGAGTGGATCAGATTAGAAGGAATATAAAATCTTGTAGTTACATCTAGGACCTTGACAGACAAGAAAGTTTAGGTGTAAAGTAATAGAAAATAGATCTATTGAGGTTTTGTACATAAGAGTTACTTGTTAAAAGTAGTATTCTAAGAAGGATAGATTATGGCGGGGAGAGCCTTGAGTCAGCCTAGCTTCAAGATGCTTTTCTGTAATCACACAGGTGTATATTGTAATGGTTTAAGGTGCTATAACTGGGCTGGGTGCAGTGGCTCACACCTGTAACCCCAGCACTTTGGGAGGTTGAGGCAGGAGGATTGCTTGAAGTCAGGAGTTTGAAACCAGCCTGGGCAACAAAGTGAGACCTTGTCTCAATAAAAAATTAAAATAAAAAGTAAAAAAAAAAACAAAATAAGGAAAAAAAAACGGTGCAATAATTGGAGCAGACTGCCTAGGGAATCAAATCCTGATTCTAGTACTTATTTATGCAACCTCAGTAAAGTAGCCAAGGATCAGTTTCCTTATTTATAAAATGACTATAATAATACCAGTTTCACAGTTCTCTTGTAGGGGTTAAATAAGACTCTGTAAAGCAATTGTCACAGTGCCTGGAATAGAAAGTATTTCATAAATGGCATCTATTATACATTATAAGGACTTAGAGCAATGTAGCAGTATTCAGATCAAGAGGAAAGAATGAAACAAGGTGTTTTGAATAAATAATTTGTAGTATTTGATGATTGACTGAATAGAGGAACTGAAGGAAAGATACAAGAAAGAAAGTATTCGGGTTCAACACTAGTTGGCAGAGAAGGGTGGTACCATTGACAAAAATAGGGAGAGTCTTATGGAAGTTCAACTAAATAATGGTTAGTCCTGTTTTTATTTTTTTTATTGTTGTCTTTCTGTACATTTTGAGTAGTTTCCTTTGTTTTTCAAGTCTGCTTATTTTCTCTTTAGCTGTGCTTAGCTGCCATCTAACCTATTCATTTAAGTTTGGTTGTTTTTTTTGAGAGGAGTTTTGCTGTTGTTGTCCAGGCTGGAGTGCAGTGGCGTGATGTTGGCTCACTGCAACCTCCGCCTCCCATGTACAAGCGATTCTCCTGTCTCAGCCTCCCAAGTAGCTCGAATTACAGACATGTGCCACCACGCCTGGCTAATTTTTTTGTATTTGGTAGAGATGGGGTTTCACCATGTTAGTCAGGCTGGTCACGAACTCCTGACCTCAGGTGATCCACCTGCCTCATCCTCCCAAAGTGCTGGGATTACAGGCATGTGCCACCACGCCTGGCCCTCATTTAGGTTTTTTAAAACGTGGCGGTGTACCATATATATGAGAGGATACTTATAGTATATATGCATAGTTAATAGAATAACAATACACATTTGTGTACCTATCCCCAGTTAATTATATAACTTATTGAATTTTTGCAAATTATATTTTTTATTTCTTTAAGTTCTGTATGGCTTTTTTATTCAAATTTGCCTGGTCTTTTTTCGTAGTATCTTATTCCTGGCTTATATTTTGGTTTTCCTTTTACATTTTTTAAAGCATTTAAATCATACTATATTTTGTATTCAATACAGTAGTTTCCCCCCTTTATGCATGGTTTCACTTTCCATGGTTTCAGTTACCCACAGTATAATACAATAAGGTATTTTGAGAGACAGACCATATTCACACAACTTTTTTACAGTATACTGTTAAAATTATGCTACTATTAATTATTGTTGTTAATCATTTACTGTGCCTAATTTATAAATTAAACTTTATCATAGATACGTATGTATAGGAAGAAACATAGTATATATAGGATTTGTTACTATCTGTGGTTTCAGACATCCACTGGGGGTCTGGAACATGTCTCCCAGAGATAAGGGGGCACTACTGTAATGCTGATTATATCTGAAGCCCATACACAGTATGTAAAGAAACAGATGTGACTGTTTCAATCAAAATTTACTTACAAAAACAGGAGACCTACCTGCTGAGGTTCATAAAGTTAACAAAATGCCTGGAGAACAACTATAGTTTCAGTGTCTGTTTATTGCCATTCTAGTTTCCAAGTGGCCCTCCGTATCCCCTGCCTTTGACCCTGGGATTTCCTGACAATGATCTTTCTGTACATTTTTAAAAATGTGTGTTATAATTTAGACAGCATTTTATGGCAGGAGGTTTTTTTAAGATATGAGGTCTACCATATTCATAAAAGACTTGTTGTTTTTCAGAAATCCAAAGCTTGTGGTGACTGAGAAGACCATCCGACTTGCTTATCGTCATGCTAAGCAGAATAAAAAAAATTCGTCATGCTTTTTACTTGGTTCTCTGACAGCAGACGAAGGTAATACACTTTTAAAAATGGACCAGTGCTCACGCCTGTAATCCCAGCACGTTGGGAGGCTGGAGTGGGAGGATCACTTGAACCTAGGAGTTTAAGACCAGCTTGCATAACATAGTAAGACTCCATCAGTACAAGAAAACATTTTTTTAAATTACTTGTATGACTGCAATAGAATTTATTGATTCGGCCAACTATTGTATTTGCTTTGCGCTAATTTTCTTTGCTGTGTACCAAGGATATGAAGATGAGTAAAACTATTAATTACAGAGTTCACTGTCTGGTCAGATGGATCAATATATATAAGCAAGTAAGACTTTAGTATACGCTTATAAGAGTTTAGTTTACTGTAAGAGTTTAGTTTAGTATTTAAGAGTTTAGTGTACTATTGGTATGAACAAAGTGCTTTGCTATAATGTAGTCTTGCTTGGTTGATTTTATGTTTTTAATTAGTATGCTGTATAATAGCTGTTATTTTTGTTCTACAGATGAAGAAGGTGTAACATTGACAGTAGATCGCTTTGATCCTGGTCGAGAAGTACCTGAATGCCTAGAAATAACCCCTACTGCTTCTCTTCCTGGGGACTTTTTGATTCCATGCAAAGTTCATACTCAAGAACTTTGTTCAAGAGAAATGATAGTTCACAGTGTAGATGACTTCAGTTCAGCTTTAAAGGTGCGATTCATTGACAACTTGATAGTTAATTCAACACAAGAATCAAACTATGTTTAGTATGCTGTATTTTAGTAAAACCATATTTGAGAATGATTTACAATAATTTGGTTGAATTATTGTGAACCTAAAATCCAACTAAATGTGTTTGTGAGGGCAAAAACTCTAGGTAAGCGATATGAGTAGCCTTTCAGAAGAAGCAGTGTAACCGAGATAAGAAAGTTCAAGATGTACTTAGGGTAGTGTTTAGAGTATACATTTTTGCTGAATTTGTGGGCAGTCAGACTGGAGTATTAATTTGGTCAGATTATAGAGAGGCTTGGCTGGGCATGGTGGCTCCTGTCTTTAATCCCAACACTTCGGGAAGCTGAGGCAGGTGGATTGCTTGAGCCCGGGAGGTTGAGCCGTGATCACACCACTGCACTCCAGCCTTGGTGGGAGCAAGACCCTGTCTCAAGAAAGAAGAGCCTTGTCTGCCAGCCTGATGAATTTGAACTTTGTCATATGGGCCATGTAGAAATTGAAGGTTCTTGAAAAAAGAAAACACTGTCAAATCAGAAATAGTTAATCTGATAGGGTAGGCTGACCGAAGTTAGAGTAGCCATTGTAGAAGTTGGGCAGGTGTGTATTATAGAGGGATGTATTAACCTATAGTACAATGGTAGCAGTGAAACTAGGAAGGACACAGTGGGCATGGGCAAATACAGAGGGAGAACTAACTTGACAATTTGTGGTAACAAGAAAGGAATCAAAGAGGAATGGACTTTAGATTCTCTGAGGCTCAATCGGAATTATTTTATGAGGCCAGGCACGGTGGCTTACGCCTGTAATCCCAGCACTTTGAGAGGCTGAGGTGGGCTGATCAGGAGGAGTTCAAGACCAGCCTGGCCAACATGGTGAAACCTTGTCTCTACTAAAAATATAAAAAATTAGCTGGGTGTGGTGGCACACACCTGTAATCCCAGCTACTTGGGAGGTTGAGGCAGGAGAATCGCTTGAACCGGGAGGTGGAGTTTGTGGTGAGCTGAGATCGCACCACTGCACTCCAGCCTGGGCAAAAAGAACGAGACTCCTTCTCAAAAAAAAAAAAATTATTTTATGTCCATTTTTTCCCATGTGGTAAATATTTATTGGGGGTGACTCCCCAATAAGACTGAAGTGCTGCTGGGATATCTACATTGAAAATGTGTAGTGGAGCTTGGGACAGTAAATCTTACTTGCTTTGATATAATTATTCACATAATCTTTTGGTCACATGGAATAAACGAGAACTGAAATGCTGTAAATCAGAACTCATTTAATTTTATTTGTGCAAGATATTATATATGTATATGTATCAGTATAAAATAAACTTTGGCGATATGGGCACATTTCAAAGTTTTAAAATAATTATTTAATATTGATTTCTCAGGCTCTACAGTGCCATATATGTAGCAAAGATTCCTTGGACTGTGGTAAGCTGCTTTCCCTAAGAGTTCATATCACTTCCAGGGAGAGTTTGGACAGTGTGGAATTTGACTTGCATTGGGCAGCAGTAACTCTAGCAAATAACTTTAAATGCACACCTGTGAAGCCCATCCCCATTATTCCAACAGCTCTGGCAAGAAACTTGAGCAGTAATCTGAATATTTCTCAAGTTCAAGGGACTTATAAATATGGGTAAGTAAAAGATACATTAATCTAAATGTTAGTTGCATTAGTATATTTTCAGAATGTCCATGTAATGTGAAAGAATTGTCCAGTCAATTTATATGCCAGAGATATGGTGGCTTGGTTAATAACCAGGGAAAGTAAAAAATGAAATGGTTTATTTTCGTTGAATATGAAATTTTCTTTAAGTTGTGCCACCACCTACAAAAAATTGGTGGTAGGGCCTGGCGCAGTGGCTCACACCTGTAATCCCAGTACTTTGGGAGGCCTAGGCGGGCAGATCACCTGAGGTCAGGAGTTGCAGATCAGTCTGGCCAACATGGTGAAACCCCATCTCTACTAAAAATATAAAAATTAGCTGAGCGTGGTGGTGCATGCCTGTAGTCCCAGTTACTCGGGAGGTTGAGGCAGGAGGATCACTTGAACCTGGGAGGTGGAGGTTGCAATGAGCTGAGATCGCACCACAGCACTCTAGCCTGGGCAACAGAGACTCCGTTTCAAAAAAAAAAAAAAGACAAAACTGAGTGGCCATAAAGTATAATGTCTGGATAACTCAGTTCTTTTTTTGAGATGGTGTCTTGTTCTGTCACCCAGACTGGAGTGCAGTGGTGGGATCTTGGCTCACTGTAACCTCCACCTCCCTGGTTCAAGTGATCCTCCCACTTCAGCCTCCTGAGTAGCTGTGATTACAGGTGCATGCCACTACACCGGCTAATTTTTGTATTTTTAATAGAGATGAGGTTTCACCATGTTGGCCAGGCTGGACTTCAACTCCAGACTTCAGGTGATCCTCCTGCCTCAGCCTCCCAAAGTGCTGAGATTACAGGGGTGAGCTACCATGCCCAGCCCCAGAGACCTCAGTTCTAAAAAAAAAAAAAAAGTGGTGGTAAAAATTATATTAAAATTGGAGGCCGAGGCGGGTGGATCACGAGGTCAGGAGTTCAAGACTAGCCTCACCAACATGGTGAAACTCCATCTCTACTAAAAATAACAAACAAACAAAAAAGCTGGGCATGGTGGCACGTGCCTGTAATCCCAGCTACTCAGGAGGTTGAGGCAGGAGAATCGCTTGAACCTGGGAGGCAGAGGTTGCAGTGAGCTGAGATCACACCATTGCACTTCAGTGTGGGCGGCAGAGCGAGACTCTGTCTCAAAAAAACCAAAAAACAAAAAAAAACAAATTGGTTGATAATTTATTATTTGAAAATGTAAGAGGAAATTGTGTTCTATATTGTATATTCTGTATTATTCTTTGTATTTTATTTAGGTTTTAGGCCTTTTTTTTTTCTTAACTATAACCTAATTATGAACCCAAGGGAGGCTAGAGAATTCATTTATAGTATGTGGTTTTAACTGTGAATAATGAGCATTGCAGATAGAGAAAGGAGATAATTAAATAAAAAGTTACAGTACTCTTGCTTACCAAATTGCCAACTACTTGAGGGTGGAGTTTCCTCACAGAGCTGGAGTAGAATCCTCTCCAGCTTCCTATCTCCACTCTTAATTTCTTAGGAAATGTAAGCCAAAATGCATGCTTTCTAATCTTCAGCAAGGCTGCTTCCCTGAATCTTCATCTATTTTCTTTATCTATTATTTATAAAACTAGGTTAGACAATATAACTACTCTACTTTAAAGTTTGACCAGAGACTGCTCCAAGTATTACACTTCTGGTTTCCTTTCCCAGTGACTCCACCCTAGTTCCTGTTAGGCCATTCAATCTAAAAATGTTTGCCAAAGTACACTCAATTCCAAGTCTTATTCTCTAAAAATACCTCTTCAGAACCAGATTCTGACCAGAGCTGTGCTTTCTGATTGGAGTGGCCCAAAGGAAAAATTGGTATATTCCAAAATCATGGAGTGGTCAAAAGTGAGCAAAAATTGTTTGAATTAAATGAAACATTTAATCCTCTTAATTAATAAAGTACTTCTCAAGTGGAGCATGGGATTTTTTGTTTAAATTAACAAAAAAATTAATTTGTTTTCTTTAGTACCCATCCCCATTTACTTGTATAGCATGAATTTACCTTTCTTGGAATTATCCATCTGTGACTGCTGGGCGGGCATGCTGGTAATAACCAGGATGTTCAGTATTCTGTCAATCACCTATTCTCCTTGCCACTTCCTATCTAGAATCGTCTATTAAATTGGTGACATTTGCCATGCCAGGTACATTGACACACACCTGTAATCCCAGCTGCTTGGGAGAGTGAGGCAGGAGGGTGGCTTGAGCTTAGGATTTCAAGGCTGCAGTAAGCTACAATAGTGCCTGTGAATAGCCACTGCTCTCCAGCTAGGACAATGTAGTGAGACCCCATCATTAAAAAAAAATTTGACATTTGCCCTTTATATACCCTAATATTTACTAGGGCCCATTATGGCATAGGCATTATGTTAGACATTGGAAATAAATAGATTAAAAACTATACTTACTATCTATTGAATATGTTGACATGTAAACATGATGTGTTATAATGGAGGTTTATATACAGTGCTGGGAAAGTAGGGGGAGGGATGTCCAAAATGCCTGGGGAAATCATGGAAAGCCTGAACTAATTCTTTTTTTTTTTTTGAGATGGAGTCTTGCTCTGTTGCCAGGCTGGAGTGCAGTGGCACGATCTCAGCTCACTGCAGCAACCTCCACCTCCTGGGTTCAAGTGATTCTCCTGCCTCAGCCTCCCAAGTAGCTGGGATTACAGGCGCCCGTCACCATGCCTGGCTAATTTTTGTATTTTTAGTAGAGATGGGGTTTCACCATCTTGGCCAGGCTTGTCTTGAACTCCTGACCTCATGATGCACCCATCTCAGCCTTCCAAAGTGTTGGAATTACAGGCATGAGCCACTGGGCCCAGCCAGCCTGAACTAATTCTTTTAAGGAGTAGAAATTTATCAGATGGGCAAGACATGAGGGAGAACTTTTAAAGCAGCTGTGTCATTGTTGATTTGTAAATCTTACGCCAACTCAGGCTTAATATTCTTGTCACAAGACCTGACAAATGTATTGTCTTTGTGTTTTAGTGTTATTAGAGCAATAAAATATATCATCAGTGGTACTGCCAAGGCTTTATATCACTAATGGCATTGTTTTTGTTTTCTGTTTTTGAGACGGAGTCTCACTCTGTTGCCCAGGCTGAAGTGCAGTGGTGCAATCTCGGCTCACTGCAACCTCTGCTTCCTGGGTTCAAGTGATTCATTCTCCTGCCTCAGCCTCCCGAGTAGCTGGGATTACAGGCGTGTGCCACAATGCCTGGCTAATTTTTTTTTTTGTATATTCAGTAGAGATGGGGTTTTGCCATGTTGGCCATGCTGGTCTCGAACTCCTCACCTCAAGTGATTTGCCCACCTCGGCCTCCCAAAGTGCTGGGATTACAGTAAGCGTGAGCCACCATGCCTGACCCACTAATGGCATTGTTTTTGAAGAAAGACATAACAATAAAATTAACAATTCTACTTTGGTTTTTTGTATTCTTATAACTTGCTGTCAATAATAAATATAATAAAATATAAATATAGTATAATGTCCTTTTAGGAAAGAGTGAGCTTTTGTGTTTTATGATGGTTCCAAAGTCCTTTGACAGTGGTTGGAGGAATATGGCACATGGAAGGTTGATCATACTTCTCCTAATTCAGTCTCCTTCACTTAGAAGTCACATCTGTTGCAGTCTTGTCAAATCACTTGGATGCATGAACATTTTCTAGTGATAGGGAATTCAGTTCTTCCAAGGAAACCTATTTGGTTCTGAAACTGCCTACCTTAATGTTAACACTCTTGATTAAAGTAAATTGTAAGTAAAGTTATAGAGCAAAACTTTTAAAAAAGGTGTATAATCTTCAATGTCTTTTAATTGATAGATGGAAGTTTTAAGGTATTAAATCTCTTTAATCTCTTCCTCTTACCAGAGTCTTTTTACTGAGTCAGTAAAAAGTTTCTGTTTCTTTTGTGTGTGCAAGACAACGTTCATTTGAATTATCTCCCCTTTCTAAAGTATGCTTCAGCATTTAGATTATGTCTTTTAGGTAAAAAGTACATAATTTCAGTTATTTTCACATGAATGTCTTCTGTTTAGATATCTTACCATGGATGAAACACGCAAATTGTTACTTTTGTTGGAATCTGATCCCAAGGTTTATTCTCTACCATTGGTGGGAATGTAAGTATTACATTATTTATGAAAACCTTATCAGCCAAATGTTCAAATGTATATGATAAGCATGTGACTCAGTTGTACTATAAATATTTAGATCATTTTATAAAGCCACAAAGATAAGTGGTTGTCAGGTTTTCTTATTTTACTAGTAGAATCAGCTAAAATAAGATTTTACCCAATCTTTTTTTTGAGATGGAGTCTTGCTCTGTGCCCAGACTGGAGTGCAGTGGAGAGATCTCGGCTCACTGCAATCTCCATCCCCCAGGTTCAAGTGATTCTCGTGCTTCAGCCTCCTAAGTAGCTGGGATTACAGGCGTGCATCACCATGCCTGGCTAATTTTTGCTTTTTTAGTAGAGACGGGGTTTTACCATGTTGGCCAGGCTCGTCTCGAACCCGTGGCCTCAAGTGATTTACCCGCCTCAGCCTCCCAAAGTGCTTGGATTACAGGTGTGAACCATCATGCTCAGCCAGATTTTGTCCAATATTAGGAAGAACTCTAACATATAAAACAGATAAAAGCTTAATTCTATGGCCAGGCGCAGTGGCTCACGCCTGTAATCCCAGCACTTTTGGAGGCTGAGGTGGGCGGATCACCTGAGGTCAGGAGTTCGAGGTCAGGAGTTCAAGGCCAGCCTGGATAACATGGTGAAACCCCATTTCTACTAAAAATACAAAAAATTAGCCAGGCATGGTGGTGCGTGCCTGTAATCCCAGCTACTTGGCAGGCTGAGGCAGGAGAATCACTTGAGCCCAGGAGGTGGAGGTTGCAGTGAGCTGAGATTGCGCCATTGCACTCCAGCTTGGGCAACAAGAGTGAAACTCCTTCTCAAAAAAAAATAAAAAATATAAGTTGAATTCTCCTGGTTGAAGGTGAAGGCTTAGAGCCCTGTTTCTTCAGTATTCTCTCACTACCACTCATCCTTAAGTCACCCTAAAGAACTCAGGGCTCATAATAATACCATTTAAAATCCACTGTCAGTCAATCTTGCAGAAATCTCCTTTAGTGTTAATGGCCTTCTCTTTAGAGTAGTAATTAATGATATTTATGTGTTTACTTTTTTTTATATATGTATACATGTTTTGAGACAGGGTCTCACTTTGTCACACAGGCTGGAGTGCAGTGGCACAATCATGGCTCACTGCAGCCTCAATCTCTGGGGTTCAGGTGATCCTCCCACCTCAGCCTCCTGAATAGCTAGGACTACAGGCACCGGCCATCACGCCTGGCTAGGTTTTGTATATTTTGTAGAGGCGGGCTTTCGCCATGTTGCCCAGGCTGGTCTGGAACTCCTGGGCTCAAGCCATCTGAGTTAATGATATTTAGACAGAATATTTAGAAATTTATATTCATTCAGTATTGAGTACTTATTATATACAGTGTTATGCTTGATAATGTGTTGAGGTTTAAAGCTTCTTAAAGAATTTAAAATCAAAGTGAGGTGATAAAACATTCAAATATTCATACACAGAAAAATAAAGTATATGATTTACTATAAAGTGACCAGTATGGAAAGTGAACACTTAGTATTTGTAAGAAAGATATGATAGGGAGCATTTTCCTAGAGAAGACAAACTTGAGCTAGACTTTCAATTGTTTAGATAGTAGAAGGGAAGATTGTTGGGGAAGGGAACCCATGTAAGGGAATGGCACATGCAAAGTGAATGAGAATGCATGAATGTTCTCTGGACCATGAAATCTACTTATAGTTTGCTACAGTCCTAATATAGGCAATGGATTGTTGATGCTTAAGTAAATATTAAGAGCCTTCTCTCTTTCTGACTACCTGTATATATTACAGCATTTAATCCTCAGCAACTCTGTGAAGTAGTTTTAGGCTGCAAATTAGTCTGTACTACCTTAGCCCATTCTTTCCAGTCCAAGCTAATTCATTCTAGTATACTGCTTTCATCTCTGTTAACCATTTTCTTTCCCACATCTCAGGTAAAAGAGGACAGAGATACGCGTGCTTGCTCTCTTTCTCTCTCTCTCTCTCGATATATATCTATATGTCTGTCTATATATATCAATATAGTTATATATATACAAATGTCTATATATTCTTCCTTTTAATTATCAGCACGTTTTTAGATTTCTTATTACTAAGGCTTTTTAATGTATGGCTGATAAAAGCCATACGTCTACTTTGTTATCTTAGGAAGAATGTAAATTATGCTATATATGTAAGTGACTATGGTTTTTAATTTCTATCTTTTTCTTTTAGTTGGCTGTCTGGAATTACACATATCTATAGTCCTCAGGTATGGGCTTGCTGTTTGCGATACATATTCAATTCTTCTGTTCAAGAAAGGCAAGTGATATTTTATTCTGTAGTACTTTATTTCGATCCTTTCCCCCATTCATAGTTTATGGTCCCATTTAAAATTCATGTAATGCCGTAACCTTTTACAATACTTATAAATAAACACGTACATTAAGAAAAAACAAACCTTATATTAAATGAGAATAAAACCAGATTAAAAAAAGATGAGGTTGCAGTATACCTGGAAATACCAAGGAATTCACTTGCCTAACCACAGAACACAAACCTTTTGGGGGTGGAAAAAAACTGTGGAGATTGTCTACTGTAGCATCCTATTTAATAATTAAGGAGGTTAACTTTCAGTGAAATGACTGCAAATGAGTTTGGATTTGTTACCTTACAGATGTTTTATTAAGTTACACAGTGTTACTACTAATACACAAAGAAATACTTGAGACAAGATTTTTAATTTCTTCCTGAAACTGAAGCCTAAACATTGGAATTAATAGTTAGGGAAACTTTACTTTTAACCTCAACTCATTTAATAGATAAAGAAGGTGACATCTTTGTCAGTATTTGTCTCTCACCTTCTTTATCTATTAAATGAGAAGGTCTATTTTTATCTACCTTGGGTGGCTGTAAAGGACTTAAACTATATTGAAAAGGCAGTACAAGCACATAGTAATAAATTGACATATGTAAATATCTACAATAAAAGTAGATCTCTCTTCCTCCCCATTTCCCTAGACCCCATTCTCAGAGGCAATCACTGTAAAGTGATATCTTGTGCTTCCTTCCTGAAATAGTCAATATTTCAATACTCAACATAGACAAGTATCACCTTTTCCTGGCCTGTAAAAATTAAACCATAGCATCCTTTCTTTTCTTTATGTTGCTTTTTTCTGTATAAATTATACCTTGGAGATCATTACCTCTTGGCATATACAGATTTAATATACATATTTTACAACTGAAGAGTTTATAATACATACTGTATTTTAAAAACTGGCCCTTTTGTCTTGCAGATAGTGGTAGACTGAACATTTTATGCATACATCTTTGTGTGCATATGCTAGTATATTTGTAGGATAAGTTTCTAAAAGTGTTTTTTTCTAGGCCAAAGAGTATGTAATTTAAAATTTGGTAGATATTGCCAAATTGCCCTTCAAAAAGACTGCACCAATTTATAATTTTTCCAGCAGTACACGAGAGTGCCTTTTTCTCTACCTGCACTAACACTGTGAAAGAAATATTTATTTATTTATTTATTGAGCACCTATTATATCTATTATGTTCACAGTACTGGGGATCAGAGTAAACAAAATAAAGGTCCCCAGACCAGGCATGGTGTCTTATGTCTGTAATCCCAGCACTTTGGGACTTTGGGAGGCTGAGGCAGGAGGATCGCTTGAGGCCAGGAGTTCCAGACCAGCCTGGGTACCATAGCAAGACTCTGTCTCTAACAAAAAAAAAAAACAAAAAACAAGTTAGCTGGGTGTAATGACACATGCCTGTAGTCCCAGCAGGAGACTGATATGGGAAGATCGCTTGAGCCCAGGAGTTCAGGCTGCAGTAAGCCATGATTGTGCCACTGTACTCCAGCCTGAACAATACAGACCCTGTCTTAAAAAAATAAAATAGGCCAGGCATGGTGGCTCACATCTGTAATCCCAACACTTTGGGAGGCCAAGGCGGGTGGATCACTTGAGGCCAGGAATTAGAGACCAGCTTGGCCAACATGGTGAAACCCCATCTCTACTAAAAATGCAAAAATTAGCCCGGTGTGGTAGAGCATGCCGGTAATCCCAGCTGCTCGGGAGGTTGAGGCAGGAGAATCACTTGCACCCAGGAGGCAGAGGTTACAGTGAGCTGAGATCGCACCACTACACTCCAGCCTGGGCAACAAAAAATAAATAAATAAATAAAAAATAAAATAGTCCTGCAGAGACAGGCAATAAACAGAATAAATAAAATAAATAGTATGTTAAAAGGCGATGAGTACTGTGGAGAAAAATAAAGCCTGAGAGGAGGATGTTGTGTGTCTGAATGATAGTGGCAAGTAAAGAGTTGCCGTTTATTTATTTATTTATTTAATTTTTAATTTTTAAATTTTTATTTATTTATTTTATTTTACTTATTTTTTTTGAGATGGAGTCTTGCTCTGTCGCCCAGGCTGGAGTGCAATGGCTCAATCTCAGCTCACAGAAACCTCCACCTCCTGGGTTCAAGCGTTTCTCCTGCCTCAGCCTCCTGAGTAGCTGGGATTACAGGCATGTGCCACCATGCCCGGCTAATTTTGTATTTTTTCAGTAGAGACAGGGTTTCTCCATGTTGGTCAGGCTGATCTCGAACTCCTGACCTCAGGTGATCTGCCTGCCTTGGCCTCCCAAAGTGCTGCGATTACAGGCGTGAGCCACTGCACCCGGCCAAGAGTTGCAATTTAAATAGGTGGTCAGGGAGGCCGACTTAAGGTGAGGAAGTAAGCCTTGTGGCTGTCTGGGGCACTGTCCTAGGCAAAGGATGTGTTAAGTGTAAGGGCTCTGGGTGAAACAACACGTTACATCTTCAAGGAGCAGCAAAGAGGCCACTGTAGCTAGAGAGGAGTGAAGGAAGGGGAGAGTAGCTGGAGATGAGCTCAGAGAGGTGAGTGGAGGGCTGTTGTTAAACTTTTGACCTCTGCTAACCTGATAGATGAAAAATAAACTTTTCCAATGATTTATAACCTCATCTTCCAGGAACTGCCTAGTCATGTCTTTAGCCATTTTTCTCTTAGATTGTGTATCTTTTCTTTTTTTTTTTTTTTGAGACGGAGTCTTGCTCTGTTGCCCGGGCTGGAGTGCTGTGGCGCGATCTCGGCTCACTGCAAGCTCCACCTCCCGGGTTCACGCCATTCTCCTGCCTCAGCCTCCCGAGTAGCTGGGACTACAGGTGCCCGCCACCATGCCTGGCTGATGTTTTGTATTTTTAGTAGACAGGGTTTCACTGTGGTAGCCAGGATGGTCTCGATCTCCTGGCCTCGTGATCCGCCTGCCTCGGCCTCCCGAAGTGCTGGGATTACAGGCGTGAGCCACTGCGCCCGGCCTGTGCATCTTTTCATATTGCTTGTGCTAGCAAGCTCTCTCTCTATATATATAATGTAAAATACATAGAGAAACACATATTGATGATATATAGTAACGGTTTTCCCCCCAGATTGTCATTTAAGTTTAACAATATTTTTCCCAAACAGACTTACTGTTTTTTAGTCATATTTATTAATCTTTTTCATATCGTGTTTAGAAAAGATTCACCCACTCCAGGTGTATTTACTGAAGTAAAAAAATCACTTGTATTTTCTTCAGATGCTTTTGGAGTTCTACTTTTAACATTTTGTTTTAACTTTTCAAGATAATTAGTTATATTTAGATAGCAGAAATTAAATGTTAGTTTTAGATCCTTTGCTATGATTTAGTACAATTATGTTTTATTATCAATTACTGATCATGCTTTAAGTTCATATTGACAGTAAATCCTCAGTAAAATTAATTTTGAATTGCTCTCTTATTCCTTTTTTTTTTTTTTTTTTTTGGAGACGGAGTCTTGCTCTGTCGCCCAGGCTGGAGTGCAGTGGCGCGATCTTGGCTCATTACAAGCTCCGCCTCCCGGGTTCACGCCATTCTCCTGCCTCAGCCTCCTGAATAAAATAAAATTTTGTTTTGTAGAGAGGAAGGGTCTCACTATGTTGACAAGGCTGGTCTCAAACTCCTGGCCTCAAGCGATCCTCCCACCTTTTGCCTTCCTAAGTGGTGGACCCCAGTTTTTGAACAAAAATTGCACCTTTTAGTCATTTTGTTAACTAGATTGGGAGACTCACATGAAGTTATTTGAGTGTCATCATGTTATCCTCATTAAATTTTAATTAAATGACTTTTTTTGTGCAGGGTTTTTTCAGAATCTGGAAATTTCATCATAGTTCTCTATTCTATGACACATAAGGAACCTGAGTTTTATGAATGCTTCCCTTGTGATGGCAAGATACCTGACTTTCGGTTTCAGTTGCTAACCAGTAAGGAAACATTACATCTTTTCAAAGTAAGTGATTTCATTGTCTAGTACATTAGTGACTGTTTAGGGTTTTGCACTTTGGCAGTTTAAACCCAACAGCTTTTACCCTTTAAAATAGTAATCCAAACTATTATGCTTTGTTTACTTATAAATAATCTTATTAAATATTAACTTTATTCATTTATGGTTAAATTTTTTTAGTAAATCTGAGATCATATCTTCAACCAAATTACAATAGAGAACCAGAGGTTACTCACAGAATAACTTGCCCATGTTTTTCTAAAATCTTTGAAGAATATATCAGTTGTTCATATATCATTTTATACTTGTGAAGGTTAACTTTGTGGGATCTCAGTACTTTTCTTTGTCCTGATGTTTTTTTTTTTTTTTTTTTTTTTTTGAGATGGAATCTCACTCAGTTGCCCAGGCTGGAGTGCAGTGGCGTGATCTCGGCTCACTGCAACCTCTGCCTCCCAGGTTCAAGTGATTCTCCTGCCTCAACCTCCAGAATAGCTGGGATTACAGGAGCCCACCATCACACCTGGCTATTTTTTTTTTTTTTTTTTTTTGTATTTTCATTAGAGAGGGAGTTTCACCATGTTGGCCATGCTGGTCTCGAACTCCTGACCTTAGGTGATCCACCTGCCTAAGCCTCCCAAAGTGCTGGGATTATAGGTGTGAGCCACTGCACCTGACCATGACTGTATTATTTTTAAAATGTGTGGGAATAAGAAATGGTTTTTTATACTTAAAGGCCATTATTTATATTATGTATCTAAGGAATCAGAATAGATTGTTACTATATCATCTAATAAAATACCTAGAAACACAACTAGATGATGATCATAGAAAAAGTAGATCTTTAGGCCAGGCGTGGCGGCTCACACCTCGAATCCCAGCACTTTGGGAGGCCGAGGTGGGCGGATCACCTGAGGTCAGGAGTTTGAGACCAGCCTGGCCAACATGGTGAAACTCTGTCTCTACTAAAAATACAAAAATTAGCCAGGCATAGTGCCAGGTGCCTGTAATCCTAGCTACTTGGGAGACTGAGGCAGGAGAATCACTTGAACCTGGGAGGTAGAGGTTGCAGTGAACTGAGATCGTGCCGCTGCACTCTAGCCTGGGCAACAAGAAGGAAACTCTGTCTCAAAAAAAAAAAGAGGAAGTAGATCTTTGAAACTAGGTGTCATTATATGAAAATATTCAAATGCTACTTTTCAATAAAATTATTGGTTATTTTAGGTCTCAGACTAATAAAAGTACATTCTTTATTAGAAAAATATTGAATACTTTTAAATAACCACGTGTCCACTCAGATCGTATTTAGTACCTTCTTTGAGATCATGTATATGTTATACATCTATATATTTTATATAAATATATATTTTAATATTATAATATATACATTATATTACATATATGTTATATATAAAATACCTTTATATTATATATTATATACATTTTATATTTTATAGGTTATGTAAGCTATAAAGTTTTTGTATTTTATACCTATCATTTTAACTGAGATCTAATATTTCTGTTTTAGAGACATATTTGTCATTTTATTCTTTAGATGGTATTCTCATTTCATAGTTATATTCACTGAATCTGTGATTATAACACAAGTGATTAACTTTTTCACTTATGTAGCAGGGAACTGGACAGTTTACAAAAGAGGGTTACAGAAATCAGAAGTCTGCCACTCCATCATCTAGTGTTTCAGAGCTACTTTTCATCTAAATAGAATTCTCTGGTGTTCTTATTTAAGTCAGATCTCAAAATATGACCTACTTCATTTCAGAATGTTGAACCTCCTGACAAAAATCCAATCCGTTGTGAACTGAGCGCTGAAAGCCAAAATGCAGAAACAGAGTTTTTCAGTAAGGCTTCCAAGAATTTTTCAATTAAGAGGTAAAAGATCTTTTTGTTATTATGTGTGTGTTTTTTTAAAAATTATATTTATTAGTTTTTGGTGAGTAAAATAACTAAATTATTTCTGATGAAATGATTTTTTAAATCTTATGTACCATAAATGTCTTTGTTTTAAATGCATTCCTTCATATTCACTAGGAAGTTGGATAGTAATTTTAATGAAGTGGCAACTCTAATATGGTTTTCATTTGGGTTGATGTATTATACAGGAAAAATACAAAAGTATTTGTCAAAAAATTATCTTGCTTAGCAAGAATCTGCTCCCTGTTTTGTTTAGTGCTTTCTATTTGTTCTTCCCTTCCTTATAAGTTTCTTATTTTAATATTTAAATTAAAGGTGGGGTCTCGCTGTATTGGCCAGGTTGGTCTCGAGCTCCTAGCCTCAAGTGATCCTTCTGCCTTGGCCTCCCAAAGTGCTGGGATCACGTGTGTGAACCATCGTCCCCAACCCTTCCTTATAGTTTTAAATCTGGACCTATCAGATAAACTACTATAAAATTAACTACTAGCTGGAGTGTGATGGCTCACGCCTATAATCCCAGCACTTTGGGAGTCCAAGGCGAGCAGATCACTTGAGGTCAGGAGTTTGAGACCAGCCTGGCCAACATCCTTAAATCTACATATAATACTGGTCATTTCTCCCATTTTATAGGTGAGAAAAGTGAAGTGTAGAGAAATCACATAGGAAATGTACAGTAAAAGACATTACACACACTCAGGTCCTGAAATTGATCACCCAGTGTTTTTAAAACATTAATCACTAGAATTCTATAGTGCATTTTAACATTTGAAACAGCTAATATTCTTTCTTTCTCAGAACTTTTCTTTTTTTTCTTTGAGACAGAGCCTCGCTCTGTCGCCCAGGCTGGAGTGCAGTGGCGTATCTCAGCTCACTGCAAGCTCCGCCTCCCGGGTCCACGCCATTCTCCTGCCTCAGCCTCCCGAGTAGCTGGGACTACGCCAGGCTAATTTTTTGTATTTTTTTTAGTAGAGACGGAGTTTCACTATGTTAGCCAGGATGGTCTCGATCTCTTGACCTCGTGATCCACCCACCTCAGCCTCCCAAAGTGCTGGGATTACAGGCGTGAGCCACCACACCCGGCCTCTTTCTCAGAACTTTTAGGGATCATTTGGCAGGTCTTCAGTGTTATTTTTTAAAGTTCCTCTCCTCAAGCTGCATCTTCTCCATTTAAAAAAAAAAGCCATTGAAGTTGGAATATTGAAATATAAAGCTGTGGGTGATTAAATCAAACGGTAACTAGTGGTGGGGGGCAGGCAGATATGTGGAGCAGACTATAGTTCAGAAATAGATGCAAACATATGATACTTTCATTATACAATAAAAAATGCATCTCTTGCTGGGTGCAGTGGCTCACGCCTGTAATCCTAGCACTTTGGGAGGCTGAGGCGGGCGGATCAGTTGAGGTCAGGAGTTTGAGACCAGCCTGGCCAACATGGTGAAACCCCGTCTCAACTAAAAATACAAAAATTAGCCGGACGCACTGGAGCGTGCCTGTAATCCCAGCTACTCGGTACGCTGAAGTGGGAGAATCGCTTGAACCCGGGAGGCAGAGGTTGCAGTGAGCTGAGATTGCGCCACTGCACTTCAGCCTGGGCAACAGAGTAAGACCCTGTCTCAAAACAAACTCCTACCTAAAAAAAAAAAATTGTTTTAAAACTTCTAAAACACACTTGAAGAATATTAATTAAATAAAGTCTTGTGACTTCTTGGGTCAGCATATTCTACCTTTTGTGGTAAAGAAGATATTCTCGGCCAGGCCCGGTGGCTCACGCCTGTAATCCCAGCACTTTGGGAGGCAGAAGCAGGCAGATCACCTGAGTCTCGGGACTTGGAGACCAGCCTGGCCAACGTGGTGAAACCCCGTCTTTACTAAAAATACAAGAATTAGCCGGGCCTGGTGGTGCATGCCTGTAATCCCAGCTACTCAGGAGGCTGAAGCAAGAGAATCACTTGAACCCAAGAGGCACAGGTTGTAGTGAGCCGAGATCATGCCACTACACTCCATCCTGGGTGATACAGTGAGACTCCATCTCAAAAAAAATAAAAAAGATATTATCTTGTATTAGGGTTCTCCAGATTAACAGAAACAACAAGATGTGTGTATGTAGAGATATTTGTTTTAAGGAATTGGCTTCTGTGTTTGTGAAGGTTTGGCAAATCCAAAGTCTACAGGTAGAGGCTGAGCACAGTGGCTCATCCCTTTAATTCCAGTACTTTGGAAGGCTGAGGCGGGAGGATTGCTTGAGCTCAGGAGTTCGAGACCAGCCTGGGCAATGTGGCGAAACCCTGCCTCTACAAAAACAGAAAAGAAGTACAGAATTTAGCTGGTTGTGGTGGCACATGCCTATAGTCCCAGCTACTTGCAGGGCTGAGGTGGGAGGATCACTTGCCCAGGAGGTCAAGGCTTCAGTGAGCCATGTTCGTGGCACTGCACTGCAGCCTGGGTGATAAAATGAGACCCTGTCTCAAAGAAAAAAAAAAAAAAAAAGACAAAAAATGTCTACAGGTAGGCTGGTAGGCTGGACACCCAGGGAAGAATTGCAATTTGAGTCCAAAGGCAGCCTGCTGGCAGAATTCCTTTTCCCTCCAGGAAGTCAGTCTTTATCTTTTTTTTTTTTTGAGATAGGGTCTCACTCTGTCACCCAGGCTGGAGTACAGTGGTGTGATCTCAGCTCACTGCAACCTCCACTTCGCAGGTTCAAGGAATTCTCCTGCTTCAGCCTCCCAAGTAGCTGGGATTACAGGTGTGCATCACCACGCCCGGCTAATTTTTGTATTTTTAGTAGAGATGGGGTTTCACCATGTTGGCCAGGCTGGCCTCGAACTCCTGACCTCAAATGATCCACCCACCTTGGCCTCCCAAAGTGCTGGGATTACAGGCTTGTGTCACCTCACCCAGCCAGGAACATCTTTACTGTCTTAAATTTTAAGACCTTATTCAACATTTTATTGAATATTTATGGAAGAAATAGCCAAACTAAGGAGACAATAGCAATTTCTTTAAGATTGTTATTAAAAGCTACTCAGAAGGCTGAGGTAGGAGGATCACTTGGGCCCAAGAAGTCGAGTTGGGGAGCCATGATCATGCTATGCCAACTGCACTCTAGCCTAAGTAATAGAGTGAAACCCGGCTTCAAAAAAAGTGATGTTAAAAAACCTTGTTTATTTTCCATTCTGGCCTAAGCTTTAATGAGGAACAGTCATTTTAAATGTTATCAAAATGTTTGTCTCTCCTAAAGTACTGTTGTTATAACTATACAACCTGAAGTTTTTCCTTTTTTCCCTTGGGTACTAAAAAAGCTAAGAAATGAGGCCAGGCACAGTGGCTCACACTTGTAATCCCAGTGCTTCGGGAGGCAGAGGTGGGTGGATCACCTGAGGTCAGGAGTTCAAGACCAGCCTGACCAACATGGTGAAACCCTGTGTCTACTAAAAATATAAAAATTAGCTGGGCGTGCTGGCACATGCCTGTAGTCTGAGCTCCTCGGACGCTGAGGCTCAAGAATCACTTGAACCTTGGAGGCGGAGGTTGCTGTGAACTGAAGTCATGCTACTGTACTCCAGCCTGGGCGACAGAGGGAGACTCTATCCACCCCCCACCCCCCCGCAAAAAAAAAAGCTAAGAAATGGGTTTTATTGCTCAGTGTCAACGGTTTTGTGTGTATATTCATCTTAAGTACAAAACAGATATTAATTCCATGCCACAACTCAGGTATACAAAAGAATGTAACTTAAAAAAGTTAGTAATTGAACTTAATATCTATTTTAAGCCCCTATTTGTTCTACTGAATTATAGACACCAAATTTCACCTAATTCAAGGTTTCTTTATTCCCTTTTCTCTGGGGTTATATGTAATGTAGAGGGGACTAATGGTATGCCAGTACTGGTGATATGGGGTGACGTGATTCTCATCCATCTGTGCTACAATCTGCTGAGGTGTTTTCATTTGCATCTGGTCTTTGTCAGATTTGTGCAAGTTCCTGCTGCAACTTTTGACCCTGTTCAGGCCACTGGCTCTCTTGTTTCCTGTCCATGCTGCACTGAGCGCTTTGGAATATCATTATGTATCTCAAGCTGCCTTGGGTGTTGGAGAAGAGCTTTGTGGGACTGAAGACCCATTTCTGCTTAAACATAATCATGCAGACATTCTGATTGCTTCATTGTAATACCTTGTACAGAAAGAACTCTGTGAAGGTCTACCTCTTCAGACAATCAGGGTTTAGGGCAAAAGGTCTCTTCTGCTGTTTGATTTTCAAACCTGCCTTGGAGTTTCTTTTGTTCTTCCTGCTAGGGAGGATTCAACTTGCATGAAACAGAATGCAGGGTGCTTTTTTAGGGATCCCATTAATCCTGAGCGCTGTTAGCTTTCATTCTGGCTTTTCTTTTCCCTAATGCATCCTATTGAGACTTTGTCTAGTGTAGGATGTAAAAAAGCCTGATGCATATAGTATTCCAAATCTTTAGTCTTAAACACTAATTTCAGCTTTTAAAACTTGGTACCAGCACTCAGAAATTTTCTGTTTTGCTGGGCATGCCATCTGTGATACAATGAGTATTCCTGACTAAATGGGAGGGTAGTACTTTGATTTTTCAAAGTATTTTCCCATCATAGATATAAGTACATAGGAAAATATAATTCCTTATTTGGTTTTCCTTTTTAATACAGAGGGTTTGTAATATAGTGTGTTTAATAACCTTTAATACTAGATTATAAATTTTTTGACAGCAAGTACTAAGTCTTACTTGTTTCTATATTTATCGAAGTGATCAACTAGAGGGTGCCCAGTGACTTGATTTATTGTGACATTAACAATACAAGGTTAAACTTGCTATCATCAGGTAAATAGGGTAGTTTATTAAGGCTGGCTGGTCCAGCTTCCCTGGTCAACTAACACTGGCCTGAAAAATAAAATAATTTGTGGTTGTCAGATACTAAATTAAATGATCTGAGTACTACTGCAACTTATTAAAGGACTTTATTCAATTTCTAGAAGAAAGAAAACACTGGATTACCAAAGGCTTTTCTGGTCTCCCCTTCTATTCTTTAGGTCTTCCCAAAAGTTATCTTCTGGGAAGATGCCAATACATGATCACGACTCTGGTGTTGAAGATGAAGATTTTTCTCCAAGACCAATTCCTAGTCCTCATCCAGTGAGTCAGAAGGTATCACTGATTTTAAAATGCATTCACTTTTGTGGTTAGAGACCTAAGTCTCTTCATGGTTAAAACACTAAATAATACTACCTGAAACCTAAGTATCATTCTTAGATATATCTAGCTATTTCTATCTCTATGGTTATATCTATATATAGAGATATAAGTATTTCACAGTTATATATAATAATTCATATTATATGTAATGATATATACATATGTGTAATATCTATGTAATAAGCATGTATGGTTATTCCTAGAGTAAACTGAGACATAGATTGGTTAAGTTACCTACCCAAGACACACAACTAGTAAGTAGTAAAGCTGGGATTCTATTTCAGGAGGTTTGGTTTTAGAATCTGGTACTTTTAATAACCATATAGACTCAACATTATATACTATCACTAGAGCTTGACATTGGTTTTTATCACTATATTCTGAGAAAACATTATACTTGCTTTCAGAGGTTAATTGCTAAAATTCTTGTCATAATTTTTTTATTGCTACCAACCTGTGGGTCATTTTAGAATTGTTTAATTCTTATTTTAGAAGAAAAAGGAATGGGAAGGATTTTTTAAAGCTAATATCAAATTATAACCAAATTCATCACAGCGAGTATTTTGTTTACTCTTTTTTGCTTTCCACCTCTTAGTTGATATCAATAGAAGGAATAACAGTGAGTGACTTCTTAGTGGAGAAATATTTTGAAACATTTATTGGAAGATTTTACTATTTAAGGTACATAAACATTTGCTACTAGATCTGTGAAAACATTCTGCTTGTGACAATTTTATTTTTTGCAGAGAGGATTTAAAAAGTTATATAAAACAGTTTCTCATATTGTGTTCTGTGATCTTAGCAGTGTTAGTGTTTTAATAAAAAGAGTTCCATTATTAAATAAGTTTGGGAAGTGTTTAGTTTTATTCTTTTAGGGCAAGGACCTTGTTTATTTAGCTTACAATTGCATTCCTAGTGCTTAGCACATAAAACATGCCCAGAAAAAATTAACTGATGGTCTAAATAAAGAATGAACACTTGTTAATATGTAATTAGATATAATTTGGGAAATACTGGTCTGAGGAAAGTAAAGTATACAGTTTCTCCAAAAAAATACTTTTTTTTTCTATTTCTTTCTTATTTGTAGATTTCTAAGATCCAACCATCAGTTCCTGAACTTTCACTTGTGTTGGATGGCAATTTCATAGAATCAAACCCTCTGCCTACTCCATTGGAAATGGTGAATAATGAAAATCCTCCTTTGATTAACCACTTGGAACACTTGAAGCCATTGCAACCCCAGCTTTATGATGAGAAACACAGTCCAGAAGTTGAAGCTGGAGAGCCTTCCTTGAGAGGAATACCAAATCAGTTAAACCAGGATAAACCAGCTCTTTTGAGACACTGCAAAGTAAGACAGCCACCTGCCTATAAGAAAGGGAACCCCCATACCAGGAACAGTATTAAACCATCTTCTCATAATGGGCCATCTCATGATATATTTGAAAAGCTCCAAACAGTTTCTGCTGGAAATGTACAAAACGAAGAGTATCCTATAAGACCCTCCACACTTAATTCTAGGCAGTCTTCTCTTGCCCCGCAGTCCCAACCACACGATTTTGTTTTTTCACCCCATAATTCAGGAAGACCAATGGAACTTCAGATACCTACTCCCCCACTGCCATCTTACTGTTCCACAAACGTTTGCAGGTGTTGTCAGCATCATAGTCATATTCAATATAGTCCGCTAAATTCTTGGCAAGGAGCAAACACAGTTGGATCCATTCAAGATGTCCAGTCTGAAGCCCTTCAAAAGCATTCATTATTTCACCCAAGTGGATGTCCAGCCCTGTACTGTAATGCATTCTGTTCTTCAAGTAGTCCTATAGCCTTGAGACCTCAGGGAGATATGGGCAGTTGTTCTCCCCACAGCAATATTGAACCATCGCCTGTGGCAAGACCGCCTTCACATATGGACTTATGTAACCCACAGCCTTGCACAGTGTGCATGCACACACCCAAGACTGAGTCAGATAATGGAATGATGGGACTATCTCCAGATGCATATCGGTTCCTCACAGAACAAGACAGACAGCTAAGACTACTTCAGGCACAGGTTTGCTTGGTGCTTTCCTAGTTCTATTAATTTCTTGGTATTAAGATTTCTTAAAAACTGGCACCTCTCCTCAGTAATGATGTTTTATAGAAGTATAGAATGTCAGAATTAGGAGGGACCTTGGAAACTGAATTCTAGGCCCTCTTGTTTTACAGGTAAGTAAAATGAGGATTAGAGAGAATAATTTAACCCAATGCCACGTTGCTAGTTAGTAGTAGAACCATCTTATGCATATCCTAACCTACAATAGAATTGTATTTTTATTTTTTGCCTCTAATGAAAAGTCTGTTATAATTAACTAAGCCTTTATATACAGCTAAATATAAAGTCTGGACAGTGGCTTATACTTCATCTCTAGTTTGTCAGCCCTATATAATGCCTATCTATATAGTTAGAGCCTTTCTGCATATCTATACTGGACTTATTCTACTTCTTGTTTTCTGAAATGTTCCCTTTTTTCAGAACCTCTGTTGCAGAGTTCTTAGTTTTTTGTTGTTTTTTTTTTTTTTTTTTGAGACGGAGTCTCTTCTGTTGCGCAGGCTGGAGTGCAGGGGCATGATCTTGGCTCACTGCAACCTCCGCCTCCCAAGTTCAAGTGATCTTCCTGCCTCAGCCCTGCTAGGAGCTGGGATTACAGGCACGCGCCACCATGCCTGGCTAGTTTTTGTATTTTTAGTAGAGACGGGGTTTCGCCATGTTGGCCAGCATAGTCTCGACGGAGTTCTTTGTCTTAATTATATCCTTGCGCAGTGTTTAGTGTGTAAGTGTTGTCTTTTTTCTTCTTTCCTCACTGACGTCCTTCCTCCACATACCTACCCCAAAACAGTGTTCCTCTCTTTCTCCCCAGCACCAATGGGAACAACCTGAAATGTAGTTTTAAATATTTTTCATGATCCTATAACTATGCAAATATATGTGTAATGTGCATATATACGTATGATTTTTTTTTTTTTTTTTTGAGACGGAGTATTTCTCTGTCGCCCAGGCTGGAGTGCAGTGCCACGATCTCGGCTCACTGCAAGCTCCGCCTCCCGGGTTCACGCCATTCTCCTGCCTCAGCCGCCGGAGTAGCTGGGACTATGCCCGGCTAATTTTTTGTATTTTTTTAGTAGAGACGGAGTTTCACTATGTTAGCCAGGATGGTCTCGATCTCCTGACCTTGTGATCCTCCCACCTCGGCCTCCCAAAGTGTTGGGATTACAGGCGTGAGCCTCCGCGCCCGGCCATACATATGATTTTTTAAAAAATCTTTGTTTTATAAAATTGGAGTTATAGTGTTTGCATTTTATCAGAAAAAAGACAATGACATTTTTCAAATCAGTGAAAACGCTTTGGATAGGAACACCTGAGAAAAATTTAGCTCTGCTGTTTTTTTAAACCTAGGTAAATTCTTTGAAATTGTAAAGTATAGTTTTTTTTAAAATTTTTACTTTTTTTTTTAGAGAAAAGGTCTTCCTATATTGCCCAGACTGGTCTTGAACTCCTCAGCTCAAGTGATCTTTCTGCTTTGACCTCCCAGAGTGCTGGGATTATAGGTGTGAGTCACCACTCCCACATAATGTAAAATATAAATTGGATTTTAACATTATAAACACTTAGCAAAAATTTGAATATACCTAAATATTTTTACATTGAAAATAATTATTTCTCACTTATTTCCTGTCTTGTTCTAAAGAAGACTAATTAGAGGCTAAAAGGACCCATTATACTATTTAGAAATCTTAGTTACTTGGAATTTGTATACTTAAAATATAATATTATAGATCACAGGCCGTGGTCTAGACTATCTGAATCATTATATTTAGAAAATATGAAATATACAAAAAAATGCTTCTGTGTGTAAATACATATAGTATTTTCCTTATATATATATGAACTTAAATTTTTAGGTACCACTTTTTAAAAAGTATCTTATACATTTTTTATATAAGTATATATAGAACTCCCTTACCCTGCATGGGTTTCTATCATAATGATAGACAACAAATTTTCTAATTGTTCTCCTATTGATTATTTCAACCATTTAAAGCTTCTGCTATTGCAAACAATGCAGCAGTGAACATTCCTATATTTGCATCTTACTACCTATGTGCAAGTATCTCTATACTATAGATTCCTAGAAGTAAAACTGTGAAGCCAAATGGAATAAACATTTTAAATGTTCAAAGATACCCAAATTTGTTCCTGTTCTAGTATTGCAAATCTCATTTTGGTGTAAGGGTTAAGAGAGTGGGCTGTGGTACCAGACTCCTTGGATTCTGATCTAGTTTGTGGGTACTGTAGGTTACAAGATCATGGACAAGTTACCTTACCTCATTGACTTCAGTTTTCTCACATACAAAATAGGGATATACATAAGTTGTATGGAGTTCTTTTGTTTTTTGTTTTAATTTTTTTTTCAGTTGTTCACATGTATGGCAAAGTTGTATGGAGTTCTAAGGATCTGAATGAGTTACTAGATAAAGGTGTAGAATATTGCTGACATATAGTTAGTGCTCAGTATATGTTAACTATTACTATTATTTCACTATTATTATCTTAGTTAATGGTATCACCTCTCATCTCGTCACTCAGGCAAAATTCTCAGGAGTCACAAACCCAGGCTCTGCTTTGTAGATATATACTGAACTTAACTACTCTTTACTATCTTTCCTGCTACCAACCTAATTCAAACCACTGATGACACCCTTACATACCACTTCCATCCAGTACTATCCCCTCATGTTTCCTATACTTGGAAACACCATACCGTCGTTGTTTGTTTGTTTTCCCCACACCATCTTTAAAGCCCAGGTCAGATTGTAGCACTCTTGCTTAAAATCCTCCAGTGGATTTCCATTGCAATTAGAATAAAATCCAAATGCTTTACCTTGGCCCTTAAAGCCCTTTATGACTTGGCTTGTCTTTCTCTGCAAACTCATCTCTTATCACTGTCTTCTGTGTTCACTACACTTCAGCTGTAGTGCTTTTTTCTTTAACTTTTTGTACTTTAAAAATGCCAAAACATGTTTATACTTTAGGTTCTTCAGCTTTTGGTTCCCTTTGCCTGAAATATTCCTCCTTGGACCCTTCTAATGGCTATTTCCTTCTCATCATTCAGGCCCTTAATCACGTTTTTTTGTTCTATTTGTGATAGAAAGCTCCAGGGAAGGAGCTCACATTCATCACTGTTTTCTTAGCACCTTGAATAGTACTTGATGTGTAATCGTTGCTTAATACATAGTTTGTTACTTGAATGAGTGAAAATGGCTGCTGGAAAGGCTATATCTATTTATTTATTTATTTTTCTAGATGAGATGAATGATGCCAGATTATACCAATTTAGTATCCCCAAACCATTTTTCCACATCTACATGTCCAACATTAGGCAAACTTAAATTATTACCAGTCTTAGAAGATGGTTTTTTTTTTTTTTTTTTTTTTTTTTTAGGCAGAGTTTTACTCTTTCACCCAGGCTAGAGTGAAATGGCATGATCTGGGCTCACTGCAACCTCTATCTGCCCCCCGGGGTTGAAGCAATTCTCCTGCCTCAGCTTCCCAAGTAGCTGGGATTATAGGCACCCACCACCACACCTGGTTAATTTTTGTATTTTTAGTAGAGACAGGGGTTTCACCATGTTGGCCAGGCTGATCTCGAACTCCTGACCTCAGGTGATCCACCTGCCTCGGCCTCCCAGAGTGCTAGGATTACAGGTGTGAGCCACCATGCCTGGCCTAGAAGTTGTTTTAATTTACATTATATTAACATATGTAATTGATTATTATTTATAAGAGCTCATTGTATATGAAGGAAATTGGTCCTTTATCATTCATATATATATATATGTATATGTATATGCATATGCGTGTGGTATTTCTTACAGTTAGTCTTAAGTGTTTTGCATTTTAACCATTTGTTTTGTACAGAATATTCCAGTTTAGATACAGTTAAATAATGTAGACCAGGTGCGGTGGCTCACACCTGTAGTCCCAGCACTTTGGGAGACCTAGGCGGCTGGATCACCTGAGGTCAGGAGTTTGAGACCAGCCTGGCCAACATGGTGAAATCCCGTCTCTACTAAAAATACAAAAATTACCTGGGCGTGGTAGTGGGCGCCTGTAATCCCGCTACTTAGGAGGCTGAGGCATGAGAATCGCTTGAACCTCAGAGGCGGAAATTGCAGTGAGCCAAGATCACACCACTGCACTCCAGCCTGGGCGACAGAGCTAGACTCTGTCTCAAAAAGAAAAAAAAAAAAGTATGAGTCATTCTCTTTCTGGGTTTTATGTTTAGAAAAGCCTTCTTCCTTTCAAGATTATAAAAAATTTATTCTTGGCTGGGCCCACTGGCTCATGCCTGTAATCCCAGCATTTTGGGAGGCCAAGGTGGTTGGATCACTTGAGCCCAGGAATATGAGACCAGCCAGGGCAACATAGTGAGACTCCATCTCTACAAAAAATAAAAAAGAAATAACTGGCCATAGTGTTGCGCACCTGTAATCCCAGCTCCTTGGGAGACTGAAGCAGGAGGATTGCTTCAGCCTAGGAAGCTGAGGCTGCAGTGAGCCAAGACCGTGCCACTGTACTCTGGCCTAGGCGACAGAGTAAGATCCTGTCTTAAAAAAAAAAAATCTTATTTATTTATTTATTTATTGAGATGGAGTCTCACTGTGTCACCCAGGCTGGAGTGCAGTGGCGCGATCTCAGCTCACTGCAAGCTCTGCCTCCCGGGTTCACACCATTCTCCTGCCTCAGCCTCCTGAGTAGCTGGGACTACAGGCGTTGGCCACCAAGCCGGGCTAATTTTTTGTATTTTTAGTAGAGACGGGGTTTTACCATGTTAGCCAGGATGGTCTTGATCTCCTGACCTTGTGATCCGCCCGCCTCAGCCTCCCAAAGTGCTGGGATTACAGGAGTGAGCCACCGCGCCCAGCAAAAAAAAAATCTTTTTAAAAAATTCTCCCTCTCCCTTCAGGATTATATTTGTTGCTTCTTTTTTATTTAAGTAAGTTTTTTTTTTTAAATCAGATGACTGGACTCACATATTTATTTAATAAATACATATCTTTTTACGAATGATTTAGAGATGCTTTTTGTTGTTGTTGTTGTTGTTGATGAGACAGAGTCTTGCTCTGTAACCCAGGCTGGAGGGCACTGGCTCAGCTCACTGCAACCTCTGCCTTCCAGGTGCAAGTGATTCTCCTGCCTTTATCACCTGAGTAGCTGGGATTGCAGCCGTGTGCCACCATGCCCGGCTAATTTTTGTGGTTTTAGTAGAGACAGGGTTTTACCATGTTGGCTAGGCTGGTCTTGAACTCCTGACCTCAGGTGATCCACCTGCCTCGGCCTCCCAAAGTGCTGGGATTTCAGGTGTGAGCCACTGCACCCAGCAAGAGATGCATTTTTTATTGTATAATGAAAGTATCATATGTTTGCATCTATTTCTGAACTATAGTCTGCTCCACATATCTGCCTGCCCCCCACCACTAGTTACCATTTGATTTAATCACCCACAGCTTTATATTTCAATATTCCAACTTTAATGGCTTTTTTTTTTTTAATGGAGAAGATGCAGCTTGAGGAGAGGAACTTTAAAAAATAACACTGAAGTCCTGCCAAATGATCCCTAAAAGTTCTGAGAAAGAGGCTGGGTGTGGTGGCTCACGCCTGTAATCCCAGCACTTTGGGAGGCTGAGGTGGGTGGATCACGAGGTCAAGAGATCGAGACCATCCTGGCTAACATAGTGAAACTCCGTCTCTACTAAAAAAAATACAAAAAATTAGCCTGGCGTAGTCCCAGCTACTCGGGAGGCTGAGGCAGGAGAATGGCGTGGACCCGGGAGGCGGAGCTTGCAGTGAGCTGAGATACGCCACTGCACTCCAGCCTGGGCGACAGAGCGAGGCTCTGTCTCAAAGAAAAAAAAGAAAAGTTCTGAGAAAGAAAGAATATTAGCTGTTTCAAATGTTAAAATGCACTATAGAATTCTAGTGATTAATGTTTTAAAAACACTGAGTGATCAATTTTAGGACCTGAGTGTGTGTAATGTCTTTTACTGTACATTTCCTATGTGATTTCTCTACACTTCACTTTTCTCACCTATAAAATGGGAGAAATGATCAGTATTATATGTAGATTTAAAGATTAAATGAGTGTGTGTGTGTGTGTAAAGTGCTTACTTAGTATGGGACCTGGCTAGAGGAAGTACGCAACAAATTACAACTGTTTTATTTATCTCTTTTAACAACCTTAGTTTTAGGTGATATTGAAGCTCATAGTGGTTAAGTAACTTTTCCAAAAGGTAGCAGGGTAGGATTTAAACTTATAGCCACATGATACCAAAGCTGTACTCCAAACCACTATAAATACACATGCCATTTTATACTATTAGCGCAGTTTATATTTCTACTGACCTTAATAATTGATTGATGATACTTATTTTCCTATATTAATAAGGTTAATCCACTAAAATTATATTGAGCACAGTAGTACCATTTGTAGAGAAGCAGAAAATCATAGTGTTTACAAAGGGAGGCTCTTCCACTCCTAGTTACATACCCAAGAGAAGTGAAAAAAATATGTCCACACAAAAAGCTGTATGTAAATGTCCAAGTAGCATTATTCCTAATAGCCCAAAGTGAAAACAACCTAAATGTCTGTCAGCTGATGAGTGGAAAAGCACAATGTGATATATCCATACAAGGGAATGTTATTCAGCAATCAGAAGCAATAAAGTATTAGTAAATGCTGCAACATGGTTGAACCTTCAAAACATTATGCCAAGTGAAAGAAGCCAGATACAAGGCCACAGTATGGTACTGTTTATATGAAATGTCCAGAATAGGCAAATTCAGAGATAGAAATCATGTTAGACCGTCAGGGGCTCCGGAGAAGGGCAATAGGGTGTGGCTGCTAATGGGTACAGAGTTTTGGGGGTTTGATGAAAATGTTCTGGAATCAGATAGTGGTGATTATTGCACACTTTGTGAGTATACCAAAAACCACTGAATTGTACACTTTAAAGCAGCTAATTTCATGGTACATGAATTATATCTCAATTTAAAATGGAAGAGGGGAGGCTTTTGGTGTTTGAACCTCAGCTTTCAGATTTGCTACTTGTTAGTTATATGTCCTATACAAGTAACTTAACTTTTTCCTTGCCGCAGGTTTTCTTACTTGTAAAAAAAATGTTTAATTGTAATATAGTCTTCAGAGGATTGCTGTAAAAATTATACATAAAAGCCTATAGTAATAGGGTCTTGCAAACAACAGGCGCTCAGTAACTGTTAGCCATTGTTATTAATATATCCAATTTCAACATGGGCAAACATGGGCAATTCTGATTTACCTTTATAATAATCTTGTGTGATATGTTCAGTATTTGGTATATGGAGTCAGAGAGTCAGAGTATACCTCCAATCTAACTTTTGATTTATAAGTGAAATAGGAATATAATGTTAGTTTGAAGTATTAACCATTCACACTTTTTTACATGAGTATCAACTTACGAATACTAAGCTAAACACCTTTATGTATTGCTTTTAAATGTATACTTAAAGGCTGAGGTGGGCAGATTGCTTGAGCCCAGGAGTTTGAGAACAGCCTGGGCAACATGGCAAAACCCCATCTCTACAAAACATGTGAAAATTAACCAGGCATGGTGGTGCATGGCTGTCATCCCAGCCACCCCAGGAGGCTGAGGTGGGAGGATCGATTGAGCCCAGGAGGTTGAGGCTGCAATAAGCCATGATTGCACCACGGCTGGGTGACAGCCTGGGTGACAGAGCAAGACCTTGTCTCAAAAAAAAAAAAAAATAGTATACTTAAAGTGCTTCTTAATAACTAGTGATAATGGCTTTCTATATTGAATAAGTTTCATGGTATGGTCTAGTTGAAATTTGAGAAAATAGACTTAAAAGTCAGTTTCTTATAATTAGGGCGCTTTGTAATTCATTATTAAACTGCTGCCAGTTTTGTTGATTACTTCCCTGTCAGTTTAAAGTATGTTTTTAATTGATACAGATTCAGCGTTTGTTGGAAGCACAGTCTCTGATGCCCTGTTCCCCTAAGACAACTGCTGTTGAAGACACAGTGCAAGCTGGAAGACAAATGGAGTTGGTTTCTGTGGAAGCACAGTCTTCCCCTGGCTTGCACATGAGAAAAGGTGTAAGCATTGCTGTGAGCACAGGTAATTTCAGTTTTTTTTTAATTTGTAAGGAAATTGTTAAAAATGCTTTTCATATCTGGTTTTTGAATTTTATGTTCAAATTGGTGCATGGTGCAGTAGGACCAAAACCAAGGTGATGAGAGTATGACTTAAGTTTTTGTGTGATTTTAGTCTTTGTGAAATAAAACTACACCTGCAAACTGCATAACATGATAAAGTGTTTGATTTTGCTACTTTTCTAGGCTGGACCCAATTCTGGTTTTTTTTTTGTTTTTTGTTTTTTTTTTTGAAATGGAGTCTCGCTGTGTTGCCCAAGCTAGAGTGCAGTGTGGTGCACTCTCAGCTCACTGCAACCTCCACCATCCTAGGTTCAAGCAATCCTCCTGTCTCAGCCTCCCAAAGTGTTGGGATTACAGGCGTGAGCCACCGCGTCCAGCCAGTCTTGTTTGTATTAATTTATTTTCATAAAATCACCCAAGTATATCCTCAGAGTAGAAACCATTTTGACTATGATTTACTTTTTTTTTTTTTTTTTTTTGAGACGGAGTCTCACTCCGTCACACAGGCTGGAGTGCAATGGCATAGTCTCGGCTCACTGCAACCTCCGCCTCCTGGGTTCAAGTGATTTTCCTGAGTAGCTGGGACTACAAGCGCCTGCCACCACACCTGGCTAATTTTTGTATTTTTAGTAGAGATGGGGTTTCACTATGTTGGTCAGGCTGGTCTCCAACTCCTGACCGCATGATCCACCCACCTCAGCCTCCCAAAGGGCTGGGATTGTATTACAGGCATGAGCCACTGTGCCCAGGCTACTTTTTGGTTTTAACCATCTGTTTAAACCATTATGTATTAGCAATATTCCCCAAATTATAGAATGCCTATGGCTCGTGGTACAAAAGATGATTTAGGGTGTTATACAGATTAATATTTATATTTTGTAAATATATCTTTTCCAATACTCATAGGTATAAATACAATAAGCATATCAAATCTGTGATTTTAGAGAAATAATGAGGCTCAGTAAAAAAAGAGTTAATTTAAAGAAAGAGTAAGTAAACAATATTACATGCAAATAGCTCTGAAGATAGGTGTAAGTGCTTCATAAAGATTGAGAAATTGGCTGGGCGCAGTGGCTCATGCCTATAATGTTTGCACTTTGGGAGGTCAAGGCAGGTGGATTGCCTGATGCTAGGAGTTCGAGACCAGCCTGGTCAAAATGATGAAGCCCCATCTTTAAAAAAAATACAAAAATTAGCCACATATGGTGGCGCACACCTGCAGTCCCAGCTACTCGGGAAGCTGAGGTGGGAGGATCACCTGAGCCCAGGGACGTTGAGGCTGCAGTGAGCTGTGATTGTGTCACTGCACTCCAGCCTGAGCAACAAAGTGACACCCTGTCTTAAAAAAAAAAAAAAAAAAAAAAAAAGATTGGGAAACACTTGATTTTTTTTAATACCTGCCTGATATTACAGATATTACAGATGTCTGATGCATCACCAATGTAGTCTTTTAAATATTGCATTTAAGTGTCAAAACCAGAGAACCTAGGGATTTGTATTTTATATATTATCTCATATTATTCAGAGCAGCAGTTTTCAACATACACACCCCATCCCACGGATCATATTCAGAATCTTAATATGTAAAGCAAATCATTTCAGAGCCACCCTTCTTGAAAAAGCAGAACCCAGAATGTGCCCTTCCACCCGACCCGTCCCCTAGTGTTTTGTCTTTCTGTCTTCCACCTACCTCTTCCTGGCATTTCTGAGGAAATATAATCTAAAAACTTAGTTCTAAGTAATTGTGTGTGTGTGTGTGTGTGTGTGTGTGTGTGTGTGTGTATATATATATATATTTTTTTTTTTTTTTGAGCCAGAGTTGCCCAGGCTGGAATGCAGTAGCACAATCACAGCTCATTGCAGCATCGACCTCCTGGGCTCAAGTGATCTTACACCTCTGCCTCCTGAGTAGATGGGACTACAGGCACACCACCACACCTGGCTAATTTTTTTGTATTTTTTTTGTAGAGACAGGATTTCTCCATGTTGCCCAGGCTGGTCTCGAACTCCTGAGCTCAAGTGATCCTCCCGCCTCTGCCTCTCAAAGTGTTGGGATTATAGGCGTGAGCCATTGCACCCAGCCAATATGGCTATTCTTAACAAAGGTTTGGCAGAGTATTATTTTTAAAGTTGAATGTTTGTTTCAGTATCTTAAATTATTTAACCTCCAGGTGCTAGCTTGTTTTGGAATGCAGCAGGTGAGGATCAAGAGCCTGACTCTCAAATGAAGCAAGATGATACCAAAATTTCCAGTGAGGACATGAATTTTTCTGTCGATATTAATAATGAAGTCACAAGTCTTCCAGGTAGTGCATCTTCATTAAAAGCAGTTGATATTCCCAGTTTTGAAGAGAGCAACATTGCTGTGGAAGAAGAATTTAACCAGCCACTTTCTGTATCCAAGTAAGGTCTCTTTGATTTAGTCTTTCATCCTACTTTCAAAAAAAATTTTTTTTGATAGACAAATAATAATTGTATATATTTGTGGGGCACAATGTTTAGATGCATGTTTACAGTATGGAATGATTAAATCAGACCAACAAATCTATCACTTCACATACTTAACTTTTTCTGTGGTAAAAACATTTGAAGTCTACTATTAGCAATTTTGAAATATACAATGTATTATTATTCATTACAGTTGCTGTTCTGTTCAGGTTTTTTTTTGTTTTTAATTCTAATTTCTTTAAAGTCTTCTAACTCAGAAATGATATATTTTCTAACTGGTATTTTCTTTTATGTCTTTACTTGATATGATTTCTATGTAACTGACAACTCTGAGCCTTCTAGAACCATTTCCAGATGTCAGTCTTTGGCTATATTAACAGTCTGGATGAATCAGAAATCGGAAGAAAACTTCAAAAATACACAAGCTCAGGCCTCACCCTAGAGGATCTGATAATATTAGGTTCCAGATACAGATGGAGAAATTTTTTTTTTTTTTTTTTTGACGGAGTCCCGCTCTGTTGCCCAGGCTGGAGTGCAGTGGTGCAATCTCGGCTCACTGCAATCTCCACCTCCCGGGTTCACGCCATTCTCCTGCCTCCCGTGTAGCTGGGACTACAGGCTCCTGCCACCATGCCCGGCTAATTCCGTGTTTGTATTTTTAGTAGAGATGGGGTTTCACCATGTTAGCCAGGATGGCCTCGATCTCCTGACCTCGTGATCTGCCTGCCTCGGCCTCCCAAAGTGCTGGGATTACAGGCGTGAGCCACCACACCTGGCGGAGAAATTTCTTTTATTTAATTTATTTATTTATTTATTTATTTATTTATTTATGAGATGGAGTTTCTCTCTTGTTGCTCAGTCTAGAGTGCAATGGTGCGATCTTGACTCACTGCAATCCCTGCCTCCTGGGTTCAAGTGATTCTCCTGCCTCAGCCTCCTGAGTAGCTGGGATTACAGACACCTGCCACCATGCTGGGCTAATTTTGTTTGTATTTTTTTTAGAGATGGGGTTTCGCCGTGTTGGCCAGGCTGGTCGTGAACTCCTGACCTCAGGTGATCCACCCACCTTGACCTCCTAAAGTGCTGGAATTACAGGCATGAGCCACTGTGCCCAGCCTATTTTATTTTATGTATTTATTTTTTGAGACAAGAGTCTCGCTTTTTCACCCAGGCTGGAGTGCAATGGCACTGTCTTGGCTCACTGCAACCTCTGCCTCCCAGGTTCAAGGCATTCTTGAGCCTCAGCCTCCCAAGCAGCTGGGATTACAGGCGTGCGCCACCACGCCCAGCTAATTTTTGTATTTTTAGTAGAGATGGGGCTTCCCATGTTGGCCAGGCTGATCTGGAACTCCTCACCTGAGGTGATCCGCCTGCCTCAGCCTTCCAAAGTGCTGGGATTATAGGCATGAGCCACTGTGAGATGGCGAGATTTCTAAAGATTCTCCGTATTGCCATTATATATAAAAGAGTCTATTTTTGAGTGATAGAACCTTAATATTTATATATGAAATGTTATCTGAGATTTGCTTCAAATTAATTCTGTGGGAGAATGAAATGGCTAGGAGTATAAATGAAATAAGATTGGCTATTTGGTAATTTTTGAAACTGATTGTATATGGTGATTTGTAAAATAATTCTCTCATGTTTGAAATTTTTCATTATGAAATTTTCCATTAAATAAGGATCGTAGGCTAGGCTCAGTGACTCTTACCTGTAACTGGGCACGGTGGTGCACACATGTAGTCCCAGGTACTTGGGAGGCTGAGGCAGGAGAATTGCCTGAACCTGGGAGGTGGAGGTTGCAGTGAGCCGAGATTGCGCCACTGCATTCCAGCCTGGGTGACAGAGCAAGACTAAGTCTCAAAACAAAACAAAACAAAAAACGGATTCTAAAGTAAATTTTTTTTTTTTTTTTTTTTTTTAGATACTCGCTCTGTCGCCCTGGCTGGAGTACGGTGGCGTGATCTTGGCTCACTGCAACCTCAGCCTCCCAAGTAGCTGGGACTACAGGCACGGGCCACCACACCTGGCTAATTTTTGTGTTTTTAGTAGAGACAGGGTTTTGCCATGTTAGCCAGGGTGGTCTTGAACTCCTGACCTCAGGTTAGCCACCTGCCTCGGCCTTTCAAATTGTTGGGATTACTGGTATGAGCCACTGCACCTGGCCTAAAGTAATTTATATCCTCAGCAAATTTGGAAACAAACTCAGCAAATATTTGAGTTTCTGGTACGTGCTACCACAAAACTAGACACTAAATATCAAATACTAGGTTAGGCAAAGCTCCTAACTTTATGGAATTTAACCACATGAGCAGCAAATAACATAGTTTCAGATAGTGACAACTGCTCTGAAAAAGTAAACTAGAGTGATCAAGTGGAGTGTAACTGGGATGGTAACCTGGGAACAAGGTGTTATATTAAGTAGAGTGGTAAAGGAAACCATCTCTGTGAGGGGGTGACATTTGAGTAGTGACCTGAATGATGAGAAGGAGCCAGTCATGATAATATCTGGGGATGAGTATTCCAAGTGGAGGAAAAAGCAAGTGTAATGGCAAGTGTGGGTTTAAAAGTTACAGAAAAAAGCATGAAAGCCAGTGTGGCTGGACATAGTGATTGAGAGGGAGAGTATAGGAAATGAAGTCTGAGATACAGGCAGGAGCCAAGTTATATGGGGCTTTGTAGGATATAGAAAAGATTTTTTAATTTATTGCATGCTCATTAAAGCTAGTGGAGGATTTTAGATAATGGAGTGTTATGATCTGATTTTCATTTTTTGAAGACCATTCTAATTGTTTCGTGGAGAACTGAAGGATGTTAAGAGTGGAAGTTAAGATACTAACTGATTAATAAACTAAAGACCAAGTGAGATGAAGATGTCTTGGACTTGTGGAATTCGTGGAAGGGATCAGGTGTAGGATAAATTTTGAAGGTAAAAGAAAAATGTAGGTATAAAACATCCCAGGATAATAGCACATGAAACAGTTTAAAGAGGTTAATTTGAAATTCAAGACCAGGCTAGGCAAAATAGTGAGACCCTGTCTCTATAAAAAAATATTTTAACTTAGCTGGGTGTGGTGGTATGTGCCTGTAGTAGTTCCACCTACTCAGGAGGCTGAAACAGGAGGATCGCTTGAGACCAGAAGTTTGAGGTTGCAGTGATCTATGATAAGTGCCATTGTACTCTGGCTTCAATAACAGAGTGAGACTCCATTTCTAAAAATAAAAAAAGGTGAACTGGTAAGGTGACATGGGGCAGGCAGTGGATTACTTTTTAGAAATTAATAAGCCTTGTGATATTTGACATTTTAAATCATTGTGATTACAATAATGGTTAAGACAATAAACATGTCCCTTCAGAAAACTACAGAGAAACATCTCCTTTTAGTATAGTATATGTTTTAATCATATGATAAAATTAAGCACTCATTGTGTGTGCCACAGTATACAGAAAAGCTCTTTTGTGTATGTTAGATTGAGTTCCTGCAGGGTAAGGATCATAGTAATTTCCATATTTTTAGAATTTGCTGGGCTTGGTGGCTCATGCCTGTAATCTTAGCACTTTGGGAGGCCAAAGTGAACCGATTGCTTGTGCTAAGGTATTTGAGACCAGCCTGGGTAACATGGCGAAACCCTGTCTCTACCAAAATTACAGAAATTAGCCCTTGGTCCCAGCTGTTCGGGAGGCTAAGGTGGGAGGATTGCTGGAGCCTGGGAAGTTGAGTCTGCAGTGAGCTGTGATCACGCCACTGCACTCCAGCCTGGGTGACAGAGAGAGACTGTTTCTTTTTTTTTTTTTTTTTTTTTTTGAGACAGTCTTGCTCTGTCATCCAGGTTGGAGTGCAGTGGCGCAATCTCAGCTCAGCTCACTGCACCCTCCGCCTCCCGGGTACAAGCAGTTCTCCTGCCTCAGCCTGCCAAGTAGCTAGGATTACAGGCACTTGCCACTATGCCCGGCTAAGTTTTGTATTTTTAGTAGAGACGGGGTTTCTCCATGTTGGCCAGGCTGGTCTCCAACTCCTGACCTCAGATGATCTGCCCGCCTCAGCCTCCCAAAGTGCTGGGATTACAGGTGTGAGTCACCATGCCCGGCCAACTCTGTTTCAAAAAAAGTAATTAAAAAAAACTACAGTTTGACCCAGTGTCTGGTTCCCCATGGGGTGAGCCCCAAAGTAGGTCTGCAGTTTATTTAGAATAATTATAGAAACTGAGGACAAAGAGGAGCAAACCATGGGATCTTTATTTATTCTCCTTAACTCTGTAAACTGCAGACTACTTTCTAGAATAATGGGGGTTTTCAGATTGGAATTTTAAAAAATATCCAATCTTGTGTTTTTTTTTTTTTTTTTTTTTTTGGGAGATGGAGTGTTGCTCTGTTGCTCAGGCTGGAGTGCAGTGGTGTGATCTTGGTTCACTGCAACCTCCACCTCCTGGGTTCCGGAGATCCTTCTGCCTCAGCCTCTCAAGTAGCTGGGATTACAAGTGTACGCCACCACACCCAGCTAATTTTTGTATTTTTAGTGAAGACGGTGTTTCACCGTGTTGGCCAGGCTGGTCTCGAACTCCTGACCTCAAGTGATCTGCTTGTCTCGGCCTCCCAAAGTGCTGGGATTAAAGATGTGAGCCACCATGCCCTTGTTTTGGCTTTTTTTTTTTTTTTTTAACTTTAGAAACAGATCTGAGTTAATTGATAGAATGAAGTTAATTGCTTTTTCAGAGCAATTAATTAACTCTGTCGATCCCAACACATAACTAGATGTAAATCTAATCTTTGCTCAGCATTGATTTGGGTTGTTGATTTGGATTAAATACTTTCTCCAGTGTTGTCTATGATGGTTTTGGTGCTTCTCTGGGATCCTTCTCGCACTTTTGGTCTGATTCGTGCTCTGGTTCCCACTGCTGAGTATTCATAGATGACACGCAACTCCAGGGCTTCCAGTCCCCCTTAGATGTCTTGTTGGACCAGTGTTTCTGATGTTGAAGTAGTCTGTGAAAGATAAATTTATTTGCCTTGCAGCTTCATTGGTTATTGATTACTTTTTCCCAGCAGTGAGTAGTGGTATGTAGTATTTATAGAGACTTTCTTTTAAAATGATCCATATTTTTCTTTAGAAGCTGTGCTTTGGGCATACCTAATAATACTTGGCATATTAGAAGCATTTTAAAATTTTTTATTTAATCTTAAATCTTTTGTTGAGATTTGACATTTTTATTTATTCCTTTTTCTTCCCCCTAAAGAGTGTAGACATTTATTTATTTATTTTGGCTTATAAACAACAGAAATTTGTTTCTCATTGTTCTGAGGACTGGAAACTCCAAGATTGAGGCGCCAGCAGATGTAATGTTTTGTGAGGACCCATTTCCTGGTTCATAGTTGATGCCTCTTCCTTGTGTCCTCACGTGGTGAAAGGAGCTATCTAGCTCTTGGTGTTATTTTATTAAGGACCCTTGTAATCTTTAATGATTTGGGTTTGTTCTTTTTCAGTTTTAGTTTTTGCTTCCTAGGTTAGACACCAAGACAGATATTTTTAAATCCTTGAGGCCAGGTGCAGTGGCTCACGCCTGTAATCCCAGCACTTGGGGAGGCTGAGGCAGGCAGATCACCTGAGGTCAGGAGTTCGAGACCAGCCTGGCCAACATGGTGAAACCCCATCTCTACTAAAAATACAGAAACTAGCTGAGCATGGTGGTGCATGCCTGTAATCCCAGCTACTCAGGAGGCTGAGGCAGGAGAATCGCTTGAACCCAGAAGGCAGAGGTTACAGTCAGCCGAGATGACGCCACTACATTCCAGCCTGGGTGACATGGTGAGACTCTGTCTCAAAAAAAAAAAAAAAAAAAAAAAAAACTTGGAATGAACAAATAACATACCTAAAATATTTAAATGCTCTAAAAATTTCCATTGCCATCAAGTTCAGGAGAAATCAACAGCTTGTTTTCCAGGCTTCAAAGAAAGTTGTCTTAAATATAAGTAACACAAGTTAAAAGGTACCATGGTTTAGTTTATATGCAGCCTGTTAAAACGAGGTGTTTTCGTTTTTGTTTCTTATAGAAATAGGGTCTTGCTCTGATGCCTAGGCTGAGTGCAGTGGTACAATCATAGCTCACTGCAGCCTCGAATTCCTGGGCTAAGTGATCCTCTTGCTCAGCCTCCTGAGCAGCTAGGATTACAGGTGCATGGTGTCACACCCAGCTAATTAAAACAAATTTTTTGTGGAGATGGGGTCTCGATATATTCCCCAGTCTGATCTTGAACTTCTTACCTCAAACTTCTCTTGCCTTGCTCTCCCAAAACACAGATTACAGGCATGAGCCACTGCACCTGGCTAAGATGGGGTGTTTATGTAGCATCATCACTAAGAGCTAAAAATACAACCAGGTGCTGCTTGAGTCTTAACCCTTTTTTCTAAAGTTACTACATTTCAATTATATGTTAAAGGTACCTCAATGACTAACACATTATATATCCTTCCCAGCAGCTCTTCTCTAGTTGTGAGAAAAGAACCTGATGTACCTGTGTTCTTTCCAAGTGGCCAGCTGGCAGAAAGTGTAAGCATGTGTTTACAGACTGGACCAACAGGGGGTGCCAGTAACAATTCTGAAACATCAGAGGAACCAAAAATTGAGCATGTAATGCAACCCTTGCTTCATCAACCATCAGATAACCAGAAAATTTACCAGGATTTATTGGTAAGAAAATGTAGAGCATTTCATCTTTTTGAGAAGGTTATTTAGTATAGGATATACTAGTTAAGCTTTTCCTAGGTTTAAACTGATTGAGACCTTAAGATAAAAAGATTTTTTGTCTAATTAACAATGTAATTTTTCTTTTAGCTTTTCATAAATTATAACTTAAATTCACTAATTTACCATAAACATACTTAAGTACTTAGAAAAACACAGCTTTATTTTTAAAGTATAAATATTGATATTATGCCTAATTCAAACCAAAATTAGTATTAGAAAATAAGCAAGAGTTTCTCGGAAATTTGAAAATTGGAAAGTAGTGGGATATTTATGATAACATTTACTGATTTTAGTTCAGGTAAGCCAATGTTTATTAAATACTTAGCTTAGTCTAAGACAGTAGGCTAAGTGAAATCGATAATATAAAGGTGAATATGACACTCTGTGCCCTTGAGAGCCTAGGGGAAACAACAGCACATGCAGACTAGTAACAATTATAAGACAGGCTGTTGAGGAGTAGTAGTGTAAAGCAAAGAGAACACAGAATAAAGGGGTAATTCTGGTTGGAGGAACTAGTATTATAAAACTTAAAATGTGATCTGGGACTTAAAGGATAGAGAAACCCTGACTGTCACTTTCATCCAAATTGTAGAACATTTGATTTGTCCATTTGCGAGAAGGCAACATACTTCACAGGGCCCTATGTATTCATCAATGAACACATATTTGTTATTTGCTTGCTAGGTCCTAGGCTGGTGCTAGCAGCTTGTATGCTCAGGGAATGAAATATGCAGAAATAGTATCACAGGTCATTCTTACTTTGAGAAAGTGAGAAGAAAAGGAGCCTAACTCTGTGAACATCATAAAGGCCTAATTTATAACTGAAACATTATCACTTTGCAAACGAAAGCATTATTTAAAACTTGTTTATAAAAAATTTAGCATAAGTCCTCGAAAATACTTGGAGAATTACTCAAAAGATTTTTTTTTTTTTTTTTGAGACAGAGTCTCTGTCACCCAGGCTAGAGTGCAGTGACATGATCTCAGCTCACTGTAACCTCTGCCTCCCAGGTTCAAGCGATTCTTGTGCCTCAGCCTTCCAAGTAGCTGGGACTACAGGCACCTGCCACCATGCCTGGCTAATTTTTTTTTTTTTTTTTGAGACAGAGTCTCACTGTGTTTCTGTTGCCCAGGCTGGAATGCAGTGACATGATCTCAGCTTACTGCAGCTTCTGCCTCCCAGGTTCAAGTGATTCTCCTGCATCAGCCTTTCAAGTAGCTGGGACCACAGGTGCACGCCACCACACCCGGCTAATTTTTGTATTTTTAGCAGAGATGGGGTTTCACCATGTTAGCCAGGCTGGTCTTGAACTCCTGGCCTCAAGTGATCTGCCCGCCTTGGCCTCCCAAAGTGCTGGGATTACAGGTTTGAGCCACACGCCTGTACTCAAATGATTTTTAAATACGTTGGTTTTTATTTTTATTTGTTTATTTTCTATTTTATTTATTTATTTTTTTTAGACAGAGTCTCACTCTGTCACCCAGGCTGGAGTACAGTGGCGCCATCTCAGCTCTCTGCAACCTGGGCCTTCTGGGTTCAAGTGATTCTCATGCCTCAGCCTCCCAAATAGCCGGGACCACAGGTACGTGCCACCACACCCGGCTAATTTTTGTATTTTTATTAGAGACAGGGTTTCACCATGTTGGCTAGGCTGGTCTTGAACTCCTGACCTAAAGTGATCCGCCCACCTTGGCCTCCCAAAGTGCTGGGATTACAGGTGTGAGCCACCACGCCCAGCTTATGTTGGTTTTTAAGTGAATGAAGTCTGAACAAGCATTCTGTTTTCTCTAGGGTCTGATGAAATTGTTCATTAGGATGTGCTTCTATAAAAACTTCATAATACCTGCAAATAATACCATAATACCTGCCTACTTGATACTTTGTGGAATTTGACAAGATACTGATTTTCCCTGGCCTTGTTGTATCATTAAGGTCTTACTGTAAAATTGTTTTTTAACTTTTTTTTAATTTTAATTTTTTTAGAGACAGAGTCTCACTTTGTCACGCAGGATATAGTGGCACAATCACGGCTAACTGCAGCCTCAGCCTCGTGGCTCAAGTGGTCCTCCTACTTCAGCCTCCTAAGTAGCTGGAACTACAGGCGTGTGCCACCGTGCCCAGCTAATTTTTAGTTTTTTGTAGAGACAGGATCTCGCTGTGTTGCCCAGGGTCTTAAACTCCTGGGCTCAAGCGATCTTCCTGCCTTGGCTTCCCAAAGTGCTGGGATTATAGGTGTGAACCACCACACCCAGCCCTAACATTGTTAATAGTGATTTTTCAAAAAAATTTTTTTTCTTTTTGTCAGGGTCAAGTAAACCACCTATTAAATAGTTCCTCCAAGGAAACTGAGCAGCCGTCTACCAAAGCAGTAATTATCAGTCATGAATGCACCAGAACCCAAAACGTTTACCATACAAAGAAAAAAACACATCATTCAAGACTGGTGGACAAAGATTGTGTCCTTAATGCAACTCTTAAGCAACTAAGAAGCCTTGGAGTAAAAATTGATTCTCCCACTAAAGTGAAGAAAAATGCACATAACGTGGATCACGCCAGGTAACTTTTAAAATTTTGTTTTAAAGAGTGAATAAATTTTATTTTTTAAAAATTTTTATTTATTTTTGCCCATCATTGGCTAGATGAATAAATTTTAGATGTATTGTGGCAATCTCATCAGAAAAGTTACGTTTGTGCCTCAATTGAGTTGATTCACGATTTATTCAGGGCCTACCATATGCATGATGAATAAGAGATTCTTCATTTTAGTGGGAGAGAGGGTTACATACATAAGTAATTTGAGAGATATTGTGGGATGACTCCTGGCTGGATAGGCCAACAAAATACTTTAGGAGTCTTGAGGAAAGAGAAAGGAGTTTTGCTTGGTAGCATCTGAAAAGTCTTTCTGGAGGTGATAAGGTCTGTTCCAGCTACTGGATGTACAGTTACACAGTCGTGCCATCTAAAAAGCAAAAATATTTCTTTTTTCTGGGAATGTGCCCAACTGGTCATGTCCTTCTGTTCAGATTCCTTTCTACCAAAGATGACCTCAGCACATAACTTATTAAAAAGAAAATAAAGTCTGGAGATTATATTATTAAGGCTGGCATATTTTCTGTTAATTATTTTTTGTTTTCTAATTTAAAAAGTAATAAAAATTCATGGTTTTAAAAAACAATACAGAAGAGAGTGTAAGATAAAATGCAAAAGCCACAACTCCCCACATTCCTGCCTGACTCTTCCAAAGTTACTTCTCTTAGGCCGGGCGCGGTGGCTCACGCCTGTAATCCCAGCACTTTGCAGGGCTGAGGCAGGTGAATCATGAGGTCAGGAGTTCGAGACCAGCCTGGCCAAGATGGTGAAACCCCGTCTCTACTAAAAATACAAAAATTAGATGGGTGCGGTGGCGGGCGCCTGTAATCTCAGCTACTTGGGAGGCTGAGGCAAGAGAATTGCCTGAACCCGGGGAGGCAGAGGTCGCAGTGAGCCGAGATAGCGCCACTGCACTCTATCTAGCCTGGACGACAGAGCAAGACTCAGTCAAAAAAAAAAAAAAAAAAAAGGCCGGGCGCGGTACCTCACACCTGTAATCCCAGCACTTTGGGAAGCCGAGGTGGGCGGATCACGAGGTCAGGAGATCAAGACCATTCTGGCTAACACGGTGAAACCCCGTCTCTACTAAAAATACAAAAAATTAGCTGAGCGTGGTGGTGGGCGCCTGTAGTCCCAGCTACTCAGGAGGCTGAGGCACGAGAATGGCGTGAACCCAGGAGGCAGAGCTTGCAGTGAGCCGAGATTGCGCCACTGCACTCCAGCTTGGATAGCAAAGCAAGACTGTCTCAAAAAAAAAAAAAAGCAAAGTTACTTCTCTTAACCATTTCTTTTGTATTCTAGAAATGTTCCATGCATGTTCAAGTATATGTGTATGTGATAAGCTTTGTGATTTGATTTTTTGTTGTTGTTGCTGTTGTTTTAATTTTGAGACAGTCTCGCTCTGTCACCCAGGCTGGAGTGCAGTGGCATGATCACAGCTCACTGCAGCCTCAACCTCCTGGACTCAAGTGAGCCTCCCATCTCAGCCTTTTGAGTAGCTGGCACTACAGGCTTGCACCAGTACTTAGCTAATTTTTTATTTTTTGCAGAGATGGTGTCTTGCTATGTTGCCCAGTCTGGTCTCAGACAAACTCTTAGACTCAAGCAATCTTCCCACCTTGGCCTCCCAAAGTGCTAGGATTACAGCCGTGAGCCACTGCACCTGGCCTGTTTTTTTGTTTTTGTTTTAAACATGATATTATAATATCTTGGATACTTTTCCTTATAGGGATATACAGTTCTTTCTCTTGTATTTAAACAGCTGCATAATATTCTTTTGTACCCTTGTACTAGAATATATTGAACCCCAGTGCTCTATTAATGGACCTTTAGGCCAAATCTCTTATTTGTTATTTCAAGCAATCCTAAGTGAACATCATTCTACAGGTACAAGTATCTTTGTAGGATAAATTCCTAGATAGGCAGGATCAAAGAGTATGTGCATTCAAAGTCTTAGTAGATGCTACCATTGCTCATCAAATAGTTGTACCAGTTTATATTCCTACCAATAGTGTAAAAGAGTGAGGCTAGCATTTTTGAGTTTTTTATCCATGTTGCAAGATAGAGGCTATGTATCCTAACCCTTCCCCTCTTGTCAGAACTGAGAACCAACTTGTCACGTTAGTTGTGGTTTCTTACTATTTTAATGTTGCTGTGATGATCTTTTGCAAATATTGCTTTTCAGTTTTAGGATTATTTCCTTAGAATAGAATCTCGGAAATGGAAAGACTAAGGTAAAATGATACAAAAATTTTAAAGCTGTTGCTAAGTTGCTTTCTGAAAGAGTAAGTATTATTACCAGCTACACATATACATGTGTGCCAGCTACCATTTCACCAATACATTCACTTCAACAAATACTTACTGAGTTTCTATGAGCCAGCCTATAAGAGATATCGTAATACACAAGATAACCTGATAAAGAAAGACATCTTTGTTCTCATAGAGTTTACAGTTCAGTGGGGAAGACACAGATAGTCAATATCTTTTATGCCTGCTATGAAATGGAAGGATAGGGAATGCCATGGAATCACATAGGAAAGGTAGCTAACTTAATTTATAAAGGAAAGGAAAAAAGAAAGGTAGCTAACTTTAGGAGTATTTCATACTGTGTTGTAATTGATCTACATCAAAATGGCCCCTTTTAAAGATCTGTACTAATTAAGACCAAAAATATCTTAAAGTTTTGAAAGTTATATTTTATTATTGATGCAATATCTGTATATTTAAAACTTTTTTTTAGTTTTTAAAAATAGGATCTTGCTCTGTCACCCAGGCCTGTCACCCAGGCTGGAGTATGATGGTACAATCATAATTTATGTAACCTCAAACTCCTGGGCTGAAGCCAATCCTCCTGCCTCAGCTTTTTGAGTAGCTGGGACCACAGGCGTGTGCCATCATCTCTATGTCATTTTGATTAAATAGGAAACTGTACTGCAATAGTTTCTCCAACATAAGAGTTAAATTTAGTTTCCCTGTTATCTTAGGCTCCGTCTGGAATATCCTCCCAGCCTATCTGAGGCCTACCTGATTAATTCGCATTGTTTCAGTTTGACTTAAACTTAGTTTTTTAGTATAATGTCCTACCATTCTCTACCAAGTTCCAGCCTACTTGCCATTGGCATTTGCAAGATTCCTTGATGTTACTTTTATCTGAGGTGCTCTTTTTTTTTACCTTTCTGCTTGCCAAAATCCTTATCCTTCAAAGCTGAACTCAAATGTCACCTCTTTGGTCAGTTTCCTGGACCTCTCAGAGTGTATTGATGTTTTGTACTCTTATTGCCCAGGCTGGAGTGCAGTGGCATGATCTGGGCTCACCATAACCTTCACCTCCCGGCTTCAAGTGATTTCTCCTGCCTCAGCCTTCCTGAGTAGCTGGGATTACAGGCATGCGCCACCATGCCCGGCTAATTTTGTACTTTTAGTAGAGACAGGGTTTCTCCATGTTAGTCAGGCTGGTCTCGAACTCCCAACCTCAGATGATCCACCTGCCTCGGCCTCCCAAAGTGCTGGGATTACAGGCGTGAGCCACCGTGCCTGGCCGATGTTTTGTACTCTTAAAATACCTCGTTCTCAGTAAATTGTAGCATGTACTTATGACACATTTTCAGCAAGATTTTTTTTTTTTTTTTTTTGAGATGGAGTCTCGCTCTGTCGCCCAGGCTGGAGTGTAGTGGCATGATCTTGGCTCACTGCAACCTCCGCCCCCCAGGTTCAAGCAATTCTTCTGCCTCCGCCTCCTGAGTAGCTGGGACTACAGGTGCGCACCACCACGCCCAGCTAAGTTTTGTGTTTTTAGTAGAGACGGGGTTTCACTATATTGGCCAGGCTAGTCTCAAACTCCTGACCTTGTGATCTGCCAGTCTCGGCCTCCCAAAGTGCTGGGATTGCAGGCATGAGCCACTGCTCCAGCGAAGATTTTATATAGTTCTAAATCCTCATTGCCTCTACCACTAACTTAGTGGGCCTTCAATGAGTCATTTGCTGAATGAACGACATTCCTCCTACTCAGGTCATCACCGACGCTTACAGTGAAGGTTCATTTTTAGTGTCTTTGTAGTATTTACTGTCAGTATTTATAATCTTATATTGTTAACTTTTTAACATGTGTAGGTATAATATAACTGGTATACTAAAAGTTTATAAGGCCGTTGTTTAGAATGTAAGACACATTTTTCTATAGAAACAGTGTTACAGATTATAGGTTGAATATTCTAGGAAACTAATCCTTATAATCCATGCTGTTCCTCTAGCTCTGTAAATCAGCCGTCTTTTATCATTGTGTCTATGTGAAAACTCATTTCATGTTCCAGTTCTGGACTCCAGGAGCACATCATTCCGCCAGAAGAGTGGCTAAGGCAGGGGAAGGAAGACCTGCTTTCTATTTTCCTGTTAATAGAATGCCGCAGAGATTAAGAGAGTCTAAAGGCAGGAAGGCAGGGAAAAAGGGTGCCAGACAAACCTAGAAATTGTGCAGGAAATGGAGATTGTGGGTTCGAGGTCTGGAAGCAACCTCTACATATTCCCAATTGGAGTGACTTTTTGAATTCAAAACCTGTCTCAAGTAGTCTCTCTAGTTGCTTCTTTACCTTGCTTCCTGGCTATCTGCTTAGTAGTTGAAAAACTGTGTAGGATAAGTAGTAGATAACTAATCTGGATTCAAATAGGATCATGAATCAAAGTTGACTTTTTTTTTTTTTTTTTTGAGAGACAGGGTCTCGCTCTGTTGCCCAGGCTGCAGTGCAGTGGCACAATCATGGCTCAACTGCAGCCTCAATCTCCTGGGCTCAAGTGATCCTCCCACTTTAGCTTCCTGAGTAGCTGGGACTACAGGTGTGCAGCAGCACACCCAGCTTATTTTTATTTGTAGAGATGGGGGTCTTGATTGTCATCTGAGTTGGAATAATTTTAGAGCTTCCCATAAATTGTTGACATGTGGCTAACTCAAATTTATTCATGGACTTTCATCATTCCTTGTGGCTGCACATCTAATGAGATTTTAACATAGGCATATATTTGTGCTCAGGCTTTTAGGATTTGATTAGTGGAATGGGTTCCTTTTTGCTTTTCGTCTTAATTACCCTAGTGTTTATATGCTTTGGTTTCTGAGTATTATTGATTTTTTTTTTAGTGATGTGGTCTCTATTTTGCCTAGGGTGGCCCCTTGAATGCCTGGGCTTAAGCAATCCTCCTGCCTCAGGCTCCTGAGAAGCTAGGACTACAGGTGTGCATACCACTGTGCCTGTCTTGATTTGTTTTGCTATTAAAGTAATGATATCTCATTGCCCCTAGCCCACCCTCCAAATTGAAATTGGCTAGCTTGTGTTAGGCATTGAAACTTGAATAGCCTTCTAAACTGATATTGACTACTTTATGGATCTTTTAACCATTCTATAAAAGAAGCCCTAGTTAAAATTAAGAGGCTGGGCATGGTGTCTCATGCCTGTTATCCCAGCACTTTGGGAGGCCAAGATGGGAGGATCACTGGAGCTCAGGAGTTCAAGACCAGCCTGAACAACATAGTGAGACCCCATCTTTACAAAAAGAAAAATTTTTGATTAGCTGGGCATGGTGGCATGCACCTGTAGTCCCAGCTACTTGGGAGGCTGAGGTAGGAGGGTCACTTGAGTCTGGGAGGTCGATGCCATGGTGAGCCATGATTGCGCCACTGCACTCCAGCCTTAGTGGCAGAGTGAGACCTTGTCTCAAAAAAAACAAAAAAAAAACCCAAATTAGACCTGCTTTCTTTAAATATTTAACATTTTGAATTAGTAGTTTTTCTTTGCTTTTATCAAATTATTTACATTAACATTATCTATAGACTGAGGAAATAGGCAAAGTAGAAAAAGACTTCCAAAAGTATTGTCACTATGAATAAAAGAATAATGTCTGGATAAATTAGTAGTATCTCTTTCATCTTATTAAAATAGTCTTCAAAGCATTAAATGCCAAGAAGATTAAGGGAGAATTTCAAGGTTGTAAAGACCAGCATTAGTGAGCACACTGTTCCATTGTTTGGTGATGGCATCACTGGTTTCAGAGAATTTTTTTTTTTTTTTTTTTTTTTTTTTTTTTGAGACAGAGTCTCACTCTGTCACCTAGGCTGGAATGCAGTGACGCAATCTCGGCTCACTGCAACCTCCGCCTCCTGTGTTTAACCGATTCTCCTGTCTCAGCCTACAGAGTAGCTGGGATTACAGGCACCCGCCACCACGCCCAGCTAATTTTTTTGTATTTTTAGTAGAGACGGGGTTTTGCCATGTTGGCCAGGTTGGTCTCAAACTCCTGACCTCAGGTGATCTGCTCACCTCGGCCTCCCAAAGTGCTGGGATTACAGGCGGGAGCCACCATGCCTGGCCTGGTTTCAGGGATTATTAGTGGTTGGAAATAGTTTTTTGCGAATTTCAGGTGCTTATAAGAATGAAAATATATAATGGTTGTTTGATTTTTGTGGGTCTGTGAATGCAAGCAGTGGCTAGCACATATAAAACAGCTGAATTTCTTCATGGGATGATGTAGAAAGCCATAGCATATTTGACTAGAATATAATGTTCACCACAACAAATAGTGCACAAAGGACTCTGATAGAAAAAATCCAAGTTACTGAATATAGTACAGTAAAAGAGTGGTTGCAGAGCCCCAGAGAGTAAGGCAGTCATGGATTATCTCAGCTTGCTATGTACTATTTAGCTTGGAAAAAATAGCTCAAATCTCTATTCCTCAGTTTTCTCAACTGAGAGTAAATATAACAATAGTACCTACTACTTTTATTCATTCAACAAGTACTTACTGAGTGCCTACTATGTGTGTCCAGGCATCGAGGATACTGCAGTGGGGGCCAGGAGAACAGACAAAACTCTGTCCTTATTGGCTTTCATGAGGGTGCTAGACAATAAATAAGAATCGAGCATTGATTGAATATGTAGATGTGTGTATTCAATGTATAGACCGCGGTAAGTGCTAAAAAGAAAACAAAAAAGTAGGGGAAAGGGAATGTAAGATGTTGAAATGGAGAATAAGATAGAAATATTCCATAGAGAATACCTCCCTGACAAAGGTTACTGTAAGGAATGTATATGAATAATGCATGTAAAGCATTAATAGAGTACCTGGCATATATAACGACTCAGTAATTAGCAGGCTGGGTACAGTGGCTCACGCCTGTAATCCCAACACTTTTGGGAATTCGAGGAGGGAGGCTCGCTTTACCTCAGGAGTTTGAGAGCAGCCTGAGTCTGTAATTGTGCCAACATTAGCAAATGACATGCAGTTGCCACTGTACTCTAGACTGGGCAACAGAGCAAGACCCTGTCTCCAAAAAAAAAAATTAGCAGCTATTTATTATATATGTGATATTAAGGAAAAGGTAAGTCAGTTGACTTAACACTAATCAAAGTAAGTTGAAGATTATAACTAATGAAAAAAGTATTCGTGTGTGTGTGTGTGTGTGTGTGTGTGTGTGTGTGTGTGTGTGTGTATAAGCCCATATCCAGAGACTGGTTGATGTTTTTTATTAATTGCAAATGGAATCTCTTCAACTATGAACAATTTAATTTTCTGAGCTACTTACTAAAGCTTGTACTGTTATATAATCAAATGTGTTTTGTGTTTGATTTTATTTTTATGTTTTACTTTACATTAAACATTAGCTGATCTCTTGTGCTGTTTGGGCTAATAGTCGTAAATTAAATGACTCATAGCTATGTTGATGACTTTTACATTTGGGGCCTTGTATTTGTTCTTAAAACCATGACTGATATACAGATTTAGGAAAATTAATTTGTATTCCACTTTAAACCTGTAAATCATGGATTACCTTCTAGGCTATTATTTGTATCCCTTTTTTTATTTTTTCTTTATTTTTTCTTTTTTAAGAGACAGGGTCTTGTTCTGTTGCCCAGGCTGGAGTGCAGTGGCACGATCATGGCTCACTGTAACTTTGAACTCTTGAGCTCAAGCAATCCTCCTGCCTCAGCCTCTTGAGTAGTTGGGACTATAAATGTGCACCACCATGCCTGGCCAATTTTTAAATTTTTTTGTAGAGACAAGATCTTGCTATATTGCCTAGGCTGATCTTGAACTCCTGGCTTCAAGCAATCCTCCCACCTCAGTGCCCCAATCTGCTGGGATTGGAGGCTTGGGCCACTATACCCAGCCCATATGTATCCTTTGTGTATCTGGATCATCAAGACTTAGATGTCTGAGTAGTTAGATAAAAGGACCATGAACTTAAAGCTGAAGATCTTTTGTTGCTTGTATAGAATGGAACACATTGAGAACTATGTATTACTTAGAATATGGTAAATGATGGCTTACTACTTTGTGTCTTTCAGTGTGTTGGCATGCATCAGCCCAGAAGCAGTGATCTCTGGATTAAACTGCATGTCATTTGCTAATGTTGGCATGAGCGGCTTAAGCCCCAATGGTGTGGATTTGAGCATGGAGGCAAATGCTATAGCTCTGAAATATTTAAATGAAAATCAGCTGTCACAACTGTCTGTCACTCGATCGAACCAAAATAATTGTGACCCATTCAGCCTTCTCCATATTAATACAGACAGAAGCACAGTGGGGCTTAGTTTAATTTCACCAAACAACATGTCATTTGCAACCAAAAAATATATGAAGAGATATGGACTCCTACAAAGCAGTGACAATAGTGAAGATGAAGAGGAACCTCCCGACAATGCAGATAGCAAGAGTGAATATTTATTGAATCAGAACCTTAGGTCCATACCTGAACAGCTTGGTGGTCAGAAAGAGCCTTCTAAGAATGACCATGAAATAATTAATTGTTCTAACTGTGAATCTGTGGGGACCAACGCAGATACGCCAGTATTGAGAAATATTACAAATGAAGTTTTGCAGACAAAAGCAAAACAGCAGTTGACTGAAAAGCCAGCTTTCTTAGTAAAGAACCTTAAACCAAGTCCTGCAGTGAACCTTCGAACCGGGAAAGCAGAGTTCACTCAACATCCTGAGAAAGAAAATGAAGGGGACATTACAATTTTTCCTGAAAGTTTGCAACCTTCTGAAACGCTAAAGCAGATGAATAGCATGAATTCAGTAGGCACCTTCTTAGATGTAAAACGTCTCAGACAGTTACCAAAATTATTTTAACCTTTTAACTCCCTGCCCTTTTAATACAGGGACAGGGTGTCTCCTGAAGATACTTAGGGAAAACAGGAGCCTACCACAAGGCTCCTGATCATTCTGGAGTCACTGTTTCTTGGTAGCAGCCAATTGGGAAGAGTGACTTCTGTGAGATGGCTGGCTGGTGATAGGACTAAGTTCTCATTGTTCAAATAGAGCTGTTCAACATCACTGAAACCTTTAAGAAAAGCCCTGAGATCAGTTATTCCTACAAGTTTAAGTAGTAGACAGATACTATCCAGCTCTAAGTCTCAACTGCTCTTTTATACTGTACTTTTTTTTTTGAGACGGAGTTTTGCTCTTGTAGCCCAGGCTGGAGTGCAATGGCAGGATCTCAGATCACTGCAACCTCTGCCTCCTGGGTTCAAGCGATTTTCCTGCTTCATCTTCCCAGGTAGCTGGGATTACAGGCATGTGCCACAACGCCTGGCTAATTTTGTATTTTTAGTAGAGACTGGTTTCTCCATGTTGGTCAGGCTGGTCTCAAACTCCCGACCTCAGGTGATCCGCCCGCCTCGGCCTCCTAAAGTGCTGGGATTACAGGCGTGAGCCACTGCGCCCAGCTATACTGTATATTTTAAGAAGTTCCAGCATGTTGCATCTCTGCATTTATCCTATATCATTAAAAGAACATAAGTTATCATGGTGTTGGGTAAATTAGCGAAATCAACCCTTCCTAAGTTTAAGGGAAAAGTTATTTTTAAAAACAACTTAATAAAAACTTACACTCTTTTATACAAGAGTGTATTTCCCCTTAATTAGGATGCATGTTGATTAAACTCGAGATACAGCTTTTTGCAGTATGGTGGGTTGGTTTTGGTGTAACATCTTCAACATGTCACACTGGCTATCAAAGAATAAGAAAATTATTGAGTATGAGTGTGTTTTATAAACTTTCTGAGTTTTTCAGATGTCTTAATATTTTTTAATAGAACTTAATAAAATGTCTAGATTGACTATTTTCCTTTGTTGTCTGTTATAGTTTATTCTCCACTTTTTAAAAAACTCTTAGACTGCCCCCAAATTACAAAAATAATACAGAGAGTTCCCGTATACCCTTCTTCCAGTGTCCTCCAGTGATAATATCTTACATAAGCATAGTAAATGAGCAAAACCAAGCAATTGACATTGGCTATAATGCTAATAACTGAACCACAGACCTATCAGGTTTCACAAGTGTTTACATGCACTCATTTATTTACTTTTTGGTATATAGCTTTATGAAATTTTATCTTTTTTTTCTTCTTCGAGATGGAGTCTTGCTCTGTTGCCCAGGATGGAGTACAGTGGCGTGATCTTGGCTCACAGCATCTTCTATCTCCTGGGTTCAAGTGATTCTTGTGCCTCAGCCTCCCGAGTAGCTTGGATTACAGGCATACACCACCACGCCTGGCTAATTTTTATAGTTTCAGTAGAGATGGGGTTTCACCTTGTTGGCCAGGCTGGTCTCAAACTCCTGATCTCAAGTAATCTGCCCACTCTGCCTCCCAAAGTTCTGGGATTACAGGCATGGGCCACCGCTCCCAGCCATGAAATTTTATCTTTTGAGACGGAGTCTTGCTCTGTTGCCCAGGCTGGAGTGCAGTGGTGCGACCTTGGCTCACTGCAACCTCTGCTTCCCGGATTCTAGTGATTCTCCTGCCTCAGCCTCCCAAGTAGCTGGAACTACAGGTGCATGCCACCACACCTGGCTAATTTTTGTATTTTTAGTAGAGACAGAGTTTCACCATGTTGGCCAGTCTGGCCTCAAACTCCTGACCTCGTGATCTGCCCACCTCGGCCTCCCGAAGTGCTGGTTATAGGCGTGAGCCACTGCCTGGCTGAAATTTTATCTTTTATAGAATCACATAACTACTACCATAGTCAGCATACAGAACTATTCCATCACCACAAACTCCCTAGTGCTACCCTTTTAAAACACACGGTCTCTCCAACCCTAACCCCCAGCAGCCAGTGATTTGTTCTCCACCACTAGAATTTTGGCCTTTTGAGAATCTTTTATATAAATGGAATCATATAGTGTGTACCTTTTTGAAATTTGCTGTTTTCACTTGGCATGATGTCCTAAGATACATCCAAGTCGATGAGTGTATCAGTTCTTTCCTGGCACATCCCCCACAACCTTTTTAAAAGGTCTTAAATTGTTACATTTGAATATAAATTAAAGAGTCCTCATTGAGTTGAAAGATAAGGCTTTTCTGATGAAGTTAAATTGAGATGTTGTTGCTTCATATCAAAGTTGATATGTAAACTGGAAATAAATGGACTTTGGATCCATTTTCAACCCAGCTGTGGCTTTCTGAGAAAACCTGATATCACTTTACAGTAGCAAGCCCAAGTGTAGTAACATGGTGGCTCCCTACTCTTCCCCACTGGAGCCATGGACCAGTTAGTGCATCTTTCCCTACATCATTGCTCTTTCAAGTTAAAATTAAGACATGTAAGTGGCAGTGGTGATGTCTTGCCCTGTGTTTCCATGCACATTGTTTGAGACTTTAGTTATTTTAATAAATAGCATAAAAATTCACTTACATGTTTTATTGGAGTAAGTTTACGTAATGGAATTGTCAGTGCCACTTCAAGTGTGTTCTGTTTAGCCCTCAGTTTCACTCAACGAGTGTAGATACGATTTATATTGCACACTATTGAAGAAACAGTGAATTAACTGACAGCCTCATCAAGTACCTTTATCACTGGGAGCCCTGTAATGTTTATACCAAACGAAGCTATCTTAATAGTAAAAATGGAACCTAAGCTTTTTAGGCAAAGTCTAATTACCACATCCAATTTAAGGCCACATTTAATTTTTTTTTTTTTTTTTTTTGAGACAGAGTTACTTTTTCGCCCTGGCTGGAATGCAGTGGTGCGATCTTGGCTCACTGCGACCTCCACCTCCTGGGGTTCAAGTGATTCTCCTGCTTCAGCCTCCCGAGTAGCTGGGACTACAGGGGCGTGGCCCCACACCCAGCTAATTTTTGTATTTTTAGTAGAGACGGGGGTTTCACTATGTTGGCCAGGCTGGTCTCGAACTCCTGACCTCAGGTGATCCACCCACCTTGACCTCCCAAAGTGCTGGGATTACAGGCATGAGCCACCGCACCTGGCCAAGGCCACATCTAATTAAAATGTCTAAGCAGTTTTGGAGCCTGAATTTAGACTGCAGATTAATTCAACAAAACAATGTCTCTTTCTACTAAACATGTGCCAAGAGAAGAGGAACCATTACCGAAGCCTACTCTGGAAGGTGTTTTACAATGAGAAGGTTGATAGAGTTTGGATGTTTGTTCCCACCAAATCTCATGTTGAATTGTAATCCCTAATGCTGGAGGTGGGGCCTGGTGGGAGGTGTTTGGGTCACAGGGACAAGTCCCTCATGGTTTGGTGTTATCTTCAAGATAGTGAGTTCAGGTAAGATCTAGTCATTTAAAAGCTTAAAAAGTGTGTGGTGCCTAACCCGCACCCCTGCCACCACCGCAAACCTCCTTTCTTTATAAATTACCCAGTCTCAGATGTTTCTTTAGAGCAATGCAAAAATGGCCTAGTACAAGTTATTTGGCAAATTAGTTGCTATGATAGCTTTTAGGCATCTTTAGAGAAAGCATTAGTACTGGGAAAATTGGATTTTAAAATTTTAGGTCGGGCGCGGTGGCTCACGCCTGTAATCCCAATACTTTGGTTAGCCGAGGTGGGCGGATCACCCGAGGTCAGGAGTTCGAGACCAGCCTGGCCAACATGGTGAAACCCCACCTCTACTAAAAATACAAAAATTAGTTGGGCGTGATGCCACTCCCCTGTAGTCCCAGCTACTCGGGAGGCTGAGGCAGGAGAATCACTTGAACCTGGGAGGCAGAGGTTATGGTGAATCGAGATCGCGCCACTGCACGCGCCTGGGCAACAGAGTGAGACTCCATCTCAAAAAAGAAAAAAATACTTTGGAGATACTTGCCTATCAAGTGACATATCTCTGAATTTCTTTCCTCCAGTCCTGCAGCATACTGTTTATAAGATAACATGGATGCTACTTCAAATGGAATAGGAAAATGATGGAACTTATATTACCTAACTTCTGGGAAACAAACCTGTTAGTCCGAGTCCTGGCCAGTTGGCAACCACTCTTACCCCACTTCGCCAAAAGTCTCCTCACTCAACCTCTAAGCCCCTTGCCGGTTAGTTTAAATCAATAACTACTCCATGCTCCACTTTTGTCCTCTGCTTTATCCTGCCCTGTGCTAAGCCCCACAGAAGTGGATGTAGACATGTTAAACAGTATCCTTGCCTTTGCCAGCTGTAAAGATTCTACAGAAAACAGATACACCCAGGAAATAGTCACAAGAGTTATGAGAGTATGATGAAAAGCCAACATGAATGATCTAGACTCTAAGGAGCCAAAACAATGTATTGGTGATCATGTCCATCTTTTTAAGACTTACTGTGTGCTCACAGGGCACTGTGCAGAGCACTTCACATGCATTAGTTCATTTAAGACTCCTGGCTGACACCAGTTGGTGATAGCTATGGTTTGAATATCTGTCCCCTCCAAACCTCATGTTGAAACTTAATCTTCAATGTGGCAGTGTTGAGATGTGGGGCCCTTAAGAGCTGATTGGGTCATGAGGATTCTGCCCTCTTAAATGGGTTAATCCATTCATAGATTCATGGATTAATGGTTTATCATGGGAATGAGACTGGTGGCTTTATAAGAAAAGGGAGGCCAGGCGCGGTGGCTCATGCCTGTAATCCCAGCACTTTGGGAGGCTGAGGCGGGCGGATCACGAGGTTAAGAGTTAGAAACCATCCTGGCCAACATGGTGAATGGGCGTGGTTGTGCGTGTCTGTAGTCCCAGCAACTCGGGAAGCTGAGGCAGGAGAATCGCTTGAACCTGGGAGGCGAAGGTTGCAGTGAGTCGAGATTGCGCCACTGCACTGCAGCCTGGCAACAGAGTGAGACCCCATCTCACAAAAAAAAAAAGAAAAAGAAAAGGTAGAGAGACCTGAGCTAGCATGCTCAGACCCCTCACCTTGGATGCCCTGTGCCACCTCAGGATTCTGCAGAGTCCCTGACAGCAAGAAGGCCCTCACAAAATGCAGCCCCTCAACTTTGAACTTCTCAGCCTCTGTAACTGTAAGAATGAATTTCTTTTTATAAATTACTCAGTTTCAGATATTTCTGTTATAGGCAATAAAAACAGACTAAGACAGTGATTGTTATCTTCATAGTTGAGGGAAGAGCCTCAGGTAAGTAATTTACCCATGTAAGTTGCTACCAGAGATTCAAGTTTAAGTATAACTCTAGAGCTCAAGGTCTTACTAAGCCATTGAGAAATATAACCTCTCCGGCCTGAGGAATTCAGGGAGAGCTTTCTGCAAGAAATAGATCTTGAGCTGAATAAATTATTTCAAATACTACAGCCAATGCTGTCTTTAAATACTGTGCTCTCCTCCAAGCTGCCCCACTTTCCTTTTCTTCAGGAAGGAATCTCTTGCCCTTTAGCCAAGACCAGAAGCAATCATTTTTTACTCATATGTTCTGAAGCAGGCAACCCCAGCTCTGTTAATGTTAAAGTGTTCACTTCCATTGATTTTACAATGTGATAAACTAGTACTGAGTCTGTACTATAAGGGCTCTGGGAAATTGGAGGAATAAAAAGTTCCTTCTGTGCCCTTGTTTTCTAGGCATTGCTCCTGAAGGCAGAACCTTCCCTAGCCTCCTAGATTAACTGAGGGGCCCTTATACCAGCAATATAAATTTCCTGATAATGTCTGACGTTTGCAGACTCCTTCACACTTTGCAAAGTGCTTTTCCACATATTTTTCACATAGAATTCTCACAACAAAACCCTACTGAAATATGTATGGCAGGCAAAATTGATCCCTTTTTACCAATGATGAGACAGAACCAAAGTATAACTGGGCTAAAATCATACACTTATAGTTAACAAGCAGGACACCAGCCTAGTGTCCCTCCACAGCATCTAGCCCAATGCAGCCACTCCCTCCACCTTTCCTCTACGCACCAGTATCGTTTTTGCACCTAGTCATTCAACAGATAAATAATGTTGATCCTGCTGGACACCGAGCTAGAAGCTGAGCGTAAGATGATGAATAAAATGTGCCCTCTAGGAACTCAGTCTAATGAGGGAGAGACACGCAAACATTAGCAGTACCATTAGATAAGTGCTTATAATGAAACAACACAACGTGAGAATATAAGAGAAGATGGGAGGTTATTTTCAGAATATTCTACAGAGGCGGTGACATTTTCCCAGAATCAGGAGTAATAGGAAAGAAAAGAGGAGCCGGGGATATTTCTGATGGAGGGAACCACTTCTGCAAAAGCAAGGAGCTATGAATAGGTATAGCATTTGGAAGAGGGGATTTGGGGAAGGGAACCAAAGATAGGAAAGAAAAGACACACAAGTAGATAGAACACCAAATTAGGAGTCAGCAAAAATTGGCTTCCTGTTGTTGCTCTGTCCCAAACTCTGTGACATTGGACAAGTCACTGGCTTTTAGTTTCTCAGTTTTTGAGGTGAAGGGGTTAGCCCTGAGTTTCTCTGATATGCTGTGATTGTATGAAATGATGGTGTGGAAATCGTATGTGAGCAGTTGTTTGAAAATCCAGAGGAGAGAAAGGCTTCCTGCAAGAGAGAGCACTGGAGTTGGGCTTTGAAAGATTTTGAAGGATTTCCACAGGCAGAAGTGATATTTCCTTACTTTTTATTTAATACAGTGTTTAACATATTTCATAATTTAAAAGGAAATTCTGTCATTCCCCACAACAGTGTTAAGTACTATCTGTTCAAAGTACCAACATATCTTTCTTCAGCTCTGAATTACGCATTCCGTTTCTAAGGAGCTCAAAACATAAAGCCCATGAAAAGGTGCTTTAAGGTTTGGAAGCCTGGATGATGCTCCCTATCTCTTCCTCCCCACTCCCCAAACCGGAACTGTCTGGGTCACAGAGAACATCCTCAGAGGAAATCCTGTTTTCCCACTTCCTGGTCAGAGGCTGAACTCCAGGAAAAGGATGGATTTGGGGAGAGCTCTGTGTCCTGCCTCTTCATGGGAGGTCTGGGGCCACAAAGGGGTGAGGGAGGGGCTGATCACAAACACAACGGAAAGATGACATCAGGTATCCAAGAGTGTGAGAGCTTGAGGGCTTTAAGCAATCACTTAGTCCTCCTATGCGTGAGGACCCTGGGGTCCAAAGAAGAGATGGGACCTGCTCAAGTTCACACAATGTTGTAAGCAAGAGCTGGGGCTGGAATTCAGGACTCTAGCCTTCCAGGTTTTACTACCATATGCCGTGGCATGTGAGTCAGAAAGTTAGGTACTGAGCAATCAAACCCAGGCCTCTCTGTTCGCCTGGACATACCACAAAGGACAGAAAAGGAAGGCAGCCCCCATGCACGCAGACACTCTTCAGCCTTCTTACCTTTGCTTACATTACTCCCTTTGCCTCCAAACTCTCTACAGGTTCAAAGTCCTGTGGACCCCCGAAAACCTCTGCCTCCCCTCCCATCCTAAAAGAATCTTCCTGGAATCCTCATGTGGAAGTGATATTATCCTTCTTAGAGACTTCATAGCAGGCCAAGCACGGTGGCTCATGCATTATAATCCCAACATTTTGAGAGGGAGGATCACTTGAGCCCAGGAGTTTGAGACCATCCTGGGCACCATAGGGAGGCTCTGTCTCTACAAAAAAATAAAAATAAAATAATTAGCTGAGTATGATGCCATGTGCACCTGTAGTCCCAGCTACTCAGGAGACTGAGGCACTTGACTGCAGGAGATCAAGGCTGCAGAAAAGAAAAGAAAAGAAAAAAAAAAGAAAAGAGAAGAAAAGAAAAGAAGTTCCATAGCGCTTTCTCTGGTCCTTGTCTTGTCCTCTCAGAATTCATTACAACCAGCTTGGGAGCTCCTCAAGAACAGGGACTGTGTGTGATCCTCTTGTCCAAGGAAGAGCTACACGGAAAAGATCTGCTGAATGCTCCTGCTATGTCATGGGCGATGTGCTAGACTCTGAGGAGCATAACGAAGAAAAAGAAGGTGCTGTTAGATCCTAGTGTTGTAGGTGTGCATGTGTGCATGCTCGGACTCATATGTGCAGAATCATATTCATCTAACACTGATCAGAGTCCTACTCAGTATCTCATTTAGACCTCAAAATAGCCCTTCCAGGTAAGTGGAAGCAAATATGCAGCTTCACATGCAGACACTCAGAAGTACTCAGAATTACCAAGAAATGGGACAAATCAGAAGAAAAGACCTGCAATAAGTGACAAACTCCTGGTTCAGGATAGTGGAATAAGAATGAGATTGAGGGAAGGAAAATGAAACTATTCTTAGAGATCTTTTTAAAGACCAGAAACTGTCTGCTATGGAACCAATACTATTTGCTTGCCGCATTGGGGATCAGTAGGGTTTAAAGGAAAGCATTATTACACATATTCCTTCATCTAATCATCACAATTTGGTGCAGTAATAACAATACTTAACCTTTACTGAACACACCTGCTATGTCTTAAGTCTGTTACATTTGTTAACTCATTTATTCCTTACAACTGTATGAAGTCGATACTATTCTAATCTCCCATTTAGTAGGCTGGAAATAGGAATAGAGAGATTAAGTAATGTGGCCCAAGTTCACACAGCCAATATACTGATTCAAATCTTGGCAGTCTGGTTCCAGATCTCATGCCCTTCTTTTTGGTAGAGATGGTGTTTCACCATGTTGCCCAGATTGGTCTTGAACTACTGGGTTCAAGTGATCTGCCCACCTCAGACTCCCAAAGTGCTAGGATTACAGGTGTGGGCCCCCACACCCGGCCCAGATCCCATGCTCTTAACCTGAACATCAGATTAGGATTATCCCTGTGAGGAAATGGAGACTCAAGCGTAAAGTGACATGCCCAAGGCCACACAGGTGAATTAAGTGGTGAAGTCAGGATTTGAACTCTGGCCTGTGTGGCTTCAGAGCCTAGGTTCTCCTTCTTTTTCTCCTCCTTATCCCTTGGGAGCAGCAGGTTGAAATAAGCATGTGCTTCAGTTCCCTAAAACCGATGTTCCTACCTTGATAAAGTGATACTGGGTCTTAGATGCTGGTTGGAAGGGGAGCAGGTTCATGTTTTATAGCTGAGTCACTCCTGTGAGTGACTTGCTCCAAACCCCCAAAAACACGAGGGGCCTGTGCTGTGACTCTCCAAGACCTCTGCTTGCCCTCACCTCCCAACCCAGCACAGAGACCATCTGTGGAGATAGGGAGAGTCTACCCATCCCCAAACCCCCATTAAGGCCTGCATTTCCTGGGCTGTCCCAGGAAGGGGCTGGGACTCACAGCTCATGCAGTCATGGAAATATTTATCTCTCCTCACAAGGACATACAGGATGTACTTTCACATTTCCCTGTGGCTGGTTTCTAGGACCAGGAGGGCTAGCCAGTTCCGCTTCCTTCAAGTTCATGGCCCAGGTTCCTGCTGGGTGATTTCCCTTTCTCTCAATTTCTTTCTCCAGCTCTGTCTCTGCTCCTCTTATTTTTAAAACATACATATATTTGCTCCTACTCTGCCTCCATGATATGCTGGGGTATAGACAAACCACGGATGTGGTCCCAGTTTTTGAGAGTCTTGGTGGGGTACACAGACACCAAGATAAGTGTGGTTGGCACCATGTTGTGGGCATGTTTAAGGGACACAGGAGAAGGAGCTGGAGGAAGGGACACAGGAGTAGAGGAAGGACCTTCAGCTCCGCTGCGAGTCCCAGGGCAACCTAACTCCTTGGCTCTCTCTGCCTTGAGGAGGTTCACGTGGTGTTCACCCTTCCCCCTCCTCCTGCCACCCAGTTCAGCAGGGCCCAATTCCCCAAGGGTGTGGGGAAACAAGACAATGTGGGAGCCGGGCGTGGTGGCTCATGCCTGTAATCCCAGTACTTTGGGAGGCCAAGTCGGGCGGATCACAAGGTCAGGAGATTGAGACCATCCTGGCTAACACGGCGAAACCCCGTCTCTACTAAAAATACAAAAATTAGCTGGGTGTGGTGGCGGGCGCCTGTAGTCCCAGCTACTCGGGAGGCTGAGGCAGGAGAATGGCATGAACCCGGGAAGGGGAGCTTGCAGTGAGCTGAGATCACACCACTGCTCTTCAGCCTGGGCGACAGAGCGAGACCCCGCCTCAAAAAAAAAAAAAAAGACAATGTGGGAATAACCCAGGAGAAGCAAGATGCCCACCTGTGTGCCACCAAAGGACTGAGCTTATGTACAAAATTTTATTCTATTCCTCTCAATTTTTGTAAGCCTCTAGCAGGCACACACCTTAGTCTCCTGAGGCAGTGCAAATGGATTCTTGGGTCCCCTCACATCCCCAGCAGCCAGCACAGGGCCCAGCACTACTGCTCAGAAAGTGTTTGTTTAAAATAAACAAAGAAGCAAGGGCCATGCCCACTGTACAGACTATGAAACTGAGTTCCAGAGAGAGTGAATGACTGCCCTCCTCACAGGTTGCAGTGAGCCGAGATCGCACTACTTCACTCCAGCCTGGGTGACAGAGTGAGACTCTGTCTCAAAAAAAAAAAAAAATTGATACTTAGTAACTGTGGAATAAAATGAATGAATGAGGCTACAACACTTTGGGAAGCCGAGGCAGGTAGATCACTTGAGGTTAGGTGTTCAAGACCAGCCTGGCCAACATGGTGAAACCCCATCTACTAAAAATACAAAAATTAGTCCGGCGTGGTGGCAGGTGCCTGTAATCTCAGCTACTCAGAAGGCTGAGGCAGGAGAACCGCTTGAACCCGGGAGGTGGGGTTCAAGGGATTCTCCTGCCTCTCCTTCTCACTGCAACCTCCACCTCCAGGGTTCAAGGGATTCTCCTGCCTCAGCCTCCTGAGTAGCTGGGATTACAGGAGCACGCCATCATGCCCGGCTAATTTTTTTTATTTTTAGTAGAGACGGGGTTACACCATGTTGGTCAGGCTGGTCTCAAACACCTGACCTCAGGTAATCCACCTGCCTCGGCCTCCCAAAGTGTTGGGATTACAGGCGTGAGTCACCGTGCCTGGCCTCATGTGTTATTTTTACCTCTATTTTAGAGATGAGGAAACTGAGGCACACAGAAGTGATGTAACTTGCTTAGGGTTATCAGCTGCTAAGTTGTTGAAGAGGCATTCTAGTCCAGGGTGGCGTGAAAGTCAACCATGTGCTCTTAATCAGCTATAGGCTGTGTCCTGTGGCATGGGTTCTGGACTGGGCACACGGGCTGGGCCGTGTGGAGGAGAGGGCCACAGCTTTTCTTGGGAACTCAGAGCTTCTGCCAGAGTCCAGCAGGCCGAATCCCCTGCATCCAGTGTACCAGGCGTGTGTGTCTCCTGAACGGTGACTTTCCAAATCTCTCCCCTTCCCTTTCTACCCTTCTTTTCATTTCCCCTTCTCCCCAGTCCCATATAGCTGATAGACCAGCTTATGCCTTTCTAACAGGTCCAGCCTGTCGGGAATGTGGCAAGAGAATCGGCATGCCTTGCTTCTATGGGGTACCTGTGCACAGCTGGAGCTCTTATTGACAGCCTGAACAGAGACCAAAAAAGAGGAAGGAGGCAATGATGAGAGGCAGATTAAAGACAGAGATGGAGAGACAGGGCCGGGGTAGGAAAGAGGAGCAGACTTAGAGACAGAGAGAATGCACATGCGCTTAAAATAGAGATGGCATGATGAGAAGCAGAGTGAAAGAGATGATAAGAGATAAAAGGGAGAGAGAGATCCTGTGGTTGCCCCACCCCATTCCTATTACAGATAAACTGAGGGTCACAGAAAGACGTAACCCTACTTCCTGGCAGATGTCTCTGTCACTTTTTCAAATACCATTAATTCAGTTCCTCCCTTGTCTACAGATCCTTTTTTGTGCCCTGTGTGCCTGGCCCTGAGCAGCATGAGTTAGACTGTAACGGAGGGCTCCAGGGTATGCTAATCAGGAGAGCAAGTGGTGAGAGGAGGAGATATAAATGCAGCTGAGGACAGTATTGATCAGAAAAGGTTTCCTGGACAACATAAGATTGATGTGGGGCCACAAAGAACGTTTATAGTCAATTTTTTGAGGCATAATTTACATACTATAAGATGTACTCATTTTAGTGTACAGTTTGTTGAGTTTTGACAAATGCATACACTCATATAACCACCACCACAATCAAGATATAGAATATTTCCTTTATGCAGAAAGTTCCCTGTGCCTCTTTGCAGTCATATGTCCTCTTCCATCACCCCTGATCTGAGCTTTGCCATTAGAAATTAGCTTTGCCGGCCGGGCACAGTGGTTCATGCCTGTAATCCCAGCACTTTGGGAGGCTGACGCGGGCGGATCATCTGAGGTCAACATGGTGAAACTCCGTGTCTACTAAAAATACAAAAATTAGCTGGGAGTGGTGACAGGCACCTATAATCCCAGCTACTTGGGAGGCTGAGGCAGGAGAATCGCTTGAACCCAGGAGGCGGAGGTTGCCGTGAGCCCAGATGGCGCCATTGCACTCCAGCCTGGGTGATAAGAGTGAAACTCTGTCTCAAAAAAAAAAAAAAAAAAAAATTTTTGCTTTTTCTAGAGTTTCATATAAATGGAATCATATGCTAAATAGTCTTTTGTGTCTGGCCTCTTTCACTGAGCCTGTTGTTGAGAGGTCTATATTCTGGCATTTGTCAGTAATTTGTTTCTTTTTTATTGCTGAGTAATGTTCTATTACATGAATGTACCACAATTTGTTTACCATTCACCTGTTGATGGATAGTTGAATTGTTGTTTTTTGCTTTACAAATAAGGGTTCTATCACTGTTAATGTACAGGTGTTCTTGTGGATATATATTTTTCAGCTGTCTCAGTAAATGGGTGTTTATAAACTGCACATTCATAGGAACTGCGAAAGAGTTCTCCAAAGTGGCTGAGTAATTTTTGCATTTCCTTCAACAATGTTGCTGGAGAACTCCAGTTGCTCCTTCACATCCTCAGCAATACTTGGTATTGTCAGTCTTTTAAATTTTAATCATTTTAGTGGATGTGTCATGGCATCTCATTGTGGTTTTAATTTCTGTTTCCTTAATACAAGTTGAAGAATCTTTTCATGATAAGTTTGGCTATTTATCTTCTTTAAGGTCAAAGGATTTAAACCGGGGGATATCACAATGCTATCCAAAGTGTTCAAGATTTTGAAACAGTTCTCCCAAAGTAACACATAGTTCATTCTAGCCAGCAGGAATGGAGAAGACACCGGGGCTAAGCTGACTTGGATGTATACCAAGTGAGTGACTGGGTGAGATGAGCCTGTTTCCTCATTTTTAAAGTGGGGATCACACAAGCAGCCCGGCAGGTTATAGTGGAGGATCAAGAGACAGAACAGCGGCAGAAGCAGGAAGCAGTGCAGGCACACATGGCAGTGCCCAGGACATAGAGTCCCCTTCAGGGGCCCAGGAGTCTTGTCCACATGTATTAATGTGTACTCCTGGGCCAGGACTCTGTCTCAGTGAGCATCAACGACTATTTGCTAGCCAGAGAACTGGTGGCTATGCACATGTTCTGTCCTTTTCTAACAGCTCTGGGAATAAAATCATTGATGGCAGAGCTATTGGGGTTCTCTGCTCATGAGGACAGTTAAGTTTAGACACTATCTCTTCTGTAAGTCTGGAAAGCAACTTCGGTCTTCTGTATGCTTTGGTCTTCCGCATGGGTTAGGGAAAGGGAAATGGCTTTGAAACATTAAAAAGCACAGGCCGGGGGCGGTGGCTCATGCCTGTAATCCCAGCACTTTGGGAGGCTGAGATCGGCAGATCACCTGAGGTCAGGAGTTTGAGACCAGCCTGGCTAACATGGTGAAACTTCATCTCTATTAAAAATACAAAAAAGGCCGGGTGTGGTGGCTCATGCCTGTAATCCCAGCACTTTGGAAGGCCAAGGCGGGCGGATCACCTGAAGTCAGGAGTTCGAGACCAGCCTGGCCAACATGGTAAAACCCTGTCTCTACTAAAAATATAAGTAATTAGCTGGGCGTGGTGATGCATGCCTGTAGTCCCAGCTTCTTGGGAGGCTGAGGCACAAGAATTGCTTGAACTCATGAGGCAGAGGTTGTGGTGAGCCAAAATTGTGCCATTGCACTCCAGCCTGGGTGACAGAGGGAGACTCTGTCTCAAAAAAAAAAAAAAAAAAAAATTAGCTGGGTGTGGCGGCATGCACCTGTAGTCCCAGCTACTCAGGAGGCTGAGGCAGGAGAATTGCTTGAACCCAGGAGGCAGAGGTTGCAGTGAGCCGAGATCACACCATTGTATTCCAGCCTGGGAGACAGAGTGAAACTCTGTCTCAAAAAAAAAAAAAAGCACGGTGTTTTCTTAACACAATTTTACTTTGGCCTTTGCTACAGATGGGGGTTGTAAACTAGAGAAGTGGTTCTCAAATTTTGTGTGTGTGTCAGAAATCATCAGGAAGGCTTGTGAAAACAAATTGCTGGGCCTCACCCTCAGAGTAGTAGTAGTAGGCCTGGGGTGAGGCCTGAGAATTTGCTTTTCTAACAGGTTCCTCGGTGATGCTGACCATCCACTTTGAGAGCCACTGAGAGTGAAGTTCCTTCCATCCCTGAGAATTCTGACAGCAGCGTTGGGGTTTGGAAGCACAGACGTGACTCCCAAGCTCGGAATTCTTGAGGCCTGCTTACTGATGGGGTAGGGGTTCTTCCAGGGCAAGAGACAGAGGCAAAAATGGAGAGAATAGTCCTTTGAAAGTGGAAGAGGGAAATAATGACATTTCCTCAAATTGAAATTTTCCTCATTAAAAATAATCCTTATATAAACAGTATTATGTATGGAAAATGAGCACCTCTCTTCTGCAAATAAGGAAAGTGAACCTCAGAGATTAAGTAATTTGCCTGGTATCATACAGCTGGCAACTAGGGGAGCAGGGATAGGAGCTCAGGTCTGCCTGACCATTGTGCTTGCTTTGCTGCTTTCGAAGCACTGTGGCCTGAAGCCAGACTGCCCTAGGTGTGAATTTTGCCTCCACCACTTACCTGCTGGGTGTTCTCTGCAAGTTGCTCAACCTCTCTGTGCTACCTACAAAATGGAGTAGTCCCTACTTCATTAGGTTCTTGCAAGGATTAACTGAATTAATACTTACAAAGTGCCTAGGACAGTACTTGTCACACAGTAACTGCAGTGTAGATTTGTTAAAAATAAACTCGGCTGCTCATCAGAGTGCATGCATGGCATCTTTCCGGAGAAGAAGCTCGGGGGAGAAGCTCAGAGATAGTCCAGTACTCAGAGAGGGCAGGCAGAAACACTTGAAAAATGGTAAGAGGCTTGGCTTTGGGGTTTAGGGAGAACCCAACCTTTGGTGGTGGGGAACAACGGCCTCAGGGCCAGAGCCTAGCTAGCCTGTTCTTGTCCCCTGCTCTTGCTGCCCCAGTTCCAGACTCCAGACTTACCAGTCTGGGTCTCAACCTCCCCTCCCTCCTCGCCACCCCCACCCCAGGCGCTCCGGGTTTCCTGCCCGACTGGGGCCTCCGTTTGGGGCGGGTGGAGGAGGGGTGGCATTTCCTGGCTGGCCCCGGCCTGTCACTCTCTCGTGGACGCTCGGACAACTCGCTGACCGACAGGCACCAGATGCTATTTCAGGCAGCGCCCCGCTTAGCGCACAGCTTCCGTTTTTCCACTGACCATCGGAAACAGGGGAGGGGGCAGATGTAGACGTCATGAGACCCCAGCCCCTGGCAGGGCTTTGGTGGATGAGGTCGGGAGTGGCTGCCTGACTGTCAGAATCTGGAGCTTGGCAGAGAACAAATGTGTGGAATTGGAGGGTTGGTGAACGTCACCTCCTCGCTCCACAGACAGAGGCCTGGGCACACCCTCTGCCACAGGGCTGAGAAACGCCTTTCCACCTGTCCATATTCCTTCACCACAGGAAAGGACACTTTCCTTGGAGGTGCTGGCTGGGGACATTTAATGCCCTGTAAAATAATCCAACAGTCTGCAGGTGTCTCAAAGGCATCTAAACTTAAGGAGTTCAAAACCAAATATATAAGCCCTCCCCATGTCCCCTCAGCCTCCAGGTTCCCCATCTCCAGGAATAACCACCACTAGCTCTGCAGGACAGCCAGAAACCCAGGGGTTTTCCTGGATTCCTTCCTCTCCCTCATCCCCCCAAACCCAATTCTTTTTTTGTTTGTTTGTTTGAGACAGAGTCTCGCTCTGTCGCCAGGCTGGAGTGCAGTGTCGCGATCTCGGCTCACTGCAACCTCTGCCTCCTGGGTTCAGGTGATTCTCCTGCCTCAGCCTCCTGAGTAGCTGAGACTACAGGCGTGCGCTGCCACACCCAGCTAATTTTTGTATTTTTAGTGGAGACAGGGTTTCATCATGTTGGCCAGGATGGTCTCGATCTCTTGACCTCGTGACCCGCCTGCCTGGGCCTCCCAAAGTGCTGGGATTAGAGGCATGAGCCACCATGCCTGGCCCAAATCCAATTATTATAAACCCAGTTTTATACCCCAAATACATGTCATCTTCACTTGCCTCTTGTCATCTCTTCTGCCAGCACAGTGGTCCAAGCTCTAATCCGCTTCCCCTAACCACTGCATTGGCTCCACAACTGGCCTCCCAGAGTCCTTCCCCCTCCACACTTCATCCAAAGAACTTTCTAGAAATGCAAATCTTATTCTATACAAGGTACCACCCCCACCTTCAAACCAAACAAACAAAAAAATGTCAAAAAATCTTTTAACTTGTCCACAAGCATGCTCCAGCCATACTGGACACTTTTCTATTCTTTTCACGAACCTACCACCCTTCTGTTCTAGCCCTTGGTCCAGCTGTTTCCTCAGCCCACCTGGAAGGTTCTGGATACTGATGCTTCTCCCCACCCCCCTTCTTCGCACCCCCAAATTTCACTCTTAGATCTCAGTCCAGGCCTCATTTTCTCAGAGAAGCAGTCCCCACCTGGGCTCTCCCATATGGGAATGGCTAGCCTGTTTTTACAGTGGCTCAGAGACATGAAATCACTTCTCTAAGGGTCCCACAGCCCAGGAATGGCAGAGTTGTGTTTCAGACTCAGAATTATATGACTCTCATTTTCTAATAAGTGATGGAGCCAAGCAAAGGCCTTATGGTAGGGGGGAACTAGACTTTTTCTTAGGATGTGGGATTCTGTGAGAGTTATCTGTATCCCCATGACAGCCTGACTTCCTTCAGAGAGCACAGGAGGAACAGAGGGGACAGGCGGCACTGAATTAACTGTATCTTCTCAGAGGGTCAACCTGATGACCAAGGAGAAGCCAGATCCCAGACTGGGGCCATGCTCTCTGCTCAGTCTTTGACTGGGACTCAGTTTGTTACCAGAGTAGGGGTTTTCCCCCAGTTCTCAGGCTCCAAAAAAAGCTCAAAAGCAGAGACACTAGAAGGACAAATCAGCCTGGCATGGAAAGTAGAGTTGTGGACTGGGAATTGGACACCAAAGTTTGGGTCCTGGCTTTTCCTTTGGGTTACTGTAAGTTTTGGCTAAGTCACATCTCTCTGTGTCTTAATTTCTTTCTCTATGATGATAACCAGAACTCCCATGCAAGTGCATATGATGTTTTCCTGGGCTGTGGACTGAGTGACGTTCCATACATTATTATCCTCACCACCACCTTTTAAAGGTCATATAAGTTAGTTCTCATAACTTTGTGACGTCGACATTATCTCCCCATTTTACAAATGAGAAAACTGAGGTTCAGAGATCAGTGACTAAAATTCGAACATGTGTTCTTTCCACTCCACCATGAAAGAATGAACCCAGAGACCCTCCGTGGGCTGAGCGCATCATCCAGCTGGCACTGAACTCAGATTTCTACCCCACAGTAAAGACCCTGGTCTCTGCAATGAGTTGAGCCCAGGTCCCTTTCCCTGGCTAGGTTTTGGCTGCCCCTCTTCATCAGCTGAGCCGCAGAGAAGACTCCGTGTCAAATTTCCTTCCAAGGCAGACTCCACCAAGCACTAGCTATGTATCATTCGAAAAGTTACTTTGACTTTCTGTGCCTCAGTTTTCTCTTCTGTAAATTAAGGATCCAGCTTCTCAGGACTGTTTGTGAAGAGTAGATTAGTATTTGCAGAATGCCTAGAATAGTGTTACAGTCGCTAGATTAAACTTTTTTTTTTTTTTTAAATACCATGTGGGGAGCAGTGTTCCTGGGCTCTGGGCTCAGCCTGAAACCTAGCAGAATAGGCATTTTATGTCCCTATTGACAGGGGTTCTGCCAGGCCGCCGTAGAGCCCATGGATTTGAGTTACCGGCTCTATTTTAGAAGGGGGTGAAGAGGTAGGGAAGGGCTGGGGAGCTTTCTGGGATAGGGAGACTGCCCATTGAAATCTGGGTGTCTGGGACACTGGAGGAAGAATAAGAAAGAAGCCCTGGGAGGTGACGATTTTGGTATCATGGTGGTCTTCAGAGGTAGGGACAGAGTGCTGGGGTGAGAGTCGCTGAAGAAAGGTGTCTGAAAGGTTAAGGGACTGAGGTTGTGGGAAGCTGGGGTTCCTGAGAGGCCTTGGGATTAGAGATGGGGGCTGGATCTGCTGGGTCCTAGACAGCGCGTCCAACGCTCCCCGCAGCGCGTTCCGGAGCCGGTCCTAGCGCCGCTCAACCAGTCCCCACTCCCTCCGGTGAAATTGCCAAATTAAAATGAATCATTTGGCCCATAATGGCCGAGGCGCTTATCGGGGGCGGGCGGACCCGCGGCAGTGCCTTATCTCTGCGGCGCACACGGCCCCGGCGCGCCTCGGCCCATGCTAACGAGGCCTGGAACGTGAGTGGGATTACAGCGCGTCGGTGGAGGGGCCGGGCGGGCGCGGGGCGGGCGGGGGAGCGGGGGCCGCGGGAGGGGCCGGGCCGCCGCCGCTCAGGACCGGGCCTCAAAATGGCCACACGCGTACCCCCGTAGCGGAAAAACGTGAGCATTCTGGCCTTTTTCTAGGGGAAAAGCAACCCGCGGCCTCCCACCGAATTCTTCATCAATTTCCTCCTCTTTTTCCCCACGTCCGCAAAAGAGGTCTTCGCTCCCTTTCCCTCGGTTCCTTTCGATGGCCGGGGGGGGCGGTGGGGGGGCATTTTCCACGGACGCCCCCGCCCCGGCTGCCGCCGCCCCTCCCGCCTCGGAGACTCTCTTCCTTCCTTCCCCCTTTTCCTTACGCAATATACAGAAATGCGCGAGGCTGTGGTTGGTTTTCATTTCTTCTTCGTGGTTGTGTGCATGCGGTGGGATTGTGAGAGTGCGTTCATGAGAACTGTGGGCGGCGTTGGCTGCTTCTAAGTGTGGTCTTCTTGGCGACAGGCTCTGTGTCCGAGTGTGGTGTGCCTGCGCGGTTGGGGTGTGTAGATGTGGACCCTTCGAGGCCCTTCTGCGTTTTCTTCGTTGCGTACGATTGTGCTCCGTTGGTGTTCTCAGCAGGGATCTGATTCTGTGTGTGGGGGTGTGTGGCCCCTGCGACTGTGTTTGGGTGGTGTCGTCGTTATGTCGGGCGTGTGTGATCCCGACTGTGCTGGATTGTGTGTCCGTGAGCCGCTGCGTTTGACTGATTTCGTTGTGTCCTGTTGGGCAGTGTGCGGGGCTGACCAAGTCGGCTTCTGGGGCAGTGCTAGGTGGTGTTTGTTTGCTGCCCTTCTGTGGGGCTGGACCCTGTGTGGTCCTGTCCGCACTGAGTTGTATGCCTGTGTGCCTGTGTCCTTTAGAGGTGCGTTTGCAAATCGCTGGGGGCGGGAGTGGGGGGAGGGCGAGCGAGAGATCGAGGCGCTGGTGGGGGCGGCGGCATGGGGGCGGGGAGCGGGATTTCACATTTTATTCCAAATTATGATGTATTCGGGAGCCAGTTGTTGGCTTGGGTGGGCGGACAGCGCCCGGTCGGCGGCTGCTCTGCCCGGAGGCCCGCCTGTGCCTAGGTGTTTGAGGGGTTCGTTGGTGAGTGGGAGGCTCCTCCAGGCTTGAAGCTGAGCAGCGCTCGCCGAGGCCGGCGCCTTCGAGCCGGTAGCTGCGGGCTTCGGTTCCCGCTGCACTCCGGCTTCATCCATTTCTGGTCAGTTTCGTGGGTGCGGCCGCCGGGCTCCAAGGGAGAGGCCCCGAAAGGACAATGGGCACATTCACCAGGCCTCGAGCCTCGGGTGGGGACATTCGGGATCACCTCCTGGGAAGATTTTCCCGCCCCCTCTTCGGGTGAGCGACGTTGCCGCTTGGGTCTGATACCCGTCGCATCCGAGACCGAGGCCGAATCCGGGCTCTGGGAGGGACCGGGTTAGTGGGGCCCTAGCTCGGGTTGAAAGAATTTTGTTTTGTCAATTATTGTAATTGCTAATGCCATCACCATCACAATCGTCATCATTAACATCTATTTTAATTAAAATAATCATCCCAGAGCGCAGCAGTTTGTCCCTTTTGGCTCCTTTGGCGGGAGAACAAAGCAGCGGGTTTTTTTCCGCTACAGCCGTTTTCTAAGTTGCTGGGTTTGAGGTAGGAAGAGAAAATGGAGAGAGGCACGGACACAGAGACTTGGTCATAAGGCAAACATTAACCCCCAGCGAACACGCAACATTAACCCCCCGCGAACACGCCGGGAATGGATGGATTCCCCTCTTCTTTCCTCCCCTCCCCTCTTTTGGATTAGAAGAGGAGAAAGAAAATCTTCCGCATTGTATTGCAATCCAGGGAAGAATTATTCCTATATGTCCACCAAAGCCGCGGCAAATAGAAGGAGGCCTTCGCAGTTAATCCAAGACTTCGATGTGTGATCATAAGCCTGACGATTTAGGCAAAACAAATTAAACAAAATCCACTAGGAAAAAATAAAAGCAAGCTCAATCCTGCTACATCCTTGAAAGTAGTGTCGGGTTTGTTTTTACCTCCTTTCCTTTTACCTTGTTTATTGCTGTAACAAATCATTAGAATTCTCCCTTACTCTGTCTAAACCCCGAAAAATCGAAAATCATTTCGTAGGGGTGGTGGAGGGGAAGGTGGGGGACTTTTCCCCTTTGTTTCTTTCTTTCCCCCTTTGTTGGTCTTTATTTCCTTTTCTTTTTCTGTCTCTCTCTTCCTCTCTCTTTCTTCTTTCTCTTAATCAGTAGGGAGACGAGAAAGGACCTGAACAGATCAGATATCTCTCTCCAAGCCCCCTTCCCAACTCCATTTCTGTAGGAAAGTACAGCCCCTGGAATTGGGTTCTGGTTTCGCTTTGGGCTGGAGGTGGGTGGATGGGGGTCAGAGAGAGAATGAGGTGGGGGGGACTTCAAGGTTCTGTCCCACCGACCAGAGTCTGAAGACTATTCGCCTTTCCCAACACGGACCTCCGCCCATCCAGGCCCGGGACTATCCCTTCGCGGTGTAGCGGCAGCCGGAGACCTGGCTGAGGAGGCAACCGCGTAGACACCTCCCTGCTTAGAAAACAAACACTGAACCAGACCGATCCCAGTTGGAGGGTTCGAAAATGTTCCAGACAGCCTGTCGGGAGGGGTTGTTGTTGCTGTTGGACTAAATAGCTATTCCTGATTGGTCATGTATAGGGTTTTTTAAGGCGGGTGGGGGGAGGAGGGGGTAGAGGAAAGGCTCCAAACACCTGCAGGTTGGGGGCGGAAAGCTGTTTGCGATTCCCTGGACTGGTTGGTCGGGGACAGGAGGTAATTCCCAGCCATTGACCCCCATTTCTCTCTCTCCCTCCCTCTTGCCCTGCCTCTTTCTCTCCACCCCTATCTTTCCTGGAAACTCGCTTTGGGCGCGGCAGATCGCCCAGGACCACACCGCAGCGTAACTGCAGGCCTCTCAGCGAAAAAGGGGGAAAGCAAAGACCCGGGTGTGCATCCTCTTCCTCGGCTTCCGCCCCTTTCCGGCGGAGTGGAGATCCTATTCAGAGGGGCCGGTCTCTCTAAATATGCCCCAGGTGAGTTTTCAGGGGAATGGTGCCGGTGGAAACGGTGTCTAGGAAGGCCTTGTGTTCCGGCCTGGGGTGAGGAAGGCTCAGGACAGAGGAGAGCCCATTCTCAGATTGGGGGTGGGGGGAGGGGAGGACCAGCCAGAGCTTGGAATCGGGATCTGACTGCTGTAGCTGCCTCTGTGGCATTCAGCGGCTTTTTCCCTTTTCCACCCAGGGTAAAACCAGCTAGTTGGACTTAGTCGTCCAGGCCTTTCCCATTGGTCCCGGTTCTGTGGACGTTTCCCAAGGCCGGTAACTTTGGGGCGGCTGTATCCGGGTGGTACAGACTGTGCCTGGAGCTCCCGCAGGAGGAAGGCGGCAGCCTTCCTGGCTAGTGCAGTCCCAGCTCGAGTGGGCCCTGATCCCAGGCCTGAGGCCTAGGGTGGGGAGGCAGGAACACCCCTCTTCTCCGGTAGAGGCGAGGATGGTGGTGCTGTTCCCTGGTGGGTTTGGTACTTGTGCAGGCTTGGGGCTTCTCCAGGGTGTTGTGCTGGTGTGGGCCCAGAAGAGAGACCAGAGGCTGGGTCTAAGGGCCTGAGGCTGTTTTCATCTAAGAAATTCTCTGTATGGGGGATTGGGTCTGCTTGAGACCTGTCCCCAGGAAGAATCTCCTGGGGTCTTCTGTCTTGTTCTGGCACAGGTGGAAATATTCTGGCTGTCTGGCAACTGCAGATGAGGATTTCCTGTTGGGGGCTATAAGCAGGGTCTCCGTAGTACAAAGAGAGAGGAGCTGTAGTCGTCAAATACTCTAGAACGATTCAGTCTAAAATCTCCCTCCTCCTTCATTCTCCCCAAATAAAAACAAACAAAATCTCTCGGGCGTTCCTTTCTGTAATCCAAATCAAGTGATGCAGCTTAGTCGCCAACAACCATCAGTGTTTGTGAGTGGCTTCTTTGGGGCATGGACCTCTGGCTGGTAATCCTAAACCGGCAGGATTTTCCTAAAATGTGGGGAGGAGCCGGGAGAGGTCCTCCACAGATCCTGGGATCCAATCATATATTTCTTACAAGGAACCTTGGCGATGGGATATTTATAGGTGTCTGGAGAGGACATTTGTGGCCAGGGTCAATTCATCTGGAATATGTACTCCCATTGCCTCTCAGGAATCCACCGCTAGAGCAGGAGCCTAAGAATTAATTGGAGGGTAAAAATGTGTCATAACAGAGCTTGAGCTCAGTCTGCAACTGCAGTGCACACTGTCACTCGGTTAGAAGCTGGGGCTTAAGCATGGATCACTGGGCTCACACCGGTGTGTCAGGACGGAGAGCAGTGAGGTAGGGAACCAATACCTTGAAGCTTGTATGTTTCCCAGGGGTTGGTATATTTCTGGCACATTTCGCTGCTGCTGGGAGCAAGAGGACCTGGCTGATATACTTCTGGTGCATTTCCAGTGGCCTTGGTGTCTTGGTGGTTGCATTCTATGGATAGAGACCTATTGTCTCCACCAAAATCATAAACTCACTTCCAATGAAGTGTCAGGGACCTACTGCCTTTACAGCTTGTATACACCAGGACTTAGGGAATTTTGTGGTTTCTGTGCCAGACCTGGGGGGCTGGCATTCCCAAAGAAGGTGTACAGCAGTCTGAATCTTGACTCTCTGTCATCCTGGGTGTCTAGTGGCAATTGAGCCAAGCTCCAGAGGAGGCTGCAGATGATCCATTCTCCCTTCTGGGGTGGGAGGGATGGTTCCTAGGATGACTCCTGTCCAGAGCATTGCAGTGGCAGTATGGGAGCTCAATGGCTGCTATGTATGATTTAGATGGACTCTGCATGGGGGTAAATTGTTTTTTTGTATTTGTTTTCTTCTTTTAAATACCCAATTATATAATTCAGAGAGCAGAAAGCTTATTTTAAACAACTTATGTGGTGTTGATCATATATGTACAACTCACAACTCACAAACTCTGGCCCTTGAGTCTCCTGATTTTTCTGTTTTGGTTCTTGCTGGTGCCCAGCTCTATCTGGATGAAGCCAGGTGATGGAAGAGCCCCAGCACACCTGTGGGAAGTAGAGTGGCTGTGGTCATCTCGGAGTATGCTTGTGGGGTCACAAGGTGGTTTCACTGCTCTGGGAATACAGGAGGGTTGAGCAAAGTGAGATTATTGCTCTGGTCTGGCTCTCTCACAGATAGGCTGTGAGTGACTTGACATTCGGCCAGGCAGTTTTCTCACTGGCCCATTCTCCTTGTTAATAATGTTTACTTGAACGTTTGCACAGCACTTTCAAATGCATAAAGGAGGTATTCCTCCCATTTCCCAAAGAACACCAAGGCAGGAGATGGCGGTGAGGGGGGCTGGAAGAGTTCAAGGGCCTCATGACATCCTGTCCTGCTCTTGGATGGGAGTCCAGACCCCACTGGCCTCAGGGAACCCTTCAAATGCCCAGCTCCATTCTACCTCAGCCAGGCCTCTCTTTGAGACTCGACCTCACTTCAGAGTCCAGCTGAGCAGAACGAGGTGGACTGTGCAGGGAGGTTGGGCCAGCACCATCTTCTTCCCTTGGCGACCTCTCATCTCTGTCTGAGTGGGAGTAAAGATCCGCTGGGCGGGCAGAGGACTCACAGTGGATTTGCTCAGTGTAGACAGACACTCCCTCACTCCCCAGCGGGGGCGAATGTGTGTGTGTGTGTGTGTGGAGGGAGCTGGTTCCTCGGGATTATTCTCTGCCAGCTCTGGCGGAGTGGATCCCAGTCCCCGTAGCCTCCACTTTCTAATTCCCTACTTCCATCCGCACCGGGTTTCTGGGTGTGTGCCTGTAGGTGGGCTGGGAATATTGCTGAGAGGCCAAGGGAGGTTCCTAAAGCAACGAACCCCTGCCTGACAGATTCCCCGCTAAAACCAAAGAGCACGATCCGGAATTTGTTCCCTCCTCTTCCCTTTAGGCCTGAGAAAGGGGACAGAGTAATCTCTTTCTTGCCTCCTTGTACATTTCCTTCCTCCTGATTTCCCCTTCTGTGTTTCTGTCGCTGGCTGTATTCCTTTTCTTCCGGTGTCTCTGTCGTCTTCCTCCATCTCTGTCCTTTTGGCCCTCAGTCTCTGTGTCTCCCAGGCACCCCTCCCTTCTCCCAATCCAGAGACCCTCTTTCCCTCCCACCCTAGCCCCAACCGGCCTCCCGCCCTAGCCCCACGTGGCGCTAACTTTGTCTGCCTCTTCTCACGTCTCGGTGCGTGAGTTCCTCTCTCTGCCCTTCTCCCCTTTACCCCAGCCCACGTCGGTGGGTCAGGGGCGGTCGTCAGAGCGGGCATCCGCTTGTCTGTCTGTCTGCCCACAGGATGACCGAGCGGCCGCCGAGCGAGGCGGCTCGCAGTGACCCCCAGCTAGAGGGACGGGACGCGGCCGAGGCCAGCATGGCCCCCCCGCACCTGGTCCTGCTGAACGGCGTCGCCAAGGAGACGAGCCGCGCGGCCGCAGCGGAGCCCCCAGTCATCGAACTGGGCGCGCGCGGAGGCCCGGGGGGCGGCCCTGCCGGTGGGGGCGGCGCCGCGAGAGACTTAAAGGGCCGCGACGCGGCGACGGCCGAAGCGCGCCATCGGGTGCCCACCACCGAGCTGTGCAGACCTCCCGGGCCCGCCCCGGCCCCCGCGCCCGCCTCGGTTACAGCGGAGCTGCCCGGCGACGGCCGCATGGTGCAGCTGAGTCCTCCCGCGCTGGCTGCCCCCGCCGCCCCCGGCCGCGCGCTGCTCTACAGCCTCAGCCAGCCGCTGGCCTCTCTCGGCAGGTCAGGGGCCAGGGGCCAGGGGCCAGGGGCTGGGCGGGTGGGCAGGGCGACCACCCCCACCGGGGTTTCCTTCTACACATCGGCGGCGGCCTGCCCTGGGGGCCGAGCGGGTGGAGCGCAGGGAGAGGAGGTCGTTTTAAACCCAGTGGCTCTAGAGCCTCAAGCTGGAGCCCCCGAGTGAGTGCCAGTGAGGGAGGGGCCTTCTGTGAGAGAGAGTGTGCGTGTGGCTGCGGGGTGCATGGCTGTGTGGAAGCCGAGAGGAGGACGTGGACACCTTCGCGGGTGCAGGCATGTGGCTGGTGTGCTTGGTGGTGGTGTCGTGGGGGACGGAGAGGAAGGAGTCCCCTGAGCGTGGGTACCAGGAAAGAGTGTGCCTGCATGTGCTTTGCTGTGAGCAGAGGTAGATGTTTGTGGTGTGAAATTCATTCGGAAACTCAGCGCTAGCTGGACAGGCAAGAGATAAGGATCTGAGGGTGGTGGCAGAGGCACCCTCCCCCGAATCTCTGCTGGAGGGCCCGCCTGAGGACTGACCTGTCCCTCCACTCCCAGCCCCTCTGCTCCTAGCCGTGGTCTCTGGCCCCAGCCTGTACTCCGGTTGGTGTCAGGGCATCCGTTTCCCTGCTGGCGCTACTGTGATGATGAGGGAGAGAAGCCATAGGGTTGGAATAGAAACCGGCAGATGGGGCAGGGATAGAGTGTGGGGCAGTCAATGAACCTGGCGGGCACCCGAGACAGAGCTATGGGGAGCTTAGGGTGGGTGAGGGCAGAGAGCTAGGCGGAGCATTTCAGCTGAGGGGAGTCAGGGTTTCCTGTCTGTTGTGTATCTACAGCCCCTTATGGGTGGGGTGAGGTGGGGAGAGGGGACAGTGTGCCCCTTTGTGGTGACCAAGATGCACACCATCAGGTGTGAAGGTTACATTTGCCTGAGTGGGCATGTGTTTGGGAGTGGAGGTGTGTGTGGATTATGTGCTTGTTTCTGGGGCGGGAGAATGGAGAGTGTTTCTATCTGTGAAGTGTGTGTGTGTGTGTGTGTGTGTGTTCATTTTTGTGTTTATTCCATGTGTTATTCACCTCTGCTTCTGCATATGTGCCTGTGTTTGTGTGGAGGGATGTGTGGTTAGGTGTCTTTTCCTCCCTTTGCTTGTTTTATGACAGACAGAGTGAGGGCATTCCGTGTGTATGTGTGTGTGTGTGTCTGTGTGTGCCTATTCCCAGCTCAAGTGTGAAGGGACCAGGGTTGCCCAGAGGTGGGGGGCTCAAGACATGTGGGGAGGATCCCTAAGGAAGCTCTTTCTCCCCTCCCCTCAACATGGGATCTTGTGATCTGCCCGTTCCCTCCCACAGCGGGTTCTTTGGGGAGCCGGATGCCTTCCCTATGTTCACCACCAACAATCGAGTGAAGAGGAGACCTTCCCCCTATGAGATGGAGATTACTGATGGTGAGTCTGCCCCACCCCACCGTTGTACCTGCCCCTCACGCTGGTTAGAGCCCTCTGGAGGAGGGAACATCTGGGACTACTCCGTAGGTATCTCACAAAGATGGGCGGGCCACTTTCCAAACCCAAACTGCCGAAGCCCTTCACCCTGCAGCTGAGCTAGGGCTAAGTAAAGTCCTGGATGGGGCTAGCAGGACCACACTCACAGTCCTGCAAAGAGGAGGCATGGGAGAGAGACACATAATGGCGCTTAGCCCAAACCTCTGGAGTTAGTTCCCAAACCTTTGGAGTTAGTTCCAGTCCCCAGTCCGGGCTCCATTCCTACACTTTGGCAAGGATCCCAAGTGGGCGCAGAATCACACAGTGTCCCCCGATCCCCCATTCTAGGCACTGACCCTCAGGGATTCCCTGCACTTCCTCCCAAGTCTTCCTTAGAGTCTGGAGTCTGCTTCCTCCCTGCAATGGAGTCATCAAGGGTTTTCTCCGAGGTCCCTACACAGTAGGCTCCCCTTGTCTCCCGTTAACACATTCTGGGCTTAGACCTGGAGTTCCCTTCCTGACATCATGGATTCTACCTTGCCCCCTGGATTCCCCGAGAAGGGCCTTGGCACTGCTCCTTTGAGGTACTTGAATATTCCCTGAACTTGCAGGGGTGGTTTGGACAAATGGGAGATTTGGAAGACCCTCGCCATCTTTCCAAGGTTGACCTTGTATAGTAGATTGGTCCCAGCACCAGGGGTAGGAGAGCAGGCACTTCAGAGCTGAGGGACTTTGAGCCAGACCCAGATGCCCCCAGAACTTCAGCTTGGCTGTGGCCTGGGGCTCCTGTAGGAAGGCTGCCCAAGGCCTCAGAGCAAGGCTGGGATTTATGCTCCAAACTGGTGGGAGGAATATGAGTATGGAGCTGGAGCCTCTGGAGTGGAGCCCTCTGTGGTGTTCTGGAGAGGAGCGGGGCTGGGATCTGCACAACAGAAAAGACTTCAAAAGACCCAAGCAGCCTGGGGCACAGGTGTGCAGGGCTGAGAGGCAGGGGTGCCTTCTGCTAGATTAGAGAGGAGTTCTCTAGTCTAAGAGAGGTGGGTGTACCAAACAGGAAGAAGACAGGACCAGCCCTGAAGTTCCCCAGGGATGAGGCATTTTCTACAATAGGCAGAAGAGGCAGAGCATAGGGGCGAGGGTTTGTGGGGTGTGCAGGAGTGTAGGGCAGTCATTATCCATAAGTGTTGGCAATATTTACCGAGCACCTACTCAGTGCTGGCCAGAGAGAGGCAGAGGACACCAGGAGGGGTAGACAGACTCAGGAAAGAGGAAGGTGAGGAGAGGGGGTGGTTCTCTGGAATAAAACCAGAGAGGAATAGGCAGACATGTAGGCGAAGGGTAGGGTATGAGTGTGCAGGATGTGTCTAGGGGACACTGAAATTAGAGATTGAACCCAAAAAGAGTCCATAGAAGTAGAACTAATGCAAGATCTAGAGTTAGGACTTGATGTGGATTCCTGTTGCTGAATTGCTACTACCATGTATTGGACACCTACTATGTGCCATGGACTATGTGTGCTTGATTTCTGTTTATTCCTTACCACAAGCTCATGAGGGCAATATTATTGTTTACATCTCACAGATAAGGAAATTGAGGCTGAGAGAGGTTACCCAGCTTGATCAAGGTCACACAGCTAAGTCCTGGGTCACACAGCTAAGTCCTGGACCACCCTCATAACACTGGTCTTAAGCTTTGGAATAAGTCCTGACCACTTCCCCACCATCTCCCCTTCTGGATGTAGTCTAGCTCCAGCTGTGACAGCAGTCATAAGTACCCCCTCCCCAACTAGGAGCTCCCTCAAGATCACCAGCATTAGCCATGGTGGAGGGACTGTCCTCCCTATGTCACTGCTGAGGGATGCTCTCTGTCTGGCCTGGAGGCCTGAAAGCAGCAAGTAATTTCCTCAGAGGCCGCCCAGGGTAGAACTGCCCTGCAGTTGTGCTGTGTTTTTCCCAGGCTGGGTCTGGCCTTTGGCAAACAGTCAGCTGGGCTAGGGCCTGCTATGGTTTGGAAAGGCAGCTTCAGAGGTACCATGGGCAGGGGATGGTGATCCTTCCCATTAAAAGTGTGTGTGTGTGAACACCCACACATGCATGTGCATGCCTGTGTGCGTGTAGGAGAGAGAAAGAGATGATCAGGCAGTAAGTGTGGCATGGATGAGCTGATTCACAGACTGACCACTGAGGTGAGGTCTGCTTCCATCCCAGCCTCAGTCTCCTTAGCTATAAAATGGGCAGTGGGACTTAGGTGAGGTCTTAGCTCTTCTCCTCTACCTCGGTTTTCACACTCTGAGGTCTGGTTCCAGGGGTTACTAGAAGAGGGAAAATAAATATCCTAGGACTGGCAGTTCCTTCAGTGCTCAGAGCTTCCTGGACTATGTGACCCTGGCTTGTGCCTCGATGTTAGGGAGAGAAGCAGTCTCCTCAGCCCAGAAGTTCAAGAGCACTAGTAGGACCCTTCACTGTCTTCCCCTGGCTTTACAAATCCCCAGTGAGTCTTGAACACAGCACAGTGCTTTGCACACCATAAGTGCCCTAGACATGTGTGCTGGTATCTGCCACTGCTCCATAAGTCTTTATACATGGAATGTTAGTGACTATTGGGCCAAGCCATAGTCAGTGGATTGTAGACATGAGGAGACTGAGGCAGCCTTCAGAAGCCTGCCTAGAGCTATAGGCCATGGCTGTGCATAGCTGTGTCTTCACTTCTCTCCTGGGTATGAGAGCCCTTCTGCATCGATCTCTGCTCTCCCCTCCATTCCCCACCTGCCACCATGATGGGTCAGTTAGCAGACATTTTCTAAGCCCCTACTCTGTGCTTTCCATCACCCTTAGGATAAAGTCCCCCCGCCTTACTGCAAGGCCCTGTGGAGTCTGGACCCTGCCTACTCTGATCTTGTGCACAGGACTCCAGCCAGCCTGGCTTCAGGCCTTGTCTAGTGCAGGGCCTGTGCATTCCCTTGGCTTGGATACTCTTCTTCCTCTCCCCTTCTTGTGCCTGGCTGTTTCTTCACAGCCTCAGACAAGCCTTCCCAGCCACTGGAGCTAAACATGGAGCTTCTTTTCATTACAATTCAGCCCTGGTTTGTTTGTTTTTTAATATTCGTTTCCCCATTAACATGTAAGCTCCATGAGGGCAGGCACTCAATTTAGTTCACCATTATTCCTCAGTGCCTAGCACAGTGCCTGGTTGTTAGCAAAAAACTGATACATGGATAATAATAGCTAACATTTATTGACTGCTAAGCTGAGGCAGGCATTGTCTTAAGTTCTTTACCTGTGTTAGGTACTAGACCCATGTAACAACTCATGACTTAGTAGTATTACCTCCATTTTGCAGGTGATGAAGCCAAGGCACTTCACAAGTTTTTATGTCACTTGCCCAGAGTCATTCATTTAGGTAGGGGTAGTCAAATAGGAATGGAGTCTGTCTCCTTAGACATAGCTGTAAGGCCTCTTGGCACAAGTGAATGGATGAATGAATAACATACGGTCCCTGTCCTCAAATATATCACAGCCCAGGGAGGGAGACAAGCACAGAAACATAAGTAATGATCAAGAGTGATGGAACTCCAGGGATTGCGGTATCGTGGTGGTTGGTTACATCTGTCTGGAGGGGTTGAGGAAGTTCCCATAGATGAGGAAGCACAGGAACTTGAATTTGAAGGGTGGATGTTTTCTAAGTAAAAGGAAAGTAGGCATTCTAGGCTTCCCAAGTTTCCCAATGTATGGAGATGCCTTTGGGGAAGGAATCTCAAGCCCATTCTCCTAACTCTTGTCCTCCTAATCTCCAGGTCCCCACACCAAAGTTGTGCGGCGTATCTTCACCAACAGCCGGGAGCGATGGCGGCAGCAGAATGTGAACGGGGCCTTTGCCGAGCTCCGCAAGCTGATCCCCACACATCCCCCGGACAAGAAGCTCAGCAAGAATGAGATCCTCCGCCTGGCCATGAAGTATATCAACTTCTTGGCCAAGCTGCTCAATGACCAGGAGGAGGAGGGCACCCAGCGGGCCAAGACTGGCAAGGACCCTGTGGTGGGGGCTGGTGGGGGTGGAGGTGGGGGAGGGGGCGGCGCGCCCCCAGATGACCTCCTGCAAGACGTGCTTTCCCCCAACTCCAGCTGCGGCAGCTCCCTGGATGGGGCAGCCAGCCCGGACAGCTACACGGAGGAGCCCGCGCCCAAGCACACGGCCCGCAGCCTCCATCCTGCCATGCTGCCTGCCGCCGATGGAGCCGGCCCTCGGTGATGGGTCTGGGCCACCAGGATCAGCCAGGAGGGCGTTCTTAGGCTGCTGGGATGGTGGGCTTCAGGGCAGGTGGGGTGAGAATTGGGCGGCTCTGAAGCAAGGCGGTGGACTTGAACTTTCCTGGATGTCTGAACTTTGGGAAGCCTTTACTGACCCTGGGGCTGGCTTTTCTGTTTCCTGTACCAGTAGGAGATCAGAAAAATGGAGCAAAGTGGTAGGTACTTTTTGTGAAGACGGCACGGTCTTCCCTCTTCCCTCAGTCCCAAATCCTTCCCAAGTAAGAGGCTGGAGTTGTCACTGCTTTTGGCCTGGAGTTTGGGATCCCTGTCTTTCCTAAGACCTGGGGTTGTCAGCTCTCATCTGAGGCATCCAGCAGTCTCTGCCTTGCCTTTAGCCCCTCCCAAGCTGGCTGGGGTGGCCTGTGTGGCCACTTCTGTCCATATTTATAGGTACCCAATAGCTGCCCATTTCGTGAGCCCCATCTTCACCCAGGCCTATGTTGATCCATCCAGCTTGCCAGATGCTGCAGAGTCACAAGCCTCGAGGTGCCTTCTTCAGGGCCTGGTTGAAGAAGATGATCAGTGGACAGTCTGCTCTAGATGAGCTGGGCCGGAGGGTCAGGAAACCCAGTCGCCCTTACTTCTTGCCCTGGGGATCAAAGTTCTGCTTTCTCCCCAATGAGACTTGCCTTCCTAAGCCTGTGGCTGTGGAGACAATGTCTGCAGCCCTGAGAAAGCCCTGTCGGGCTTTGTGTGAAGGCAGAGAAAGGGACAATGATAGTAGAGTGATATGGAGCAAGAGATATTTTGGGCATGTGGGCTTCAACTCCTCGACATCACTGTTCATGCTGGCGAGTGAATGCCAGTGTGCTGATGGGCGTACGCTGGTGCTGAGTAGATGCGCAGCCCCATCTGTGCATTCTCCTGGATGCTTAGAGGGATTTCTTTGCTGTAAGATGTCTGTTTGCTGATGGTCTGGTCTATGTTCCGAATTGAGCACAAAACCTGTCCTATGAATGCTTTGCATTTGGAATTTTTGCTTGACTTCAGTTATTGGTGGAATCTTTAGCGCTCAATAGGACCAGGATCCAGCCTCACTTCTAGGGTATGGGAAATCCAATCAGAGACCAGGCCCTGGCTAAGACCCAAACATATGCACATTCACTTAGCAGAACCTTAAACACCCCTCAGTTGTGCAGCTTTTGGTCATCAAGGGTGCGTCTGGGAGGTTGGTTTAATGCAATAGAAGTGCTCCCCTCTGAAAGTTGTACATGAAATTTTTGTAAATCACATCCTTATCCTTCATCTTTTAAAGAAATAACCACTGCAAGTCCTTTTGTAAAGTGAAGAATCCTTTTGTAGAATGAACCACTGCCCCTTCATTGATTTCCTGTGTCAATCCAGATGGTGGGATGTGGTTTTCTTAAGGTGAGGCCTGTCTGTGACCTGCATCTAAGCCCATGGGACAAATTGCACAGAAGTCCTGTATGTCTGTCATTGTACCCTTAAGTCACCCTAGCCCTCTCCCTCTAGGCTCTGCCTTCGAGGTCAGAGGAGAGATAGCCTGTGGCCCTGTCCTGCCATGCAAGAACTCATCACTGTGGCTGTCTGGAAAGCCCCCCCTTATAGTTTGGGCTTCAGCCTAGTGGCTTGTCCTCACCATGATGGGGCCCTAATTCAGCCATGTACAGACAGAGAATATGTCTGCTCCTTTCCCCTTCCTTTTAAGTAAGGTCCAATTCTCGAGCTTGGGGCAACATTGTTCACCTTTGTAGCACTCAGGCTCTCCATTCAATTTCAGGCTCCCCAGATCATGTTTTGGTGAAAATTAGGGTTGGTTCCTTTCCAACGTTTGGAAGATCCTGTGAGGAGCCCCATCTGTCTAAAGATAGAGTCATTGCTGTAGGATCTAAGGCTGTTTGCTTCACCGTGGATTCGCTTGAGTTAGGAATGAGAAGTAGCCACAGTATGGATGGGTGGATGGGTTTTATGAGATGGATCACATATTTTATTAAGAACTCAAACTTCTGGCTCCCTCTTCTTTCAGACTTGCCATGTGACTCTGGCTTGGCCTATCTCCTAGGGCTATGGTGTGGACTGAATGGGATCATGAAAGTAGACAGTTTTGAGAACGTAAAGAACTTTTTCTTTTCCCTCAATCTCAATCCTGCAGTGGGGTTTCGCAGCCTGAGTCCACGACCTAGGCAGTAGGCCGGTGTGCCTGACTGCCCAGCATTTGGGTAATTTAGATTGTAAACCGCTTTGGCCTGAGTTATTGAGATTGTCCTCATTTCTCCAGATTATCTATTTGTGTGTGTGTGTGTGTGTGTGTGAGAGACGGTGTCTTGTTCTGTCACTCAGGCTGGAGTACAGTGGTGCCATCATTGCTGTCTGCAGCCTTGAACTCTGGGCTCAAGCAATCCTCTCACCTCAGCCTCCCGAGTAGGGAGGACCACAGGTGTGAGCCACCACACCTGGCTAATTTTTACTTTTTTTTTTTTTTGGTAGAGATGGAGTCTTGCTATATTGCCCAGGCTGGTCTTGAAGTCCTGGCTTCAGGCAATTCTCCTGCCTTTGCCTCCAGAAGCACTGGGATCACAGGTGTCAGCCATTGCACCCAGCCCAGATTGTCTTAATTTCTATCTTGTTCCAAGGCCAGGGACAGTAATAAGAATGGAAAAGAGATATGGGAACACTGGCAGACTGTGTAAAATGTAATGCAACTACCCAAAACAAGCCTGGTAGGAAAGGGCAAGTCTTTAGGTCTTTGTAAGAACTAAAGAAGATCTGTAATTTTTATTTTCACCCTCTGTACCCCATGACCTTATCCTTCCTCTCCTTCCTTGTTACCCATGAAAAACTGGCAACATTCCAAGAATAGCATCTGTACAAAGGGGAAAGAACATAAAGGTAAAACAAAACAAAACAACATTTTGAGAACAAAGATGACCATAACCACTGAAGGGAATCACATCTTTTAAGACAAATTCATATTCTTTTATTTGTTATGGCAGATGACAAGATGGTACAACCTTTATTCTTTTCCAAAATAAAACAAAGGGCACAGCATCTGTAGTCAGCCGACAACTATTTCGGCCTTTTGGGGGTGGGTCTGGCCGTACTTGTGATTTCGATGGTACGTGACCCTCTGCTGAAGACTTGCCCCCTGCCCGTGTACATAGTGCATTGTTTCTGTGGGCGGGCCCAGCACTTTCCGTCAACGTTGTACTGTATGTGATGAATTGCGTTGGTCTCTGCATTTTTCTGCAGAAGAGGAGTAACCGCTCCAGGTACCTTGACCTTTGTACAGCCCAGAGGCCAACACTGTGGGTGTGTGACTCTTTAGCAAAAAAAACCCATGTGGTGATGATGTGTATATATATGTGAGGATGTATCGGGAAGATTTCTAAATAAAAGTTTTACAAAGGGGCCTTAGGACTCTGTGCTTGCATTGCACCCCTAGGCCTGAGACGGGATATTGAAAGAAAAGTCATGGCAAGAACCTGTTTCTCCTGACATGGGGAGCCTCCAAGACTCAGCTGTAGTCTTAGGAAGTGGGATTCCACCCTCAACCCTGAAGGCAGGCCTGGTGGGGAGGAGACAGCCTTCCTCCCCAGGGTTTCCATTCTTTCTCTCCACAGGCCTCATAGAGGGGGCCTGTCCCCTTGGCTTCATGCACCCATGCTTGTATCTCAGGAAGCCTCAGCAGACATCCCCTCTTTGTGTTGGGGTGAGCTTCCATGGCTGGGACAGTTGTATGTATCCTAGGTTCAGGACAGATTAAGGCCATACCATAGGAGGGCCCCAGGTTCCCTGATGACTCAACGGCTGCAGCGGCGGCTGCAGCTCTTATGCCTGGCTCTTAAGGATTGGGGACTCAGAGATGAAGTCTGAAGGTAATGGAAGTCGAGAGTGGAGGCTCTGTGGCAGGCTCCATATCATCTGGGAGGACTTCCCTGGAGGCTCAGGAATGGAAATGTGGTTTAGATGATACAACCCTTATTCTTTTCCAAAAATAAAACAAAGGGCACAGCACCTGGGTCTGGGGGAAGCCACTGCATGTGGACCATTTGATCCTCAGGGATTTCAGTAGGTCATGCAGGCACTTCTAATGAAGTATCATGCCTTCCTTTCTTTCTTTCATTTATTTATATATTTTTTCAAGATATGGGATCTTGCTTCTTCTAGCCTTTGCCCAGGCTGATCTTGAACTGAGCTCAGGAGTTCAAGGGCCATCAAGGTGAAAAAGAAACAAAAGGTGCAAAAACCAGAAGGTTTTTGTCTCAGTCCCTTGAGTAGTTAGGACTACAGCATGTGGAACTGGCACCCTGTTTCATTTAACAAATATTTATTGAGCATCTAGTATGGGCCTGGTATTGTTCTACGTACCGGGGATCCCACACTGAATAAAACAAAGATCCCTGTTCTTGTTCTGGTGGAGCTTAACTTCTAGCAGGGGAGACGGTAAACACACAGACACACACAACTGTAATAAATATGTTGATTCTGTAGTAAGTTACAAAGTGATTAGTATTAAGAAAAAAGTTGTGCCAAGAGGTGAGTTCAAGGACCTCACAGATAACTCTGGCTTTTTTGGGGTGAGCCTTGTTCATCTTGCTAGGCTCTGACTTGGCTGCTCTTGTCCTCAGGGTGCTTCCAACCACAGATAGGAGGGCAGAGGCAGGGTAGTCCTTGGGGACCATGCTCTGCCCTGTAGAGAAGCTCCTTGGTTTTTGGAAGCTCCCAGGTGTGCCTCTCCCTGGCACAGGACAAGGAGGTACCTGGGATGATAGGATGGTGAGATTTAGCCGTGGGGTGAGCTGGCTGTGGATCTCAGCAGTGGTGGTGTTGGCCTGGTCTGTGCTCACAGGTGAGAGGAGCAGTATGAGGAAGGGACCTGTGGTTAAGGGCTTGAGGGAGAGAAATGAGAAAGAGCAATCAGAGAGGAAGGAGAAAAACAGAGAGTGTGCTGTTTTAGAGACTGTGGCGTTTCAGAGGAAAAGGGTGAGGGAAGTGGTTAGGCAAGTCCAGCGCAGCTGAGTGGTCAGGCAAGAAAGGCCTGCAAGTGTTGATTGGATTTAGCAATATGGAGGTCACTGATGACTTGGATGACAGTGACACCAGGGGAGGGATAGAGGCAGAAGCCTCACTGTCCTGGACTAAAGAATGGGAAGAGAGGAGCACCATTTCCAGAAGGATTTTTCCCAGGAGAGGGCAAGGCATTCCACGCTGAGGTCTGGAAGGGCCCGTGAACTCTGCGGCCAGCAAGGCAGAAACGATGAGGTGATAGAATGTCCAGGTTGGCCTGACCCTGGGGGGCCATGTGGGCTAGTGTACATGTCTCCAGAAGAGGAGACAGGGCCAGAGAGGAAAAGAGTCTTTCCAGGGCCACACATCCCATAGTGATCGGCAGGGGAGGACCAGACTTCCCACCTCCCAGGACAGCTCAGTCCCTGAGGCACTGGGGGCCCTTCTGTCCTCCAGGGAAAAGAGCTGCAACTGGGGCCTTGCCTGAAATGGCCCTGCTGACCCGGTCAGCCTCAACCCTCACCACTTTTTTATTCTCTTTGCTCCGATTGTACCATCCTTTCTATTCCAGATCACATTATTTTATTTTTTTTAATGACCTTCCAGTTTTTGCACCTTTTGTTTCTTTTTCCCAGGACAATCTACCCATCCTCTCTTTCTGCCCTCCTTTCATTTGGTTAACTTGTCCTCAACATCCAGCAAACTGTCCTGACTACTCTATGGGGTCAACTGCCTCCTTGGTGCCCCCCACGGGCCTTCCTTTCCTTGTCTGCTTTCCCACTAAAACATGAGCTCCTTGAGGCAATATCACGTGCGATCTATCTCTTCGCCTCCAGCACCCTATGATAGACCTGGCACAGGTTCCTTTCAGCATTTGCCGAATGAGAAGGTTCCCCTGTGTAGAATCTCAGTTTTGAGGCCGGCATGGAATGAAAGAGTGGAGATGGGTGGGAGGCAGAATCATTGTTACAGAGATGCAGCTCCAGTGCCTTCTGCTGTAGCCATGGTCCTGAGCTAGTCAGGGGCAGATGTACAGCTCTGCCCTTGCACTGCTTTTGTTGCTGTGGGCAGAGGGAGGACAAGTGTGGGCTTTCTTGGGCTGGGCCGCAGTTGCCTGGTTATCATACTGGAGCTGGGTGGGGTGAGGTGGGGAGATAGGAAGATTGGGAGGCTGTTGATTTGGTCTGCTCATGGCAGCCCAGCCTCCTCATGCCTGCCCGCTACCTCCTTCCCTATGTGCAAAACAACTAACTGTTCCCTAGAAGCCAGTGTTCCCCCTCTGGCCGCACTGCCCTTGCGAACGAGTAAAGTACCACTGACCAGCCCATGGGGACACAGGCCATGGTGTTGGGCATGGTGTCCAGCAACAGAGGCTCTGCAACTGTGAGTCAGAGTAAGGTAGGGAGTAAGTCTGGGTCACCCAAGTCATCCTCTCCATTGTGGGGAGGAGGAAATGAGGCCTAGAGGGGAAGCAGCTTGACTAAGGTTACCTAGGATTGGAGTCAGATCTGAGTCCAGAGCCAGTGCTCACTACCTCTCAGGAAAGGAAGACAAAATAGTCAACAGGTAGTTGGTGTCCTTAGAGCAAATAGGCCTGTGCTGTGCAGGGACACAGCAGCTCAGCCTGCCCCAGCAATCTGCTAGGACTATGAGCAATCAGTGTGGGCGCTGGACAGCTTGCCTCAAGCAGTGGGCCCGACTTGAGGACAAGCCCAGTGGACAGTCAGGGCAGTCAATTTGGTATCAGTTCAAGAAGAGAGAGGCCAGGGCACAGAAGGCAGTGAATGGGAAGGGCAACTGGGCCAACAGAAAGAGGCTGATCTTTGGAGTCAGACCACTGGGTTTAAGTTCCAGCTGTGTGACTTTGGGTAAATCACTTTACCTCTCTGAGGTTCAGTTTCTTCATTGGTTAAATGAAGATATTAACACCCATCTTGCAGAGCTGTCATGGGATTTCAAAATAATGGATGTGAAGTGCTTATGTTTTATAGAAAACAGCCGTTATTATTCGTGGAAATGGGATTTGGATAGGGGGTATGCTTGGGAATGGCAGAAGACAGAAAGAAGAGGAAGATGTGGGAAACTTAATCATTCACAGCAACAGGAATTCCTGCTGAGCAGTGCAGGGGAGCCAGCAAGGGACTGCCCTGGCCCTGTCTGCAGGGGTTCACAGGCTGGGTGGAAGTGGGGTGAAGGGAATGGATACAGAGCCCTTCCACCCTGGAGGCAAGTGCTGTGTGAGAGAGGCCTGGTAGCCACGGGAGATCCTGCTCTGGCAGTAGAGACCAGGGTGAACATTAGCTAAATTGAAGGAGCCTGAGGAAGAGGCTTGGGGAAAGCCTCCAGGAGGGAGTGCCATTTTCTGTCCTGGGCCCCAGCATCTCTCAATGGGGGATGCAGGCCGCCCCATGGATGCTCATCCTCCCTCCTGGGTCCCCTACTCCTGCCCAGGCCACCTGGCTCAGGGCGGAGCTGGTGGAGCTCCCTGCTGCCCACTGTCCTGTTCCTCTGGCTCCTCCTTTCTCTTCCTACCTCTCCCCACTTGCTTGGTCCGAGCTCTGCCTCCCTCCCCAGCTCCCGGCCTTTTCTTTCCACACAATAACAGGATGTGATCCGTTCGAAGAGAGGAAGTGGGGAGGACGGGCAGTGCTGATAGCGCGTTTCTGACTCTCCACTCCTCCCCTCCCCTTTGGACCAGCCCCTGCAGCTGCCTCTTCCCCTAGGCTCTGCCTGGGTCTCCCTCTGGGTTCAGAAGAGATGAGTTTGGGATCATCAGGCCCACTCTGGCCTGTTCAAGCCTATGGAGAGATGCACACTGGCCGTGCTCTCTGCAGAGCCTGCCTTCCTAGGAGACTCACTGGGTTAGCTTTGGACCCTGGGTTATTCTGAGCTGCTGGAGCCTGAGGGTGGGTCCCTCACCTCTAGGCAGCCAGGTGCCGCCTGCCCATCTGCTTCCCCAAGTCCACGTGTGTCTGATCCAAAGCAGTGGGATGATGGAATCAGTGGAATGTCCTTGTCAGGTACTGTCTATGCTTGGCCTTGCACAGCATGTGGGATGGGCTGCACAGATGAGGAAAGTCTCAGAGAGGCAAAGTAGGAACCAGGAACTAAGCTGAAGCTAGAACCTAGATCTGCTGGTGTTCTATCACCACTCTTAGGTCAGCACTGTCCAATAGAACTTTTTGTGATGATGGAAATGTCCTGTGTCTGTCCTGTCCAATATTATAGCCACTAACTATATGTGGCTCTTGAGCACTTGCAGTGCAACTAGTGCAGCTCATTGCATTTTTATTCATTTAACACAATGATTTATTTATTTATTTGAGACAGAGTTTTGCTCTTTTCCCCCGGCTGGAGTGCAGTGGTGCGATGTCAGCTCACTGCAACCTCTGCCTTCCAGTTTCAAGCAGTTCTCCTGCCCCAGCCTCCCAAGTAGCTTCAGGTGCCTGCCACCACACTCAGCTAATTTTTGTATTTTTATTAGAGTGGGGGTTTCACCATGTTGGCCAGGCTGGTCTCGAACTCCTGACCTCGTGATCTGCCTGACTTAGCCTCCCAAAGTGCTGGGATTACAGATGTGAGCCACCGTACCTGGCCAACAACATTAATTTTAAGTTGAATTATTCTGAATGTAAAGGGCCATGTGTGGCTAGTGGTTGCCATGCTGGACAACGCAGTTTTAGCCTCTCTAATTCATTAAGTCATTGTACACTTACTGTCATCTTTGCTGAACCGGGCAGTTCTAGGAATGCAGGCCAATCAGGTAGTTGCAGGCATGTGGAGTGCTGCCCTAGAAGTCAGCCAGGGCAGGAGTCTGACTCACTTGGGGGTCAAGCAAGGCTTCCAGAAGAAGTTGGTTCTTGAAGGATGAATAGGAATTTGTCAGGTATGCAAAGAGAGGAATGGCATTCAGGGTAGCAGGAACAGCAGGACAGAGGTACAGCCTTGGGAAAGAGTGGGCTGTGCTTTGGAAGCTGCAGCCTGGGCAGCTGGTAAGGCACCTGCGGTGGAGAGTGTTGGGGCTGATGAGGTCTCAGGGCCTTGAATGCTGCAAAGGCAATGGGAAGTCATAGAGGGTTGTGAGCAGGTAGGAAGACATCAGATCTGTGTTTTAGGGACTCTCTGGTTAGTTAATGTGGAAAGGCCAGACTGAAGGCAGGGAGACCACCGAGGAGTCAGAGAGCTGCAGGCCCTCACAGCATGGCACAGCGAGGCTGCTTAGAGAGAGGCAGGAAAGTTTGTCTTCCTGCTTCCACAGAGTCAGACAGCAGGATATGTTTGAGAAAAGCAAGACTGCGGTGCTATGGTCCTAGGACTTGAAGGCCCGGAGCTCAGGAGAGCCTGGAATCCTCCTGCAGCCAAGCCTCAGTCAGCTCTTTCTTTTCCCAGCACACTTCCCCAACCTCTCCACCCATTCCACCATCCTACTTCATTCCTATTACGATGCCAGTCCCCAGAGAAGAGCAGAGCTGAGTCTCTGATGTGTCAGAGTAAAAAGACTTTATGCAAATCCTCTGTAAAGAGCAAGTGTTGGTAGAAGGAGGCCGGGGGCCTCCACATCCCAGACCTGGGAAGCTCAGAAAGAGGATGTGAGTCACCAAAGTTTAGCCTCACCTGCTCTAAGCCTTGTGCTGTTTATGTCCAAGGGCTGTGCTTTCATTTCTGTTGTCCTGCTGTTCCCTCCCTAGAATCCAGGGTAGAGGGGACAGTTACTCCCATTTTACAGATGAGGAATACTGAGGTCACAGAAGTGATTTGCCCAAGGTCAAGTGGCTAAGAGAGAAGCCTAACTGAGATTCCATTCTGGACTGTTTGGAGAACCAGTACCCGTACCCTACATCAGGTGAGCCCTTGAATACTGCCATGATCACTATAGACAGGCACTGCACAGTTCCAGGCTATTAGGACAGGACTTCTCTGAGGGGAAATCAGGGGAGGGCCCCATATACAGGGGGAGGGGTAGTTTGGCTCTGCATTATTTCATGAGTTCCCTGATTTAGGGGAGACACAATGTCTCCTGACCCAGTCTCACTTATGCAGATGGTGGTCTGATGATAACATCACCTGCCCCTGCCTGGCTCCCACACCCTTGCCATCCCATGACAAGAGTCCCCAAGACCCCTGCCTTTCCAAGACCGAGTAGAGCTACGGGACCAAGTTGGAAAACCCTTTCCCACCCTATGCCTGGTGACAGCTCAGCCAGCTGAGCCGCAGGAGCCCAGAGTCCTCAGCTCTTCCCAGCTAACCCTCTGCGGCTTGGGACCTGTGGTGTTCCTGTGTCCCAGGCTCTGTGGGATCTCAGAGGGGGCTGCGCCTTCTGCCCTCTGGCAGTTCCCACACGGGCTGGCTGAGGCTCCTACTCTCTGCACTCCGCCCCTCTCTCCAGCAATCCCCTGGGAGCCACTGTGTTCAATGGGCTATCAGGCTTCCCCATCACTCTCACGCCCCCCTCCATTACCCCTGAATAGGTGGGATCCAGACCCACACAAGCACTCCCAGCCCCAAGTCCCCAGCCAATCTTTCCCAGGATCGCCTGGGACCTCACAGTTCTGATGCACTACCTGCCTAGCCCTGCTCAAGACTCAAAGTCCTGGGCGGCTGGCACTCCAAGAGGCTGCCATTCTATTGTTTGGCAACAGCATATTCTAAAGCAGCAGTGTAAACTCAGCGCCAACACCCTCAGATTGTAAGATTCTGCTCAGCGAGCCTAGTAGCAGGTAAAAGTTGGGATCTCTAAGATCTCAGTTTCCATCACCCTAAGCACCGACATTCAGGGATTCTATGTGTCTCCAGCGTCCTTTGGGTTTTTGGCCACTGCAGCAGCTTCTGGCCACAATACAAGGAGAGGCCTACACGGGGTGGGGCAGGCAGGACAGGCGGTGGTTGCCTGGCTTGTTTTTTTGAGGGGAGGTGGGAGGCTGTTGGCCATGGGCCCCTTTAGGGTCCACATCTGCTGGGTTGGGGCTCAGCCAGAGCCCGGCTGGCTGGTCCAGTTGCCGGGCTGCAGAGGCGAGGAAGGGAGCCCGGCTGGCAGGCTGTGTGATGCTAATGAGGCAGGGAGGCACGGCTTTTGTCCTGCACTTGTCCTTGCTGGAGGGTCCTCAGAGAGAGAGACAGGTCCCTCCTCAGACCCAAGTGGCTGTGATTAGCCTTCAATCACTCCCTTTGATGGCTCCCAGTGCTCTGAGGGGCGTGGACAGGGACTGGGGAGGGAAGGGAAGCAAGCCTGGTCCCGTGCCCATCCCTGTGCTTTCCAGGGAGCGTCCAAAAAAACCGCACTGAGTCAAGACCAGAGTGACAACACTGCTCCATCCTCTTCTCCCTGAAGGGCCCTCGAGCTCCCCAAGGGATCCAGTGCATCCTTTCTGACTTTCCAGCTCTGAGCCTTTGCCACACCTGAGATGCCCTTTCTGTAGACTCCCACGCCAGGAGCAGGTTTTGGGTCAGACTCAGTCTCAGATGCTGCAACTGCTGCTTCCCTCCACCCCGGGAACTGGGGCCTCTCCTATTTCTGAATGCACAGAGTCCCTGAGCTGTGTCTAGGTGCTACTCACCATCCCCTACATTCGAGTCCTGGCCTCATCGCCCTGTTTGTTCATGAGCTGCTCAGTCCTGGGGCAATGTGTCACTGGTTGGTCGCTAATGGTCCCATCCTGCCCAGTGTGTGTGGGGCTCACCCACAGGAGGTGCTTAGTGAATATTTACTCATCAGACTCCAGGGTGGGCGAGCACAAATGAATCATTAAAGTTTGTAATGATTCATTGTACAGATGGGGAGGGATGTGACTTGTACAGGGCCACGCAGGGTGGTGAGTGACTTAGCACCCCCAGCATCAGCTCCAGATCTCTTCTAGAGCAGGGCATCTCCAAGGTGAGTCCAGGGACACCCAAGAACTCCAAGGAGAAAACTCAACGGGACATAAACCTAAATGGGAAAAATGTTACATCTTTATTTTCATCACCCTGTGACTGAAACATAGCTTTTCCTTCCATTGTTAATGTAGGCAGCAAATCACAGCACTAGCAAAGAGTGTCTGCGACTTTCGTTACCAACAGAAATTACATCCCAGATGATAGATTACCTTGAAATATTGTTCCCAATCATTATTTTGAAATTATGGTTGGTATTAGACTTGTTGCTAGATCTTTTCATTTAATCCATGAGTAAGGAGGCACACATATAATTACATCATAAAAATTTAAAATATCTTGACAATTGTATTTCAATGCCTTTGATTTTCATTATTCTATGTATTTTATTTTATGTGTTTAAGGCATTAATTTTTAAGGGGATCATAGACTCCACCACACTGCCCCAGAGGTCCATGGTACACAAGGCCAAAGCCTCTGCACAGAGTGTCCTCGCTGACCCTCCAGCCCAGAGCTTGCATCTTTCCCGGCTCCATCTCTAGTCGGAAAGGGTTTGCATCATGCACTGGCATCCTGATTTTGCAGGAAAGTTGCAGGAGAGGTAGGCACCTGCTTGTGTGATTGAAGGGGGCTTCAATGCTCCAATGTAGCCCCTTGGCATGTCACTTTTAAAATCAATATGTGTTGAGCACATCACACATGCCAGGTCCTGTTCTTTTTTTTTTTTTTTTTTTTTTTTTTGAGACTGAGTCTCGCTCTGTCACCCAGGCTGGAGTGCAGTGGCGCGATCTCGGCTCACTGCAAGCCCCGCCTCCCGGGTTCACACCATTCTGCTGCCTCAGCCTCCCGAGTAGCTGGGACTACAGGCGCCCGCCACCACGCCTGGCTAATTTTTTGTATTCCCAGGTCCTGTTCTTAAAGCAATGACCAGAATAGAGCAATGAAAAAGAAACATTTTCTTTGGTGAAGTTTATATTCTTAGTGGAGAGACAGATGATAAATAAGAAAAATAAGTTAAATAATTAGTGGATTGGATGGGGATAAATGCCAAAGAGAAGAATGAAGCTGGGAAAGGGAATAGTGAGTGTGTGTGTGTGTGTGTGTGTGTGTGTGTGTGTGTGTGTGTGTTTTAGGGGGTTTTCAATGAAGGGAGGGCCTTTTTTGGAAGTAAGCAAGAGGGTCTCGCAGAATAGGGGTCACCGGAGTCAAGACCTGAAGGAGATGAGGCAATAAGCCATGCAGATATTTGGGGAAAGAGTGTAATGGAGGGGAACAGCTAGTGCAAGGGCCCTGAGGCTGCAGTGTGCCTGGCATGGACTGGTTCAGGGCAGCAAGGAAGCAGGAATGGCTGGAATGAGGAGGAGAGGAGTGAGAGATGGGTTGGAGAGGTACCACATGGAGCCTCTAGTCCACATAGGGACTTTGGCTTTTACTTTGGGTGGGATGCAATAACATTGGAGGATTTGTTTTATTATTCTTTTATTTATATTTATTTATTTATTTTTGAGACAGGGTCCCTCTCTGTTGCTCAGGTTGGAGTGCACTGGTGTAATTATAGCTCACTGCAGCCTTGATCTCCCAGGCTCAGGCAATCCTCCTACCTCAGCCCACTGAGTAGCTGGAACCACAGGCAGGCGCCACCATGCCTTTGGTTTTTAGTAGAGATGAGGTCTCACTATGTTGCCCAGGCTGGTCTCGAACTCCAGAGCTCAAGCAGTCCTCCAGCCTCGGCCTCTCAGAGTGCTGGGATTATAGGTGTGAGCCACTGCGCCTGGCCCCATCAGAGGATATTGAATAGGCAAGGGACTAAATTTTCGAAAGAATCTCTCTGGCTGTCATGGTGAGAGCAGACAGAATGGAGCATAGCAAAATTGGGGAGATCAGTTAGGACACTATTGTGATAAGGCTAATGAGCGATAAGGGGCTTGGATGTTGCAGCAATGGAGGTGGTAATAAGTATTATTATAGAAGTCTAGATATATTTAGAAAGAGCCAAGAGGATCTACTGATGGATCCAGTGTGGAAAGCGTCAGAGGGGAACGTCAAAATCAACTATGAGATCCTTCCTCTGAATCGCTGGAGGGCCAGAACACCGCATACTAAGCAGGAAGGCTGTGGGAGGAGCTGGTTTTCAGTGGGGTGAGCTCAGGAGCTCAGTTCAGGACATCTTACGTTTGAGACCCTGTCAGTGGAGTGGTCTGGGTTGGAAATGTAACTTTGGGAGAGATCTGCATTTGGATGGTGTATAATGCAGACAGGGCTGGGTCATAGTGCTCAGTGAGCACTATGCCAAGTGCTTTCTAGCACCTTCTCACCTCACTCCCCCAACAAACCCAAGAGGAGGGTGCTATTATCACCCCCATTATTTAGATGGATAAACTAAAACCCAAGGGGGCAAGGGACTCACTAAAGTCACACCACGAGGAAAAAGCAGAACCGGATCCCAACTTATATGTGTCCCATTTCAAAACTCAAGCTCTGTAACCCATATATACTATTGTAATTTCTTCTTTTTTATTTTATTTTTATTGATACATAATATTTGTACATATTTATGGGGTACATGTGATTTTTGTTACATGCATAGGATGTATAATGACCAAGGCAGGGTATTTAGGACATCCATCACCTCGAGTATTTGTCATTTCTTTGTGTTGGGAGCATTTCAAATCCTCTTTTCTAGCTATTTTTTTTTTTTTGAATCAGAGTTTGGCTCTTGTTGCCCAGGCTGGGGTGCAACGGCACGATCTTGGCTCACTGCAACCTCCACCCCCCAGATTCAAGTGATTCTCCTCCTCAGCCTCCCAAGTTGCTGGGATTACAGGTGCCCACCACCACGTTCAGCTAATTTTTGTATTTTTAGTAGAGATGGAGTTTCACCATGTTGGCCAGGTTGGTCTCGAACTCCTGACCTCAGGTGATCCACCAGCCCCGGCCTCCCAAGGATGGTGTCAATTTTTCTAATTTGAACAACCAGTTATATGGTGGTTCCATTTACTGAGGAGCATAGAACGACAGGGGGTACAAGGAGAGGAGCAGGCTTAGGGGAAAGAGTAAATTCACTCTGGGTATGCTGAGCTTGAGATGTCTGTGAAATCAAGTGGAGATGTTGACAACATAGTTGGATATGCAGACTTGAAACTCTGCAGAAATACCAAGCCTGTAAATATAGATTTGGAAGTTATCAACATAGAGGTGGTAATTTACATCATGGGATTCACCCACCAAGAGGGTGTGGAATGAGAAGTGGAACAAGATTTCTGAGGAATGCAGCATCTCAAAGCTGGGCAAGGGGAGAGAAACAGCTGGAGGAGACAGAAGGAGCAACCAGAGAAGGAGGAGAAGAGTGGGGAGGTGTGGAGTGCTGGATAATGGGGAAGACAGGGGTTCAAGGTGCTAGGAAGTGCTGGGATTACAGGCTTGAACAACCATGCCCGGCTGCTATTTTGAAATATGCAATACACCGTTGTTAGCTGTAGTCACCCTATTCTGCTATTGAACAGTAGAACTTATTCCTTCTATCTCACTGGATGTTTGTACCCATTAACCAACCTCTCTTCATCCCACACACCTTTCTCAGCCTCTGGTAACTATCACTCTACTTTACCTGCATAAGATCAATTTTTTTAAGTTTCCAAATATGAATAAGAACATGAAATATCTGTTTTCCTGTATCTGGCTTATTTTACTTAACATAATGACCTCCAGTTCCATTTATGTTCCTGCATATGACAGGATTTCACCCTTTTTTATGGATGAATAGTATTCCATTGTGTATATTCACCATATTTTCTTTATCCGTTCTTTCATTGATGGACACAAGTTGATTCCATGTCTTTGCTATTGTGAATAGTGCTGCAGTAAACACGAGGATGCATGTATTTCTTTGAAATACTGATTTTTTTCCCTTTGGATAAACACCCAATAGTGGGCTCCCTGGATGATATGGTAGTTCTGTTTTTAGTTTTTTGAGAAATCTCCATACTGTTTTCCATAAACACTGTTCTAATTTATGTTCTCACCAATAGTGTATAAGAGTTCTCTTTTCTCTGCATCCTTGCCAGCATCTGTTATTTTCTGTCTTTTTGATAATAGTCATTCTAACTGGGGTAAGATGATATCTCATTGTGGTTTTGATTTGCATTTCCTTGATGATTAGTGATGTTGAACGTTCTTTCATATGCCTGTTGGCCGTTAGTATATCTTCTTTTGAGAAATGTCTATTCAGATCCTTTGCCCACTTTTTAATGATATTGTTTCTTGTTTTGCTCCTGAGTTTCTTGTATATTCTGGATATAGTTCCTTGTTAAATGACTAGTTTGCAAATATTTTCTCCCATTCTGTAGGTTGTCTCTTCACTCTTTTTTTTCTGTGGATAAGCTTTCAAGTTTAATATAGTCCCATTTACCTATTTTTGTTTTAATTGCCTGTTCTTTTGGGATCTTAGCCATAAAGTCTTTGCCTAGATCGATCAACCTGAAGTGTTTCTCCTATGTTTTCTTCCAGTACTTTTGCAGTTCTAGGCCTTACATTTCAGTCTTTAATCCATCGTGAGTTGATTTTTGTATATGGTGAGAGATAGGAGTACAATCTCATTCTTCTGAATATAGATGTCCAATTTCCCCAGCACCATTTATTGAAGAGGGTATCCTTTTCCCAATGTAGGTTCCTGGCATCCTTGTTGAAAATCAGGTGACTATAAATATATGAATTTATTTCTGGTTTCTCTGTTCTGTTCCATTGGTCTATGTACGTATTTTTATACCAATACCACACAGTTTTGGTTGCTATAGCTTTGTAATATATTTTAAAGCCAAGTAGTGTAATGTCTCCAGCTTTGTTCTTTTTGCTTAGGATTGCTTTGGCTGTTTGGGCTCTTTTTTGGTCCCATATGAATTTTAGATTTTTTTTATTTCTGTGAAAAATATCTTGGTATTTTGATAGGGATTGCATTGAATGTATAAATTACTTTCAATTACTATTGTCATTTTAACAATATTAATTCTTCCAATCCATGAGCATAAGATGTCTTTCCATTTGTTTGTGTCCTCTTCAATTTCTTTGATGAGTATTTTGTAGTTGACCTTGTAGAGGTCTTTTACTTCCTTAAATTTATTTCTAGGTATTTTATTTTATTTTTTGTAGCTATTATAAATGGGATTGCCTTATTGATACAATTTCTTCTTTTGTGCTCCTCCATCCCACCTCCCTCCTCCTTTCCTTCCCTTCCTCCCTTCCCCCTCCCTTCCTGTTTTTTTTTTTTGTTTTTTGGTTTTCAAGATACTTACCTTTAGCTTTCAAGTATTTTTGAAAGAGGTCAAAGTATAGTTAGAGTGAACACTCAGCATTTATTTTTATTTTTATTTTTTGAGACGGAGTCTCCCTCCGTTGCCTAGGCTGGAGTGCAGTGGTGTGATCTCGGCTCACAACCTTTGCCTCCTAGGTTCAAGCCATCCTCCTGCCTCAGCCTCCTGAGTAGCTGGGATTACAGACGCATGCCACCTCCCCGGTTAGTTTTTGTATTTTTAGTAGAGATGGGGTTTCATTGTATTGGCCAGGCTGGTCTCAAACTCCTGACCTCAGGTGATACACCTGACTTGGCCTCTCAAGTACTGGGATTACAGGCCTGAGCCACCACGCCCGGCCAACACTAAGCATCTTTTAAAATTGTCTTAAATTTTTTATTATGGACATTTTCAAACATATATTAAAGTAGAGAATAATAAATGGCATGAATCCAGTTTCAGCAATTGTCAACATGTGAGTAATCTTGTTTTGCCTATACTTCTATCTGTCTCCATGCTCCCTCTCCCCACAATGGCTTATTATGAAGCAAATCTCAAACTTCATATTATTTCATCTGTAAATGTTACTATCTTTATTAGTTGATTTAATTAAAAATTACTGAACATCTATCTGCTCTGTCAGGTTATATGCTATGTTCTGATAAATTCTTAATCATCTTTCAAAGCTCAGTTCAAGTGTCACCTCTTCCTGGAAGCTTTCCCTGGTTTTCCCCTCTCCCAAAAGAACTTAATGACTCCTTTCCTGGCATTCAGATTATATGCCTCCTTCACAGCGCTCACTGTTTAATAGCAATTATTTTAAATGTGAGGAGATAGTATAATATAATGCTTAAGAGTTTTGGAAACAAATAGACGGGTTAAAATTTCAATTTCTGCTTTGGAATCAAATAAAGTTGGGTTAAAATTCTGCTTTCTGAGCTTAATTCCTTTGAACCTCCGTGTTCTTATCAGTAAAATGGGGATATAGCACTCACCTTATATTGTGGGGAATAAATGGGTTATGAATCCAAAGTACCTTGCACAGTGCCTGGCACATAGTGGGCATTCCTTCAAGAAGTTACATGCTTCTCTCGCCACACTGTGCTGGAGGCAGGACCACAGCTGTCTCCTGTGTGTGTGCTGGCACGTGGAAGCCTCTGCGGAAGAATGTGGGAGGGGAAGCCTCCAATTACAGAAAGCAGGCAGACTGGGCCCTAGCAGCCCTGCCTGGCTGTGGACAGATTCTCTGGCAAAGTGGGCCTCTGGTTCAACTTTTGGGCTATTTAAAGGCATTAGTAAAAATCCGAAAAATGACTTGATTTTGTCTTTTAATGCACACTTATTTTGTTTAGTTGGAAACTACAAATTTGTCCCTCCCCTCAACTAAATAATCTTTATTATAGAAACTCTGGAAAGAACAGAAAGAGAAGAAAAAAATCACAGAATCAGCCCAGATCACCCATTTATGTATTATTTTATTTCCTTCTTCTTTTTAAAAAAATTTGTTTTACTTTCCATCTATGAAATTATAATTGCATTTTGTTTACTTTTTGGTCCATCTCCAGCTTTTTAAAGTCATCTTCATTTTGAGGGTTGAAGTCTGACCTTTCAAACAAAAGCTCCAAGTGTGAAAGGGTCCGAGGGTTTGGATGTGGCTTCTTGACTGAGCAAGGGGTGTCCAATGTGTGGCTGGCAAAACATGCCTGCAACACCTCTCACTGCCCACCTCCTTCTGGAAGCTCAAGGTTTCTATTCACATACCTCTGGGAATGGGAAGCTCACCACCTTTCAGGGTCATCTCTGTCATCACTAGACAGCTTTCTCTCACTGAACCAAATCCAGCCTCCCAGTGACTCTTTTCATCATCCTCAGCTCCATGCTCAGAGGGCACAGAGCACAGTTTCTCTCTCTGATCTGGTGCAGCCCTGCAGATATCTGGAGACAGAGGCCTCTGAGACTGCTACTCTTCAGGCTGGAAATTTCAGCTCCTCCAAGTATTTAACAGACTAAAGGCAAAATTAGTAACAAGGGAAGAAAACAGTTTTAGTTAATTAAAATGTTGAATGAAATCAGTTCCATGACTCCACATGCCCTGAAATGTGAGGTGTGGCCAATGCTTGTAGTCTTACCCTAAGTGGTCTAGAAGACAATGTATATTGCTTCTTTATTTACTCCTCAGTTCAGATAGATACCCCCTCCCCATCCATTTAAGCAGGTGTTGCTTAGGGCGGGTGTTAGCCCAGCTTCTCATCCCCCTATCCTGGACCGTGTCATCCCTGCCGGAGGCCTCAGTCACCATCCATAAGCTGTTGAATTCCAAGCCTCTATTCCCAGCACAGATCCCTCCCAGGAATGCCAGACCAAAACATGGAGCTGCGTCCTGAGATGTCCTCCGGGTGCTGCAAACAGCCTGTCCACACTGGGACTCATCGTCATCGGCGCATTGCTCTTTGCTCACTGCACCCACTAACCTGTGAGCTCCCTTTGGCACGGCTGTGGAGCTATGGTACTTTAGAACAGTGCTTGGCACAGGAAGACACCTACGAAAGGTGTGTTAAATGAATAACCACATGCCCTCTCCTCAATCCCAGCTTGCTGCTCTTCTAGTTTCCTCTAGTTTAAAAAATAGCACCGGCCAGGTGCGGTGGCTCACTCCTGTAATCCCAGCACTTTGGGAGGCCAAGCCAGGTGGATCACCTGAGGTCAGGAGTTCGAGACCAGCCTGGCCAACATGGTGAAACCCCATCTCTACTAAAAATACAAAAATTAGCCAGGCGTGGTGGCAGGTGCCTGTAATCCCAGCTACTCAGGAGGCTGAGGCAGGAGAATTGCTTGAACCCAGGAGGCGGAGGTTGCAGTGAGCCGAGATTGCACCACTGCACTCCAGCCTGGGGGACAAGCAAGATATTTCTTCTCAAAAAAAAAAAAAAAAAGAAAAGAAAAGAAAAAAAATAGCACCAAGTTTCAAGCACTGTCTGAATCAGAAGACGAGGCACCTCCTTGATTGTACTCTTTTGAATATCTCACTTCTGCGTCTATGCAGCTAGCTTATCCTGCCACTTGTACCCCTTAAATTGCTCTTCCATCCTCCAATTCTCTCTGTGCACTGTTTTAACCCAAGCCATCACCATCCTTCTCCTGGATCCCTTCCACAGCCTGCTCACTGCCCACTTCCCTGTTCGGACCATTCTTCCAGCTGCAGTTGGAGAGAGCTTGCCAAAATGCAAGACTTTCCCACATCGCATCTTTGCCTAAAACCTGTATTATCTGTATTATCTCTAAGGTGATGATGACCGCATCTCTTAGGTCCTGCAAGGCTCTCGAGACCTCTTTCCTGACCACCCTCTGCTCTCCAGCCAGGCCCATCTCCCATCAGCTCATTGTGTGGTGTGACTTTCCCTCCCTGCTCCTCCCAACCTGGAGGTGCTCTCTTCTACACCACTCCCCAACCCCAGTTGTTGCAGATTTTCTCTCTCTAGGTCCTAGAGGAGTGCCTCCACGGCTGCACCCACATGTCCCAAATGTACGTCTCCAGCCTGGACCTCAGTTCTGACCTCCAGACTCACATTCCTTTCTCCAAACCAAACTCGTGAATCCTGCCCCTCCTTCAGAAAAAAAGCCTCCTCCTCCTGCAATCTTCTCCATCTCAGTCTGCTCCAGCTGAGCAGACTAAAAACCTCAGAACCATTCTTGGCTTCTCTCTTCCTCTCACATTCCAGACCAGGTTGGGTTTACCCGCAAAATACATCTAGACTCAGAGCACGGATCCTCAGCTCCACAGCTGCTCCAGATCCCAGTTGCCTTGAGTTGTCCTCGCCTCTCACCTGGAGCACTGTGGAAGGCTCCTTGCCGGCCTCCCTGTTCTCTCTTCTTTCTCCCACTGTCTCTTCTCCACATGGCAGTCAAATCATGTCTCCTGTGCTCAGATCCCTCCAGTAGCTCTTTGGTCTCATTGGAGTAAAAGCCAGAGTCCTTACAACCACTCACAACACGCCAGATGAGGGGGCCACACCCTTGCTTTCCAACCTCATCTCCTCCGCTCTCCCTGCACTCCCTTCAGCCACACTGACTCCCTCCAGCCTCCTTCCTCAGGGCCTTTGCACTTGCCTGTCTCCTTGCCTGGGGTCTTCCCCCATCCACCGCTGAACATCTTACTTCCTCACTTTCAACTCTTGGCTCAAATGTCACTTCTTAGAGGCGCCTTCCCTGAGAATCTGTATAAAATAGCACACCCTCTTCTTGTAGCCCCCCCCCACCATTTTCCTGATCCTGAACTTTTCCATATTGTCATTGGAACTGTTTTATCTGTCTGTTTCCTGGCTGACCCCTCTAGAATGTCATTTCTATAAAGGCAGGGGCTTTGTTTTGTTCATTCCTGTATCCCTAGCATCTTGAACAGTGCCTGGTCCACAGGAGGCTCTCAATAATTACTTGTTCAATGAATGAATCTTAGATTTCATACTACCTTTTCCTGACTTCCTAGACTAGATGGCAAACTCTTTTATTTACTTTTAGCAACTGTACCTTCCCTTTGAAACATTTACTGCAACTGTAATTACAAAACTGTATAATGTAATCTTGATCTTATTCTCTACAGGTTGGGCATCCCTAATCCAAAAATCTGAAATCCGAAATGCTTCTCAATCTGAAACTTTTTGAGCATCAGCATGATGCCACCAGTGGAAAATTTCACATGTGATCTCATGTGATGGGTCATAGACAAAACACAGTCAAGACCGGGTGCGGTGGCTCACACCTATAATCCCAGCACTTTGGGAGGCCAAGGCAGATGGATCACCGGAGGTTGGACCAGCCTGACCAACATGGAGAAACCCCGTCTGTACTAAAAATACAAAATTAGCCAGGCGTGGTGGTGCACGCCTGTGCGCCTGATCCCAGCTACTCAAGAGGCTAAGGCAGGAGAATTGCTTGAACCCGGGAGGCAGAGGTTGCGTTGAGCCACGATTGCGCCATTGCACTCCAGCCTGGGCAAAAAGAGTGAAACTCTGACTCAAAAAAACAAATAAACAAACAAAAACAAACAAAAGAAACCACACAGTCAAAACTTTGTTTCACATACAAAATTAGTTAAAATATTCTAAAAATTACCTTTAGGCTATGTGTATAAGGTGTATAGGAAACAAATGAATTTCATGCTCAGACTTGGGTCCCATCCCCAAGATATTTCACTATGTGTGTACAAATATTCCAAAATCAGAAAAAATAAAAAATCTGAAACACTTCTGGTCCCAAGCATCTCAGATAAGGGCTACTGTATTTCCAGTCCCATAGTAGCCACTAAACATGTGTTGAGTGAATGAATGAAAGAAAGCTAGGATGTTATTTGAGAAACTGACCAATAGCAGGTGCTTGACAGAGGGACTGAACCCTGGGCTGGACATAGGGACTCCTGGAGTTTAGCCCCATCTCTCCCATTGACTTGCTCTGTGACTTTTAGTTGATGACTGTCCATTTCTGGGTCACAGTTTCCCCAGCTGAAAAATAAGGAGCAAGATTACATCATTTAGAATGAGCTTTCAGGCTTGAAGAGATTGTGATTCTAGAACCCAGTACTCCCAGCTTGCTTCCACTGCTGGCCTGGAGCCCTGGGTAGGGAAAGGATGTGCTTGGAACCAGTAGGGTAAGATTTGGCTTTGGGACCTCTGCTGGCAGGCCGGGCTTCTGGCATGGGGCCAGCCCTTGAATTTCTTGGCTGGATGAGTGGGCAGCAGGATGGGTTGATTGATCTTCCCCCACTGTGGGGTCCTGGCCATAAATCTCCTCAGCCCAATGGGGTCGCCTAGGACCCAGGAGTCACAGCCAGTGCATTCCTTGGCTTGACTGGCTCTGGGCTGGTGCTTTCTGCCCCTTCCAGCTCCCAGACACTGGAGACCCTGTGGGCGTTAGCACCCATTCAATCTGATCATAGAGCCTAGCTCTGTGCTCCAGAAAGCCTCTGTCCAGAGAGCTGCCAATCTTTCTCCAGGTCTGACCTTAAGATCACATGGCATTGTTTTGAGCAGATATGCCCTAGGCTCCCGGTGAGCCAGGACTTAACTCTCTTTGTGCCATGGAACCCTTGGGCAGTCTGATGAAGCCTAAGGACCCCTTCTCACAGTAATATTTTTATTTATTGATAAATTAAATTAATTAATTAATATATTTCTGAGACCGAGTCTCACTCTGTCACCCAGGCCGGAGTGCAATGGCACGATCTCAGCTCACTGTAACCTCTGCCTTCCAGGTTCAAGCAATTCTTCTGCCTCAGCCTCCTGAGTAGCTGGGACTATAGGCACATGCCACCACTCCTGGCTAATTTTTGTTATTTTTAGTAGAGATGGGGTTTCGCCACGTTGCCCAGGCTGGTCTCAGACTCCTGACCTCAGATGATCTGCCCGCCTCCGCCTCCAAAAGTACTGTGATTACAGATGTGAGCCACCGTGCCCGGCCTCTCACAATAATGTTTTTAAGTGCATAAAATAAAATGCATAGCATTGCAAAGGAAGTCAGTTATATTGAAATGTACTTATCAAAATACTAAAAATATAAGTTTGTAATATAGTGATTTATGTGTCCATTTATAATGTATTCAACAACAAGATCTTGTGGAAGGTCCAATGACTATTGTACTTCTACAGTGGTGAGTATAAGATATATCTAGATATCTGCAATAATTATATGGTGATATGAAAATATCACAGACAGTCTGTGGTTTGTTGCCTTCATCCTACGGAAGAAAATGGTAAATTTTATTTATTTTTATTTATTTTTTTTTGAGATGGAGTTTCGCTCTTGTGCCCAGGCTGGAGTGCAATAGTGTGATCTTGGCTCACTGCAACTTCTGCCTCCTGGGTTCAGGTGATTCTCCTGTCTCAGCCTCCCCAGTAGCTGGGACTACAGGCGCCCACCACCATGCCTGGCTAATTTTTGTATTTTTAGTAGACACATGGTTTCACCACGTTGGCCAGGTTGGTCTCGAACTCCTGATCTCAGGTGATCCACCCGCCTCGGCCTCTCAAAGTGCTGGGATTACAGGTGTGAGCCACCACATCTGGCCGAAAGTGGTAAATTTAAGTTAGAGGTTAGTGAAATACAGATATAATGTTTCCCTGTCCATGTTCATGAGCTAGAGTTCTGTCCACAGCCCTCTGGGAAGGGAGTGTTACATGAAGGGGAGCCAGGTGAATGAATTCTTAAGTCTGAGAGGAGAGGGGCTCACCACAGTCCTAACCAGCCTGCTTCCTTGGGACCTTATCAAAATATGAAAAGCTATCATATTCTGTTAACGGAATCACAGGATCATAGGCTCCAGACCTGGAAGGGCTACAACCCTGCTACAGTTTCAGTATATGTCCCTCTAAAATTCATATGTTAAAACTTAAACCCCAATTAGCTGGGCATGGTGGCGGGGGCCTGTAATCCCAGCTACTCAGGAGGCTGAGGTAGGAGAATCACTTGAACCCAGGAGGGGGAGGTTGCAGTGAGCTGAGATTGTGCCACTGCACTTCAGCCTGGACAATGAGAGCAAAAACTCCGTCTCGAAGAAAACAAAAAAAAACAAAAAAATCCTTAAACCCCAAGGTGGTGATATTGAGGGCTGGGACCTCTTGGAAAGGGGTTAAGTCAGGAGGGCTTCACCCCCGTGAATGGATTAGTGTTCTCAAAAACGGGGTTGAAGGGAGTGTCCTTGCCCCTTTCACCTTTCCATCCCTCCCACCGTGTAAGGGCACAGCAAGATGTGTCATCTTGGAAGCAGAGGGCAGCTCTCACCAGATGCCAAGCCTGCTAGTGCCCTGATCTGGGACTTCCCAGCCTCCAGAACTGTCAGAAAGTAAATTTCTGTTCTTTATAAATTACCCAGTCTAGGGTATTTTTATTAAAGTGGTACAAAGAGACTAAGACAAACCCCTTTTGCAGACACCTCATTGGGTGACCTGGTCCATGGCCTCTGCTCTTACATGTCTAGGGAAGGAGAGCTCACCCTCCAGGACACCCTCATATCAGGCTGAACAGCTCTAACTGTCAGAGGAATGGTTGCCTTGTCTTCTCCTTCACATACAGAGATGAATCAGACACAGTCCTTGCCCCACAGATAGAGAGTGGAGAGAGACAAGGACTCAACTACAGCTAAAATGTTTTATTCATTGAACAACCTTTCTCTGAGCTTCTGCTCTTTGTTAGGCCAGTGGTAGGCACTGCATATACTGACATTTAATTTCATAAAATGTGTGTCGAGTGTGTACTCAGGCACTGTGCTCAGTACTGGCTGCTGAGGGAGAGATAGACATGATACCTTCCCTCCATGGAGACAGTTATTAAATGAGTAAACATACAAATCAGTGTGTAATTGCAACTTGTGATCATGGCTGTGAGGAGATGAGCAAAGGAGACTCATAGAAGGGAGTGACTTCAGATGGGAGAGAAGGGAAGTAAAGAAGTATTCTTGAAGAAAGGGATGTAAAGGAAGATCAGTTTGCTGGGCAAATAGGAGTGGAAGAGTGTTCCAGGCAGAGAAAAGAGCAAGTGGAGAGAAGTCTCTGATGTGGGAAAGAGCTTGGCTTTTGTTAGGAAGTGACAGGAGGCTCCGGGGCCAGACCAAGCTGGAGTGGTGGGTAAGGAAGATTGCCTGTGCCCTCAAACCCATGCAAAGAAGTTTGCATATTATTTTAAGGGCTGATGAATGCCATAAAAGGGTTTAAGCAAGATACGTTTGAAAGAATAAAACAAGGTCTCCAGGAGCTCTCTGGCTTACAGCAATGATATTAACAAGATGAAGTATTATAAGAATTAGTAAAGAGCTGGGCGCGGTGGCTCACGCCTGTTATCCCAGCACTTTGGGAGGCCGAGGCGGGCTGATCACTTCAGGTCAGGAGTTTGAGGCCACCCTGGCCAACATAGTGAAACCTCGTCTCTACTGAAAATACAAAAATTAGCTTGGTGTGGTGGTGGGCGCCTGTGATCCCAGCTACTCAGGAGGCTGAGGCAAGAGAATCGCTTGAACCCAGGAGGCGGAGGTTGCAGTGAGCCAAGATTGAACCACTGCACTCCAGCCTGGGTGACAGAGAGAGACACTGAGAGGGAAAAAAAGAAAGCTTTTATATTTGTGTTCTAAACACCCTTCTTGAATGTTCTCTGTACTTTTTCTCAGGCTAAGCTCTTTGCCTGGATTCCTCTCCCCAGACTGTCTGCCGAGTACAACACTCTGGCTAACTTTGCCTGCATTACCTCCTCCAGGATGCCTTCCTTAGCAATGTAGTCCACCACGCTGCCCTATGTCAGAGCCCTGAGCACTCCCTGTATGCTGTTCCCAGACTATTTACATGTCAATGTCCACCGTCCCTTTCTTCAGACCACCCCTGGAGGAGGGCAAAAGTGGGGGCTGGAGGGAGGGGAAGTTGCAGAATCTTCAGCAGCAAACTGGCTCCCTGCACGCCCAGTCTGGTATTGGAGCTAGACACTGCCACCTGCTGGCAGTGAGTGGAATGGCTGACAAGATGGGGTTGGGAGGAAGGAGACTGCTGGAAACAGTCCAGGCCCACTTTGGCTTTTCTGAAGGGCAATCGCATAAGGTCTGGCTGGATGGAGGGCTTGTCTAAGGGGCCTGATGGTTTTGCGTGACAGCTGGGCTGGAACAGGAAGGAGGAACTGAACGTCGATGGAACAGCTGCTCAGGACACACGGTGCAGCCCTGTGGGGCTGCTGAGACCTTAGTCCAGACCCTGGGCCCCAGCCAGACCAGTAGGGGGGCCCACCTTGTTACCATGGGGATCAGGGCTGTGTCCATACAGCTGGGGAGATGACCCTCCACCCGTGTGAAGACCTCCAGGGAGGAGGGACCAGCCTCAAAGCCAAGTGTCCACCCATGCTCCCTCTTTTCTGGAACAACTTGTTTTGCTCTAAAGCTTGGGACTTTGACCCAGGAGGTATGTTTTCCTCCTGTTGATCACCTGGTGTCCTTCCTGTTCATCCCCTTCCCCCACCACTCCCAAAGCATAGCCCAGGGGATCCTTTCCTTTCCCTGGGTTTTTCAGGGAAGTGGAGGATACTGGGGTGGGGAAGGCAGAACCTGGGACTTGAGTGCTGAGGGCACTGGTTGGAGGGGGTGGCACAGCTGTGACCCCCCCACCCTCCTTAAGTCTGTCCTTGCTTGGCTCCTGGGATACCCCACTTTCCTGGGGTTGCTTCCTCCTGTTTCCTCCTGCCCCTTCTTCCTTTGAAAGACCTTTGTGTGTTGGGGGCGTGTCTCCTTCTTTCTGTGCTCTCCCCTCAACACCCCTACCCCCGCTACACACACTGGGGAGACCATGAGCTCCCAGGCCTCAGTTACCATCCCTGTGCTGCAGACGGCTCCCAGATGTTCCACTCCAGATGCAGGGATTTTGCAGCCTTCCAGATGTCTCCCTCTGGAAAGTCCACAGGCACTGCAAGCATAATACCTCAAAATCTATAGCTCATTAATCCTCCAACCCCCCAAACTTGCTCTGGCCCCTACTGAGGCACTAGCATCTACCCAGCTGCCTACGCCAGAAACCTGGGAGTCACCTGAAGCCCTGCCTCCTGCCTGTACCCATTCTCCCAGCTTGGCACTGTGTTCCAGCAGCCACACCCCGGCTTCTCTACCTCCTCAACAGGGCTCAGATCTGTTCCCATGGGCACTTCCTGCCCAGGTCCAGGCACTGGTGTTGTGGCCACTGTAGCAGATCCCTGGATTTCTCTTCTCCAGCCTTTGCATGCCCCTTTCACTCTCCACACTGCATGGAGAGGTGTTTTCCCAAACGCAAAACTAACCATGTGACTCTCCTCCCTAAAATTCTTGGAGAAGGCACCAGTAGATGTTTGTTAAATTCAGCCCCATTCCTTACATTCCAATCAGTGATTCTCTGGCTGTTCATTAACATGCACAGTGCTTACTCCAGTCTGTGTTAGAAGATTCTGAGGACACCAAGTTGGGTGTGGGAGGGAGGCCAGGATATACATGTTTGGGAGGCATCACTCAACTCCAAGCAAAGTTCTCCCAGATCACCTTGAGACACTCCATCTTTGGATGGCAATGGGCCCGACTGCACACGCATGTGAACACACACACACACACCCACACACACCACACACACACACACACACACACACACACACACACACACACACACACACAGGAAGCAGGCCTGAGGCATGATGTCTGAGTGCTCCCGCTGGAGCAGGAAGGCAGAATCAACCTGCCATAGGAAGGGTTGCCCAGGAGGCCTGATGAATAGGAGTTTGGTGGCTTCAGGGAAGAGAGGCTGTGGAGGTGCCTTCAGCTCAGGTGCTGGCTCCTGGGGACCTTCCATCTCTGATGAGACTTTGTTCCAGTTGGCCCGCTCCTTTCTAGGGAGTCAGCATCTCAGCTTCCCATACTTCTGGGGTGGGGGGTGGGGCAAGGAGACCAGCATGACCCTTGGTCAGGGGCTTGCACAGGAACTCTGGCCATTCTCATTCCCTGAGCTGGAGGGCCAGGTGGACACCACGTGATCCTGGGGAGGCTTTTGCCTCTTCCGAGGGCTCTGGCTCCAGGGCCTCCCTGTTCCAGGGGCTAGGTGTGCCTTCCTCAATGCTGCTTTTGGCTATGAGGGTGACGGGCCCAGGGCTTCAGGGCCCCAGATCGCACCTTGCCATCTGGGGTGTCCGTCCTTTGTCCCCCACAGCAGGCTGTGTTTGCCCATTTTCTCCTCTGCCATGGGTGGAGATGGATCTGAAGTTGGGTGTTGAAGCCTCTGACCAAGGCTGTATCTTGTTTTGAGGCCCTGCCCGGTTTCCAGGGACCACATCTGGGGCCAAGAGGAAGAACCGAACTGGGACTAGGTTAGCTGTGCTGGGTCAGGGCCTGGGCATGGGCTGTGAAAGCTGGGGACTGGGACCTTCAGGCCCTCTATTGAGATCTTTGCAGAAGGGGGTGGATTTAGGAAGCTACTGGGCTGGGCCAGGGCGTGGAAGGCACTGAAGCCGTAGTGTGTCCCAGCATTAGAGTCCCAGAGTTTAGCTTGGCGGGGCAGGGGCAGGTGGTGGGGAGAACAGGAAATAGGCCAGGCTCTCGGCGGAGTCTGGCAGCTTTGAGCCTTCTCTGGGCTTCTGGGGTTTTCCCCAGGCTCCTGAGCCAGCCAGGACATTTCTTAATCCCACTGTCAGCCTTCCAAGAAGCCCCGCCCACTGGGCTCAGTCAAGGCAGGAGCGACTGTGTGTCACCCCTTTCCCTAGAATCCAGCCCCACTGCCAGGAAAAGGGAGCTCAGGGCATGGAGGTGAGGCTGGGACTCTCCCACATCTGCTTGTTCCTCATACCCACCTCCTTAGCTGGCCCCTGGAAGATGACCTCGAATGCCAGCCCAAGTGAGCTGGGCACCAGCCAGGGGAGGCCAGGTCTGGCAGCTCATTACCATGGGAGGGAGGGCACGTTCTCTCCGACGCCCGTCTTCGTGTCTCCTCCCTCCCTCGCCTTCCTCCTTCCTAGCTCCTCTCCTCCAGGGCCAGACTGAGCCCAGGTTGATTTCAGGCGGACACCAATAGACTCCACAGCAGCTCCAGGAGCCCAGACACCGGCGGCCAGAAGCAAGGCTAGGAGCTGCTGCAGCCATGTCGGCCCTCAGCCTCCTCATTCTGGGCCTGCTCACGGCAGTGCCACCTGCCAGCTGTCAGCAAGGTAGCTCAGGAGGAGAGGGCTGGGCACGGGAGACCCAGGGGTGGACAGGTGGTGTTCTGGCTCCCCTCCCCAGGGCCTTGATACTTACAGTTTGGAGGGGGAGCAGGGACTGCGCTAGCTGAAAGAATGTCCCAAGGCAGAGACCTCTGAACCAAGTCTCTGCCTGTCACTTGTTTTCAACGAGTGAAAACTGGCAGCAGTTGGTTCTAGGATCTCAGGGAGGAACAGGATTTGAGGCCCAAGCCCCAAGAGCAGGCATTGCCCAAGGGATGGCTGGGTCCTGAGTACAGGGGACCCGGGGGTACAAGTAGGGTGAGAGTGGGGCCCAAGCCACCCCTCAAAGACTTGGGCTTTGTCTCGGCCTCTTGGGCTTGGATAGAGAACAGTGCCCAGTGTGACTCCCCCAAATATCTGACCTCTTCGTCCTGCTCTGCCTGAATGGATGTGTGACCTTGAGCAAATCACTGCCCCTTCCTGAGACTCAGTTTTCTCACCTATAAAATGAGAACAATAAACCCCACCCTGCCCACCTCCCAGGGCTGCTGCCAGGTCAGAGGTGAAGAAGGGCTTTGCACCTGGTGAAGTAACTAACCCAAGGTCTGGCTTTCATTCTACACTGTCAGGCTGCATCTGCAGCCAAAGTCTGGGGACTCTGCAGGTGGGACTTGGTCCAGAGGGGACTGGCAAAGATGCTTTCAGAGCTCCCCTCCCACCCCCACCCCGAGCTCTTATGTGTGTCTGCTTCAACTCTGTCTCCCAGGTCTTGGAAGCCCTCTGGGGAACTGCAGACCAGAGAGGTTGAGTCACAGAGCACGGCAAGAAAGGACAGGGTTCAGACCACCTTTCTCCTGCCCCAGACACTGCCCCTTGCTGTATGTGCATGGGAGGAGGAGCAGGGACTGTGGTCCCTGGGGTGACTGGAGAGAATTGGCTGCAGGGTCTAGGAGGAAACAGGGAGGGGCCTCCAAGGGTTGAGCCCTAACTCCCCATGCTTGAGCAACCACTGACCTGAGGGAGCAGTCTGAACCCCTAGGGAAACAATGACTCCCAAATACTGCTTTTTGGCAGGTGTGGAACTGAGGGTAATCACACTGTGTGTCTTCTGCTTCCCCTGGAGATAAGTGAGGTCTGACCTCACTACAGGCCAGAGAGTTCCTAGCCTCCTTCCTCCTTCCCAATATTTGCCAGGCTCGGAGAAGAGGTCAGGCCTCCACTGCAGCAGGAGAGCTTTTGGTAGACTCAAAGGAGGACATTTGAGCAGGAGTGAGCCAGAGGAAGGTTTTCTCATGTCCAGCTTGGGTCCCTCAAAATATAGGGATGCAGGTATATTCTGGCCTGGAGGCAGGACCCCTCTGAAGCCCCCTGCTGACCTGTGTTTTGTCCTGGGACTTCTCCCCGCTGAGGGTCTTTTCTCTACAAGGCTGAGCTCCTGCAGGCTCATGGAGTGCAGTGATGCTGGGGAAGAGGAAAGTCCTTTGGGGAAGCAGAGGCCTGAAGGCAGGGACTTCAGGAAAATCTTGAGGGACTGTGTTGGTGTCAAGGGTCAAAAAGCAGAGAAGGGACCTGGTGCAGTAGCTCATGCCTGTAATCCCAGCACTTTGGGAGGCCAAGGCCAGAGGCTCGCCTGAGCCCAGGAGTTTGAGACCAGCCTGGGCAACGTAGTAAGACCCTGTCTCTATTAAAAAATAAAAAAAGTAGAGAAGGGTGCAGGTTGGGGCCTCAACCTAATCTCTGGCCCTAGTCCCTGGGCACCCAGCTGGGGGAATCAAAAGGAGCTCAGGTTTTGAGGCTTCTTTCCTGGTCCCCAAGACCCAGAGTAGAGTTCACCCCTCCATTCTGCCCTTCTAAAGATGTCCTGGTCCACTCCTCTCTCTGGGTACCCCAGGCACCCCAGATCTCCCCAGCTGAGCAGCCCTGAGAGTCTCCCACTCTCATACCCTTCCTACCATCAGAGAAACGTCTTGCTACAGAACAGGATCTTCTAGATCCCAGACCAGTCTTGTCAGCTGTGGGTCCTCCTCAGCCTTCTGGGAGCCACTCCCAGCTGCAAGGCCTAGGCCGGCTGTCCAGGGGGCTGCCCTTTGGTCCCTGGGGCTGCATGTGACCCACCTGCGGGAGGGAAAGAGGCTCTGGGCTGCCTAGATACAGCACTGAGGCTCTTCCCTCCTTGGCTTCTCACTCCTTCCAACTCCCTTCTCTCTGAGCCTCTGTTGTTCCTCCAGCTCCCTCCTTTTCCTAAGCTCGGTGGAGCTTAAGATGCATAAGTGGGTCAGATGGGCTGTATCCCACCCCTGCCTCCCCACAATGTCTCCTTGCTCCTGGCAGCTGGCTGAGGGCCTTCAGCATAGGTGGGGTCCTTGAAGAGTGAGGCCCCTCGCTCTCCTGCACATGCAGCCCCACTGTGGCCCCGTCTGCTACAGCCCCTCTCCCTTTGTTAGGCCTGGGGAACCTTCAGCCCTGGATGCAGGGCCTTATCGCGGTGGCCGTGTTCCTGGTCCTCGTTGCAATCGCCTTTGCAGTCAACCACTTCTGGTGCCAGGAGGAGCCGTGAGTGCTGCCCAAGGGTCCCTGAGCAGGCAGGGTGGGCCCAGGACCACTGCTCTTGCTCTAGTAGCAGTGAGAAGGGCCTCAGAAACCCTGTGTCCAATCCTCCCCCTGAGGCTCAAGGGAAGGGAAACTGAGGCTCAAGGTCATGGGGTGGGTTGGTGACAGTCGGGATGAGGGAATGAGAGCCTAGGCTTGCTGGCTCCCAGACCTGGGCACTGTGGGCCCCACAGCTCTGGTGCCCACTCCCTGTGAGTTTTGGGGAAACGGCTTCGCTTCTTGGAGTCTTGGTGTTTCCGCAGAGCCAGGATAGCGGCCCAGCCTGTGATGGGGGCTGTAAGGACCTCTAGAAGGTGCGGTCCCTCCTTTGGGTGGGTCAGCTGTGGTACAGAGAGGGCATGGGACAGACACACCTCCTGCCCTCACAGGCTCAGACTGGAGTGAGCTGTCAGAAGTTCAAGAGTTGCTGCTGAGGGAGAGCGCAGAGGACACTGCAGGGCCTGACCTGGTCCGGGGTGGCCAGAGAAGGCTTCCCCATTGCACATTTATCCCGAAACCTGACTAACGAGGAGGAGTCACTACCAGGATAGAGTGGCGTGGGAAGAGCGCTGCAGTTGAGGGAAGGGTACACCCAGGTCCTGAGTTAGGGGCACGGCACCAGGGCTGCTGGGGACAGACACACACAGGTGAAGGGCAGGTGGGCTGAAATCCAGCTCACTCTGCACTCACCAGGTCAGGACCCTCAGGCAAGGCTGCCTCTGTTCCCAGGGGCATTTCTTCCCAGATCTCACAAAGGTGGCCTGGTGGCTTGAGTGCTAGCCCCATGCAGGGTTGCTGAGGAAACCCCAGTGGCTCAGTGGGTGGAGACAGGGATGGAGACACCTGAGATGAGGCTGGTGAGGTGGGCAGGCCCAGGCCAACCAGGCTCTTGCACACCAATGACCTGAGCTTTGGACTTTACCTAAGTGAGCAGGAATCCAGTGACAAGTTTTTTTTTTTTTTCTTTTTTTTTGGAGATGGAGTTTTGCTCTTGTTGCCCAGGCTGGAGTGCAATGGCTCTATCTCGGCTCACTGCAACTTCTGCCTCCCGGGTTCAAGCGGTTCTCCTGCCCCAGCCTCCCGAGTAGCTGGGATTACAGGTGCCTGACACCACGCCTGGCTAATTTTTGTATTTTTAGTAGAGACAGGTTTCACTCTGTTGGCCAGGCTGGTCTCCAACTCCCAACCTCGTGATCCGCCTGCCTCAGCCTCTCAAAGTGCTGGGATTACAGGTGTGAGCCACCATGCCCTGCCTCCAGTGGCAAGTTTTTAAGCCAGTTTCGGGATGAGACACGGCCTTAGCAGAATGACTCTGGCTGCCTCGTGGCAGATGCACGGCAGCGGTGGAAGAGTCTCCAGTCTGCAGGCCTGGAGAGTGGTGAGGGGGTGGGCATGAGGTCAGGAGGGGGTCTGGACTGTAGCGGTGGCAGAGAGGATGAAGTGAAGAGACGAGTCTGAGCGCTGTCTAGGAGGTGGGCACCCTGGGAGTTGGTCGTCACAGACAGCAGCGGACTCGAGGGGAGGAAGGCAGGAATGGCATCTAAGTTTCTCATGGCGGATCACTCACCGAGGCCCAGAACACAGGAGGATGAGCAGACATAGGGGCAACTGCTAAGTTTAATTGGAGACATATTAAGTCTGGGGTGCCTGTGGGATGTCTAAGGAAATGAGCAGGTGTTCGGGTCCCTGTAACCCTCATGAGAGCAGCTTCTGGGAGGCTTCAGGGAGAGCCCACACTGCAGGGGGTTTAAACTTGAGTAAGAGACGAGAAGGTTGTTGTTGAATGCCCTTCAGATAGACTTTCTCCACCTGCCCCAGCTCTGCCTGAAGGGCCACCAACCACATCTGTGCCCACTGCCCAAGGCACGAGCTGGGGAAATTTGGGGCAGACACTGCATCCTGCAGGGCCTGCTGTGGAGGCTGAACTGAGGGCGTCTGGGACAGAGAGAGGCTTTGGACTCAGGATAAATCTTTTGCAAATATTTGGCCCCCCACTATGGAGTGGGGAGAAAGTGAGAGACCCCATGGGTGGGGCCAGTAGCCGCGGCTGACATGCCCTGTTGCACACAGCTCTGGGAAGGGCAGTTGCTAGCCTTCGGGCTTGTGAGAACCAGGACCCAGAATAGGGTCTGCTTGGACGAGGGGGGCCCCACTGAGGAGCCCCACTGATGAATCCCATCCCCAGGGAGCCTGCACACATGATCCTGACCGTCGGAAACAAGGCAGATGGAGTCCTGGTGGGAACAGATGGAAGGTACTCTTCGATGGCGGCCAGTTTCAGGTGAGGTGCAGGGCAGGGCTGCCCGGTCTGTGCTCCCAGGGCCTAAGGAGAATCTCAAGACAGGTGCTGCTGGGGGGAGGTGGCTGGGGAGGACGGAGACTCATGTGGGCAAAAGCTAGTGAGGCAATGGGGGCTTTGTGAGGATTGCAGGGCTCTGTGGGGAAAATGCAGCCCCTGTGTGGGGCGAGGGCTGCAGAAGGGGACGGAGACTTGGTAGGGTAGGGTTCAGCGTAGGGGAGGGGACTCATAGGGCAGTGGGTACAATGGGGACAAAGGGTTCAATGGAGGAAGGAACAAATGAGTGAGGGACTCAGTGAGGGGAAGGCTCAGTAGAGGATGCAGCTCAGTGGGGGATGGGTTCACTGGGGTATGGACTCAGTGGGGGATGGGTTCACTGGGGTGTGGACTCAGTGGGGTATGGACTCAGTGGGGTATGGACTCAGTGGGGGATGGAGCTCAGTGGGGGATGGAGCTCAGTGGGGGATGGATTCAGTGGGGGATGGGTTCAGTGGGGGATGGGTTCAGTGGGGGATGGACTCAGCCTCAGTGGGGCATGGGCTCAGTGGGGGATGGACTCAGCAGGGTATGGACTCAGTGGGGGATGGGTTTAATGGGGGAATTGGTTCAGTGGGGATGGACTCAGTTGGGGATGGAGCTCAGTGGGGGATGGGTTTAGTGGAGCATGGTGTCAGTGGGGGATGGGCTCGGTGGGGGATGGGCTCAGTAGGACCCAGTGGTGCAGCAGTCCACAGGAGGAGGGAGATAGGTGTCAGGGAGGGGATGCTGAGAGGCCTCCAGTCTCGGATGCATAAGCCCAGATGTGGTCAGGACAATCCCCTTCTGGGAGTCAAGTGTTTATTCTGGAAGCTATTACTGTCACAAGTGCAGGAAGGGGCAGGGAGAAGGGGATAGAATGGGAGGAGCGATGACCCATCAGGCCCATGCCTTCTTCTTTCAGGTCCAGTGAGCATGAGAATGCCTATGAGAATGTGCCCGAGGAGGAAGGCAAGGTCCGCAGCACCCCGATGTAACCTTCTCTGTGGCTCCAACCCCAAGACTCCCAGGCACATGGGATGGATGTCCAGTGCTACCACCCAAGCCCCCTCCTTCTTTGTGTGGAATCTGCAATAGTGGGCTGACTCCCTCCAGCCCCATGCCGGCCCTACCCGCCCTTGAAGTATAGCCAGCCAAGGTTGGAGCTCAGACCGTGTCTAGGTTGGGGCTCGGCTGTGGCCCTGGGGTCTCCTGCTCAGCTCAGAAGAGCCTTCTGGAGAGGACAGTCAGCTGAGCACCTCCCATCCTGCTCACACGTCCTTCCCCATAACTATGGAAATGGCCCTAATTTCTGTGAAATAAAGACTTTTTGTATTTCTGGGGCTGAGGCTCAGCAACAGCCCCTCAGGCTTCCAGTGAGTCCCCATCTTGCTTTCTGAATCATGACAGTCACCTTCCGACTCTGTTGTAGTGGCTTTGGGGGATTATGCAGGAAGCCCCTGTGCCCACAGGGCAGCTGGGACCGAGGGGGCCCAGGCTGGGGAGGGGCTGAGAGTGTGTGGCCAGGGTGAGGGTAAGAGAGGGTTGGTGCCTTTCTGGTGTTTGAGAGTGAAGCACCCTCAAATGGGAGTGTCTGATGACACCTGGGAGAACTGGGAGGCAGGGAGACCAGGACAGGTGAGCCCATTTCTGCCAATGGGCTGGTTTTTGTCCCCTCAGGCCAAACCCTTTCTTCAACCAGAGCAGCCAGGCAAGGCTTCCCAGGGCAGGGCAGAGCAGACCCTAATATGAGCTAGGTTCCCCTAGTGCTGATCAGTTTCCTGTATGTAGGGAAGGAAGAGGATGTCAGAGGCCCATGGGCCAGAGAGCTCACCCACTCTACCCTTGCTCCAGGTAGCGCCCCTCTTGGAAATCCCCGCCCCCAAACATCCTTCATCCCTGAGACTCTGGGCTTTTCCTTGCTCAGCGCCGCTCACCCTCTGCCTCTGTGCTGGAGGTGTCACAGTGGGTTCACACAGATCTAGCTCTGTCTCCCTCCAGTAGCCCCTCCGTGCTGGGCTTTGGCATAGGAAGTGTCAGGAAGCAGTCTTGGGTTGAGACTCAGGAAGCCCAGATCTGAGTCCTGGGTCCTCTGGCAACTTGTGTGTGAACTTGGGAAAGCTGTTGTCCTCTCTGAGCTGAGCTTTCTCTCCGTGGAAGATTTGGCCAGTCTCACGGCAGAGCTGGAGGAGAGCCCAGTCCTTGCCTATGCCTGCCCTCCCAATGCCCAGTCCTGGGGTGGGAGTCAGGGTTGGGAAGGGAGGATCAGGAAACTGGGTCCTAGTAGGAGCAGGGGAGAGGGGAGGCATGCCTTGCCTGGCTGGCTGAACCTGGAGGCCCCTCACCTCTGTGACTGTTGGCCTTATGCGAACAGCTTCTGTCTCTGTCCAGGGTGATAACCTGAGAGACTCATCCAGGATAATTCCCAGATCCAGAGAAGTGGGGCCAGAAGGTAGGAGGCCATCCACCTTGTCCCAAAGGTCTCCCTCTGCCACTTGTCTCAACCTGTCACAGCCCCCTTGCTTTATGTTATGGCCATTGTTTTGCTATTCCAAGGCTTCACCAAGTACCACTGGGGAAGACTCATCTTAAATGGGAATCATCTCTTCTCACCTCATTGGGTTTAGGATGCAGCCTGCAGCAGAGGGAAGAGGCCTGTGGGTCGGGGAGCAGCGGCTTTGCTCCAGGCCTATCCTTGCTTTTCTGCGTGTCTTGAGACAAGTCACCTCCCCTCTCTGGGCTTCGGCTTAATGAACTGTGGCTTGTGATTTCTACTCTAGGCTTTTGCTTACGTGGCTGCCTGTGACTCATGCCTTTTCACCCCACCTCTGCCAGTTTAAACTCTGCGCATTGTTTTTTCTTGACCCAACCAAGGTTCCTCCTCTTCTGGGAAGTCTTCCTTGATTAGACCAGAGGGCAAAGCCAGGCCAGCAGCCAGCCCAGCTTCTCCACTCACTGAAGGAGAGACAGAGGTTCCTAGAGGGTCAGGCCTCTGCTAAGGCACAAACAGTCCCCTCTTCCTTTCCTGTCTCCTGGTGGGAAGCTTCTGACTGCCGGATCCGATTCTCCTTGCACGAGGCCACATTTCCTCCCAGCTCTGCCCTCAGTTGTCCCTGGGGGGTGGGAGTGGGTTCGAGTCAGGTCACTCCACCAGCCTGCCAGGGCCAGAAGGCAGAGCCACCATCCCTGTCTCCCTGCAGCAAGTGAATCCCAGCCCCTCACACCTGTGAGGTTTTGCCAGGAGAAGCCTGCTTCTGCCTGGGCTCACCTTGCTCCCCAGCAGCTGTCTGAGGCCTCTCCAAGAGCCTCCTTGGCCCCCTTCTCATTCTGTCTTGCTCAATATGGGCAGATCTAGGAGAGTGGGAACCCTAGGGGCTCCTGCAGGGGCTGGGCCGGCACTGACCTTACAGCCCTTCACCCTCACCCCATGTTCCTGCCCTGATCCAGAGGGGAGTGCTGGGAGCAGGGAGCTGCTGGCCCCAGAACTGCTGAGACCCCCAATCCTTATCGCTCATTCCCACCTGCCAGCCTGGCCAGATCGGGGAGGGAAAGGAGGCTGGGCCCGGGCCAGGGTGGCGCTTAATGACCCTCCGGGGGCCTAATCTCAGACTGGCAGCCACGGAGTGGCTCAGGCGCGCTCCTGGAGAAGGCTGATAACGCACCAGCTGGGCCCCCACCATCTATCGCTGCACAGCCAGTCCCAGGGGCAGCCTCCCAGGGCCTGGGGAGGGGGAGCCTCTGGACTAGGGCGGGGCTGGAGGCGAGCTCTCCACCCCCAGCCCTGAGGGAGGGGATCCTGAGCTTCGTGATTGGCAGACAAGGGAGAGACCCAGCCTGCAGGAGGGGTGGGCTGGGCCTGGTGGGAACCTCCAGACACCTGTGCTCCTTCTCTCTTTCCTGCTCTCTTCCCAACCTTTTCTCCCCACGTAGGACCTCTCCTGCCCAGGCCTGTCTCCTCTTTGTCTCTCCCAGCCTCCATCCATCTCTGTCTCCCTGTTTCTCAGTCTCTCCACCTCTGTTTTTGTCTCATCCTCTGCCTCTCTCTCTCCTGTTTGCCTTTCTCCTCCTCCACCTGAGCTCAGTGCCCACCTCCTCTTTCTCTCTTGCATCCCTTTTCAGTTTCCAGCTGGTTCTCTTGGTTGTCCCCTTCCCAGCTGTCCCCTGCCTCCTAAGCTTCCTTGATGTCAACCCTTGGCCGGGCAGTTCCCACGATCTCATTGGTCTCACTTCTGTGTGTGGTATCATCTCTCTGTGGTCCCTTCCACCAGCTATCTGCCAGGATTGCAGGCTGCCTCAAGCCCTGGCTCTCAGCCCAGAATGTCCTCTTACTGTTGAGGACATTTTTGCTCTTCCTGGAACAGGGCTTGCACCTTGTTTTCCCCTCTCCCACCTAAAACATGTAAGTTTCATAGGGTTACATTATAGGTTATACCCAAACTCAGGCAGAAAAGAAAAGCCTCCACCCAGCAACTGCACAGTTGAGGGAAGACTGCAGCACTGCTTACTTCATTTAGACTTGAAGAGGAACTTCCAGCCAGGAGTTGGCTTTGAAAACAGGCTGTGGAGTTCCGTCTCCAGAGTGCCAGGTGGTCAAGGGGAGTTTCAAGATTACTGCCGTCATACTCAGAGTGACACATGCAGAAATACTATCTGTTTATTGTGCTTCAAGGATCCATTAGATCAGGACTATTGCTGGGCAAAGCCTCTTCCCGCAGCCTAGGGGTAGTAAAGGTGGGGGTAGAGGTGCTGGGGCTGGGGCCAGAATCACACACAGTCTGCTCTGGCCTCTACCCACCTTCACAGGGAAGTCAGGTGGCTGAAGCCAGCAGAACTTGCTCTGGGACCAGGGTGGAGGCACCTGCCTCCCATCCAGACCTGGCTGGAGGGTCTTGACTCCCTAGCTTGGCTCTCCTCCCAGGGTTTTTTTTTTTTTTTTTTTTTGTCCCTGGCAGTGCAGGGGTGGCCAAAAGCTTGAGCTTGGGAATCATGCCGATTGGTTCAAATTCCAGCCTGCTCCTCGATGCTTGTGGGATCGCCTAGCCTTTCAGATCTTCCATTCCTTTGCCGGTAAAATTGGCTCTATAGTACATTCCTTGCAGGGCTGCTGGGAGGAAACAGAGATGACATCCGTGTTATTATTGCTCCTGAGACTTGCCAGAAAGCCCTCCATGATCAGCGTAGATGCCATTTCTTCCCAGATGCTCCTTTCCCCACTCCTGGGTTCAGCACTTCCTCCGGGCAACTTCAGCCCCTGCTCCTCCCTCTCTTTGCACCCGCCCCACCTGCCCCACTCACTCCACCCACCCCAGGGTGCTGTCTACTTGTCTGCATCCTGCTCCTGCCCTGGGTCTGGGAGCTCCTCAAGGGCAGGAATGGAGTGACTTCCCTCTCTGTGCACCCAGGACAGGGCTGGACAGGAGAAGGGAAGCCCAAGGAGTGGTGAAGAGCCCCGAAGGAAGGGACTAAACTCCAGCCATCTGTCCCGCGGTGTCTGTTCATACTCCTCCTCCGTGCACGGGCTCAGACATACATATGCGCATATGCTCTGTCTCTTTCTGGTTGAAGGTCCTGGGAGCCCTCCGGAACTCTGCTGCCTGGCAGTCCTTCAGTTTCGGGAGCTTTTCTGTCTGCCCGTGGCCTCGGCTGCCACCTGGTGGCTGCACGCTCCAAAGGAAGCGTAGATTGATGAGAGCCTCGGAAGTTGAGCTTCAGGCGCGGCTCTTCCCCGTCACACTGGGACCGGACGCATTTCCATGGCGTGGTCCCAGGAACCTCTCAGGTCATGCCAGCAACTGGGACTTCCTGTGGAATGCAAGGGCAGTGGGGCCTCCGCGAGAGAGAGAGAGAGAGAGAGAGAGAGAAGAGAGAGATATTAAGGATGAATCCCAGTGTCTGCTCTGAGCAAATTGGAAGACGATGGCATCAGGGGCACTGCTCTGGGCTATATAGACTGTGCCTCCACTAAAGGGTCCCTGAGACCAGGTGTGGGCCCGTATCCCTGGAGGGAGAGGTAACTTCCTCTGATTCGAAGGCATCATATAGGCTAGTGAATGGCACTGAGAATGGCAGATGCCAGGGACAAGCAGGAGCATGTGTGGGATGAGGATGCGGCGTGGATGTGTGACGTTTCAGAGCCTGCAACACATCCGTAGGGAAGTCCTGGAGGAGCAGTTGGGTGCATGGTGGAGTTCTGAAACAGCTGGGCAGTCGGCACTTGAGCCAGAGATTCTGCTTTCGACCTGGATGCCCATTGAGAGGTTAAGAGCTCAGGTCTGGGTCAGGCAGCTTGGAAGCAGCACAGCTTGGACACTTGGTAGCCTGGGACTGTGGTTAAATCAACGTGACTCTCGGAGCTCCAGTTCACTGTAAATTAGGGCAGTAAATGATGTCTACATGATAAGTGGTGTTATGAATGTTAAACATTCACATGAAATACATAGAATAGTGCTTAGCATACAGTACACAATAACTGTTAGCTATTTGGAAAATTACTATTGTTATTATGATTATTTATTACAGAGTGAACTGAATTGGATGCAAGATCACGGTGCGTCAGAGCTAGCAAGATCCTTAGGATCATTTAGCCTGGTTTACTAATATTACACTATGGAATTTAAGCCCAAGGAATGGAGAGTACCCGACGAGCGTTATGTAAGGAGTCGAGTGAGAAGTAAGCTGGATGCTCTGCTTGGCTGGCAGGTACAGAATGTGCCAGACCCATCTGTACCAGCCTGGATCTCTTGAGGCATCAGCACAATGGACCTGGCCACACCAGTTTATTCCACACCGCTGAGGCTGGTACAGTTCTGGACATGGACTTTGTAAATAAATAACTGGGCCTTTGGTCAGTTCTAGCTGTGAGCTTGGAGGTATGGGGTGGGATGGTGAGGACAGGTGGGGGCAAAGTGAGGAAAGGGGCAGGGAGGAGAGGGGAGAGAGAAAAAGGGGAATGAGACAGGCTGAGCTAGTGAGCTGGAATTGGAGGTTGGGAACAGGCTTTCCTTGATGGTGGTGGTGCTGTTTTCTTTTTAATTTTAATTTAATTTTATTTTAAGTTCCAGGCTACATGTGCAGGATGTACAGGTTTGTTACATAGGTAAAAACATGGTGGTTTGCTGCAACTGTCAACCCATCACCTAGATATTAAGCCCAGCATGCATTAGCTATTTATCCTGATGCTCTCCCCACCCCTGCCCCAACAGGCCCCACTGTATGTTGTTCCCCTCTTTTTTGTTCACTTAAAAGATCCCACTTTTAAGTGAGAGTATGCAGTGTTTGGTTTTCTGTTCCTGTGTTACTTTGCTGAGGATAATGGCCTCCAGCTCCATCCATGTCCCTGCAAAGTACATGATCTCATTCCTTTTTATGTCTGCATAGTATTCCATGGTATATATGTACCATATTTTCCTTATCTAGTCTATCATTTATGGGCATTTGGGTTGATTCCATGTCTTTGCTACTGTGAATAGTGCTGCAATGAACATATGCTTGCATGTATCATTATTTTTTTATTTTTTTTGAGATGGAGTCTTACTCCCTCACCCAGGCTGGAGTGCAATGGTGCAATCTCTGCTCACTGCAACCTCCTCCTCCCGGGTTCAAGCAATTCTCGTGCCTCAGCCTCCCGAGTAGCTGGGACTACAGGTGCCTGCCACCACACCCGGCTAATTTTTTTGTTTTTTTGTATTTTTAGTAGAGACGGGGTTTTACCATGTTGTTCAGGCTGGTCTCGAACTCCTATCCTCAGATGATCCACCCTCCTGAGCTTCCCAAAGTGCTGGGATTACAGGCATGAGCAACCACACCCAGCCACATGTATCTTTATAATATAATGATTTATTCCTTTGGGTACACACCCAGCAATGGGATTGCTAGGTCAAATGCTATTTCTGGTTCTAGGTCTTTGAGGAATCACCACACTGTCTTCCACAATGGTTGTACTAATTTACATTTGCTGGTGCTGTTTTCTACATTGAATCTGAGGGCTACTGTATGATGTGTAAGACACTTTCTGATTGGAGCCTCACAATGATCCTACCAGGTGATTACAACTGAGCCCAAGTTTTAGAGGAAAAAAATGCAGACTCAGAGAGAGAAAAGTGATTTGCCCAAGGTCACATAGCCAGCTAGTGGCATTGAACCCTGGCCTTTTGACTTTAAATCTATTGCAAATTCTACCCCAGCATAGGGTTCTCTTTGGGGTGTGTGTGTGTGTGTGTGTGTGTGTGTGTGTGTGTGTGTGTGTGAAATGGGGAGATAAAGAAGCCAACAGTGTTTGCCTTTGCAGAGCATGCAGTCCATTTGGAAACATGCATGTGGGAAAGTGGGGAGGGACCCTGTCAAGCATCTAAGAGGAGTGGTGGCATTTGCTGTGTCCACCTCCATCCTTCCCACTCACTACTCAGCACCTATAGCCTTGTCGCTCTCCCCAACACTCTGCTGAGACTGTTGTCACCAAAAACACTATTGTCCGGCTCCCTGTTGAAAGGTAAGATGGTCTATCTGATTCTTCCGCTCTCAGTATAATAGGATGATCACCATTTTATCTGGGAAGCTGTTCCTGACCACCTGCCCTCAGCTCATCAAGCTTCTGTGAGCCTGCAGGCTCACCCTGGTCATGCCGCCCATCTCTCTGAACAAGATTGTGAACTCTGAACTTTGTGAGGCAAAGACCACATACACCTCTTTATTGCAATGTGCAAGTGTCCTGGAATATAGGAGGTCTCCGAGAGCTATGTGTTGACATGGAGACCTTATCCCTTGCACTCAGTTACACTGCTTCCAGTAAAGTATCAACTTCTAGATCAGCGCCTTCAGCTCCACTCCCTCCTGCACAGCTCCACAGGTACCTCAGGTCCAAAATGGAATTCTTGATCTTTCACCAACCTGAGTCCTCTGTTCCTGTAAGTGGCATCCATTCACCCAGACCAGAGATAGGGGAGTCACCCAGAATCCCCCTCTCCCTCAGTCCCTGAGTTTCACTTTCCAACATATCTCCCTCCAGGTTCTTTCCAACACATCTCCCTCCAGGTTCAAGCCTCGATCTTGCCTGATGTTTGCAGCTGCCTGCTCCCTTGTTTTTATTTTTACCCCCAAGTTTTCCTCTACACTGCAGCTAGGGAGACCTTTCCTGCTGGAATACAGCCATTCACATCTGCGAGAGGAATCTAAACTCAAGGCAGGTGTAGCCTAGTGGCTATGTGCATGAGCTTGAAGCCAAATTTCCCTGAGCAAATCCCATCCTGCCAATTTTATATTAGTGGGATGTACCCCAACGAGGGTATATCAGGGACTGAATATGCAAATTAGGGATAAAATGAGGCCCATCTTATGAGGTTGTGGTGAAGAGTAAATGGATGTAAAGAAAGCATGCAGTATGCTCAGTGAATGACAGCCATCGTGATTTTCCTTTCCTTGCCTGCAATATCTCGAGCAGCCACTAGATGACTCCACCTCCTTCTCCCTTTCCAGTGCTGCCAACACTACTGCTGGAACTTCTGCCTCCCCTCCCCTCCCTCACCACACATCTCCATGCCCGTGTTGTTCATGTTTTTCCTTCTGCTAGCCTCACCGTCTTCGGGGCGTCTCCCTGACATCTTTTACTACATCTCACCCTCAGCTCTTGGAGGACGGGATGTCCCCACGAAAACTGGCATAGTGCCTGCATTGAACAAGTACTCAGTGTTTGCTGAATGAATGAATGTGGGTTAGTCAATACTAGCTCAGCTGCTTACATCACTTAGCCTCCCCGGGTCTCAGGATCTCCTTTTATCTGTGGTGACCATCCAATGTAAAGCCCTAGCATAAGACCTAGCATGCTTTAGACCCATGGTTGCCGTGCACAGCCAGCTGCCTGTCAATCATTGCCCATTCCCATTGCCCACTAGCCATTGTCCACTCTATGTTCACCCCTGTTACCTCACCCAGCTGAGGGTCTTAAACATAGTTTTACCTCTTCTCAAAGGTCATTCTTTACTTGGTAGGGTAGGGTCTAGAAAGAGTCTGCAATTTGGTTAGAGTCTAGATTTAGTTTGCAACCCAGCTGGGCTGGGTGAGCCCAGGCTTGGCTGATGGTTCAGCTGAGCCCAGATGGCTCCCATCTGCCTGGAAAGCATAGGCTCAGCCTCCCCCTTCCCTGAACCCCTACCAAGCATCCTGGCTGGCTGTGCTCCTGGTCCTCTTTTACTCTAGTCCAGTTCCTGTCCTGGCTTGGGCTGGGGGTAAGGGCACTTGTTTCTGGCCACTCCTCATGGATCTCTAGTCTCTGCCTCTGTCTTTGCCTGCTTGACCCTGGTCCTTGTGCCACTTACATCAATGTCCTGAAGCAATGACTATTTTTTATAGGACCGACTCTCAGGAGATGAAGATCCAATCACTCTATCAAAGAATATGAGCATTTCCGAGGCTCTTGTAAGGTACATGCTTTCTATTGTTTTCCTTAAGGGTTGAATCCATCTACACTTAATCAATTCCACCACAGTGTAAACAGTGTGTGTGGAGGGGCGTGGGGGTGATGGTGGACTAACAGAGGCTGAACACTTTCCAAAAACTTGTTCCCAAAGTTTATTGCTTTCTCCATATGTAATACCAGTTCCTGTTCTCTGTATTGGTTGCAATATCTTTTTTTTTTTTTTTTTTTTGAGATGAAGTCTTTCTCTGTCACCCAGGCTGGAGTGCAGTGGTGCGATCTCTGCTCACCGCAACCTCCGCCTCCCGGGTTCAAGCAATTCTCCTGCCTCAGCTTCCCGAGTAGCTGGGATTACAGGCGCACGGCACTATGCCCGGCTAATTTTTGTATTTTTAGTAGAGATGGGGTTTCACTGTGTTGGCCAGGCTGGTCTGGAACTCCTGACCTTGTGATCCGCCCCCCCTTGGCCTCCCAAAATGCTGGGATTACAGATGTGAACCACCGCGCCCGGCCTGCTTGCAATATCTTGAACAGCCACAAGATGGCAGAACTTATATAGTTACTGGTTCAGCATTGATCGTCCCATGAATGTGAAGTTTACTTTTTGTCCTTTACCTGTTCAGTTGGGCACTGCCCTGGTGTTATGGACTGAATGTGAAAACTGATGAGAAGATCAATACTGGACCAGGAACTCCCCCATTACCAGTGCATAGAGGGGAGTCTGCCCAGGCTGGGGGTCTGAGTGGAGTGGCCATTGATGGATCCTTGGGGAGATGTGAGGGCAGATAGAACCCTGGCTAGAAGTCAGGTGTTCGGGATGCTAGAACTGGCCTTGCCCTGCCTCAAGTTCAGCTACCATTCATTTCTTGAGGACTATCTCTATGCCGTATTTTGTCCAACCACCACAGTGAAAGCACCCATCACCAGGGTTTGTGTCTTAGGCAGTTGGTTGTTTTATAGAGGTCTCAGGCAATGCAAAGCCCAAGACAAAACTGTGTGGTCATGGCGACCTGGCAATCTTTATTAAAATGGAAGCTCTGATGGCTGAATTTGTAAACCAGGTCGTTGTGATGCAGGAAAGTATTCTGGCAAGGGTGGATGAGTTTGGTAATGTTAGACACCACTTCTGGGCAGGAGTCTAAGGGTTCCGGAAGAGAAGAGGTGGAGCAGCATACTAACGGATGAAATGACTGGTGGCGAATGAGTTTACTTCTTGTCCTTTACTCATAACCTGTTCACTTGGGCACTGCCCTGGTGTTATAGACTGAATGTATGTGTCCCCCTCAAATTCATGTGTTTAAATCTTAGCCCCCAGTGTGATGTTATTAGAAGGTGGGGCCTTTTGGAAAAAATTAGGTCATGAGGATGGAGCCCTCATGAATGAGATTAGTGCCCTTATAAAAGGGACCCCAGCAAGCTCTCTTGCTCTCTTTCTGCCGTGTGAGGACACAGCGAGAGGACAGCAGTCTGCAGCCCCGAAGAGAGCCCTCACCAGCACCTGACCACGCTGCACCCTAATTTCAGACATCCAGCCTCCAGAACTGTGAGTACTATGCTGAAGAGAGCCCTCATCAGCACCTGACCAACCTGACCATGCTGCACCCTCATCTTAGACGTTCAGCCTCCAGAACTGTGAATACTATGCTGAAGAGAGCCCTCACCAGCACCTGACCATGCTGCACCCTCATCTCAGATGTCCAGCCTCCAGAACTGTGAGTACTACATTTCTGTTGCTTATAAGTGATCCATTCTGTGGTATTTTGTGAGAGCAGCCTGAATGACTACCTTGTGACTGAAGGTATACTTCATAATAGTGTTCGGGGTCACTGGGAAATGTGTTCAGAAGATTTCAGATGTGCATCAGCAATGGTCTTCTTCCATTTGTCCTGGAAAGAGATGAAAATCACATCACAAAAATGCTCATCAGTGTCTACTGGCCCTTTTCCTTACATATGCCTGAAACTCCAACCTCTATGGGTGCCTTTTAGTGCTTGTTTGGGCTGTGACATAGAGAGAAATTGAACAAAATAAATGTACAGTATAATTACAACTACTGTAAAGCAAAGCAATTTGCAAACATCAAAAGGAAATCCTGTGTCCAAACTGCCTACGTCCTATGGACCACACTGTGGGGCTCTGACAGTATTCTGTGTGACTGCCAGAAGATAACTTGACCCTCTTTAGCTAAAGGTAACACCAACCAGAGTCTCTATGATCTCTCACACACAATGCTCAGCATTTAATAAGAAATCAGTAGGCATGATGACCCATTCACCAAAAGCCAAAGAAAAACCAAAGCAGACAACAGAAATAATCCCATAGGAGAAACAGATATTGAGTATTCAGACAGAAATATTAAAATAGCCATGATTAATATGTTTTAGAAAATAGAGAGAAAGATGGAGCATCTCATCAAAGAGTTCCATCTATAAAAAGAGTGAAATGGGAATTCTGTAATTTTTATTTTATTTTTAATTTATTTATATATATATACATATATTTTTTATTATAGTTTAAGTTTTAGGGTACATGTGCACAACGTGCAGGTTAGTTACATACGTATACATGTGCCATGTTCGTGTGCTGCACCCATTAACTCGTCATTTAACATTAGGTATATCTCCTAATGCTATCCCTCCCCCCTCCCCCCACCCCACAACAGGCCCCGGTGTGTGATGTTCCCCTTCCTGTGTCCATGTGTTCTCACTGTTCAATTCCCACCTATGAGTGAGAACATGCGGTGTTTGGTTTTTTGTCCTTGTGATAGTTTGCTGAGAATGATGGTTTCCAGCTTCATCCGTGTTCCTACAAAGGACATGAACTCATCCTTTTTTATGGCTGCATAGTATTCCCTGGTGTATATGTGCCACATTTTCTTAATCCAGTCTATCATTGTTGGACATTTGGGTTGGTTCCAAGTCTTTGCTATTGTGAATAGTGCTGCAATAAACATACGTGTGCATGTGTCTTTATAGCAGCATGATTTATAATCCTTTGGGTATATACCCAGTAATGGGATGGCTGGGTCAAATGGTATTTCTACTTCTAGATCCTTGAGGAATCACCACACTGTCTTCCACAATGGATGAACTAGTTTACAGTCCCACCAACAGTGTAAAAGTGTTCCTATTTCTCCACATCCTCTCCAGCACCTGTTGTTTCCTGACTTTTTAATGATTGCCATTCTAACTGGTGTGAGATGGTATCTCATTGTGCTTTTGAATTGCATTTCTCTGATGGCCAGGGATGATGAGCATTTTTTCATGTGTCTGTTGGCTGCCTAAATGTCTTCTTTTGAGAAGTGTCTGTTCATATCCTTTGCCCACTTTTTGATGGGGTTGTTTGTTTTTTTCTTGTAAATTTGTTTGAGTTCATTGTAGATTCTGGATATAGCACTTTGTCAGATGAGTAGATTGCAAAAATTTTCTCCCATTTTGTAGGTTGCCTTTTCACTCTGATGGTAGTTTCTTTTGCTGTGCAGAAGCTCTTTCATTTAATAAGATCCCATTTGTCAATTTTGGCTTTTGTTGCCATTGCTTTTGGTGTTTTAGACATTGAAGTCCTTGCCCATGCCTATGTCCTGAATGGTATTGCCTAGGTTTTCTTTTAGGGTTTTTATGGTTTTAGGTCTAACGTTTAAGTCTTTAATCCATCTTGAATTAATTTTTGTATAAGGTGTAAGGAAGGGATCCAGTTTCAGCTTTCTACATATGGCTAGCCAGTTTTCCCAGCACCATTTATTAAATAGGGAATCCTTTCCCCATTTCTTGTTTTTGTCAGGTTTGTCAAAGATCAGATGGTTGTAGATATGTGGCATTATTTCTGAGGGCTCTGTTCTGTTCCATTGGTCTATATCTCTGTTTTGGTACCAGTACCATGCTGTTTTGGTTATTACAGCCTTGTAGTATAGTTTGAAGTCAGGTAGCATGATGCCTCCAGCTTTATTCTTTTGGCTTAGGATTGACTTGGCAATGTGGGCTGTTTTTTGGTTCCATATGAACTTTAAAGTAGTTTTTTCCAATTCTGTGAAGAAAGTCATTGGTAGCTTGATGGGGATGGTATTGAATCTATAAATTACCTTGGGCAGTATGGCCATTTTCACGATATTGATTCTTCCTACCCATGAGCATGGAATATTCTTCCATTTGTTTGTATCCTCTTTTATTTCATTGAGCAGTGGTTTGTAGTTCCCCTTGAAGAGGTCCTTCACATCCCTTGTAATTTGGATTCCTAGGTATTTTATTCTCTTTGAAGCAATTGTGAATGGGAGTTCACTCATGATTTGGCTCTCTGTTTGTCTGTTATTGGTGTACAAGAATGCTTGTGATTTTCGCACATTGATTTTGTATCCTGAGACTTTGCTGAAGTTGCCTATTAGCTTAAGGAGATTTTGGGCTGAGACGATGGGGTTTTCTCAATATACAGTCATGTCATCTGCAAACAGGGACAATTTGACATCCTCTTTTCCTAATTGAATACCCTTTATTTCCTTCTCCTGCCTGATTGCCCTGGCCAGAACTTCCAACACTATGTTAAATAGGAGTGCTGAGAGAGGGCATCCCTGTCTTGTGCCAGTTTTCAAAGGGAATGCTTCCAGGTTTTGCCCATTCAGTATGATATTGGCTGTGGGTTTGTCATAAACAGCTTTTAATATTTTGAGATACGTCCCATCAATACCTAATTTATTGAGAGGTTTTAGCATGAAGCGTTGTTGAATTTTGTCAAAGGCCTTTTCTGCATCTATTGAGATAATCATATGGTTTTGTCGTTGGTTCTGTTTATATGCTGGATTATGTTTATTGATTTGCGTATGTTGAACCATCCTTGCATCCCAGGGATGAAGCCCACTTGATCATGGTGGATAAGCTTTTTGATGTGCTGCTAGATTCTGTTTGCCAGTATTTTATTGAGGATTTTTGCATCGATGTTCATCAGGGATATTGGTCTAAAATTCTCTTTTTTTTGTTGTGTCTCTGCCAGGCTTTAGTATCAGGATGATGCTGGCCTCATAAAATGAGTTAGGGAGGATTCCCTCTTTTTCTATCGATTGGAATAGTTTCAGAAGGAATGGTACCAGCTCCTCCTTGTACCTCTGGTAGAATTTGGCTGTGAATCCATCTGGTCTTGGACTTTTTTTGGTTGGTAAGCTATTAATTATTGCCTCAATTTCAGAGCCTGTTATTGGTCTATTCAGAGATTCAGCTTCTTCATGGTTTAGTCTTGGGTGGGTGTATGTGTCCAGGAATTTACCCATTTCTTCTAGATTTTCTAGTTTATTTTCATAGGGGTGTTTATAGTATTCTCTGATGGTAGTTTGTATTTCTGTGGGATCGGTGGTGATATCCCCTTTATCATTTTTTATTGCGTCTATTTGATTTTTCTCTCTTTTCTTCTTTATTAGTCTTGCTAGCGGTCTATCAATTTTGTTGATCTTTTCAAGAAACCAGCTCCTGGATTCATTGATTTTTTGAAGGGTTTTTTTGTATCTCTATTTCCTTCAGTTCTGCTCTGATCTTAGTTATTTCTTGCCTTCTGCTAGCTTTTGAATGTGTTTGCTCTTGCTTCTCTAGTTCTTTTAATTGTGATGTTAGGGTGTCAATTTTAGATCTTTCCTGCTTTCTCTTGTGGGCATTTATTGCTATAAATTTCCCTCTACACACTGCTTTGAATGTGTCCCAGAGATTCCGATATGTTGTGTCTTTGTTCTCGTTGGTTTCAAAGAACATCTTTATTTCTGCCTTCATTTCGTTATGTACCCAGTAGTCATTCAGGAGCAGGTTGTTCAGTTTCCATGTAGCTGAGCGGTTTTGAATGAGTTTCTTAATTCTGAGTTCTAGTTTGATTGCACTGTGGTCTGAGAGACAGTTTGTTATAATTTCTGTTCTTTTACATTTGCTGAGGAGTGCTTTACTTCCAACTATGTGGTCAATTTTGGAATAAGTGTGGTGTGGTGCTGTGAAGAATGTATATTCTGTTGATTTGGGGTGGAGAGTTCTGTAGATGTCTATTAGAACCACTTGGTGCAGAGCTGAGTTCAATCCTGGATATCCTCATTAACTTTCTGTCTCGTTGATGTGTCTAATGTTGACAGTGGGGTGTTAAAGTCTCCCATTATTATTGTGTGGGAATCTAAGTCTCTTTGTAGGTCTCTAAGGACTTGCTTTATGAATCTGGGTGCTCCTGTATTGGGTGCATATATATTTAGGATAGTTAGTTCTTCTTGTTGAATTGATCCCTTTACCATTATGTAATGGCCTTCTTTGTCTCTTTTGATCTTTGTTGGTTTAAAGTCTGTTTTATCAGAGACTAGGATTGCGACCCCTGCATTTTTTTGCTTTCCATTTGCTTGGTAGATCTTCCTCCATCCCTTTATTTTGAACCTATGTGTGTCTCTGCACGTGAGATGGGTTTCCTGAATACAGCACACTGATGGGTCTTGACTCTTTATCCAATTTGACAGTCTGTGTCTTTTAATTGGGACATTTAGCCCATTACATTTAAGGTTAATATTGTTATGTGTGAATTTGATCCTGTCATTATGATGTTAGCTGGTTATTTTGCTTGTTAGTTGATGCAGTTTCTTCCTAGCCTCGATGGTCTTTACAAATTGGCATGTTTTTGCAGTGGCTGGTACCGGTTGTTCCTTTCCATGTTTAGTGCTTCCTTCAGGAGCTCTTTTAGGTGAGGCCTGGTGGTGACAAAATCTCTCAGCATTTGCTTGTCTGTAAAGTATTTTATTTCTCCTTCACTTATGAAGCTTAGTTTGGCTGGATATGAAATTCTGGGTTGAAAATTCTTTTCTTTAAGAATGTTGAATATTGGCCCCCACTCTCTTCTGGCTTGTAGAGTTACTGCCAAGAGATCAGCTGTTAGTCTGATGGGCTTCCCTTTGTGGGTAACCTGACCTTTCTCTCTGGCTGCCATTAACATTTTTTCCTTCATTTCAACTTTAGTGAATCTGACAATTATGTGTCTTGGAGTTGCTCTTCTCGAGGAGTATCTTTGTGGCATTCTCTGTATTTCCTGAATTTGAATGTTGGCCTGCTTTGCTAGATTGGGGAAGTTCTCCTGGATAATATCCTGCAGAATGTTTTCCAACTTGGTTCCATTCTCCCCGTCACTTTCAGGTACACCAATCAGACGTAGATTTGGTCTTTTCACAGAGTCCCATATTTCTTGGAGGCTTTTTTTGTTTCTTTTTATTCTTTTTTCTCTAAACTTCTCTCGTCATTTCATTTCATTAATTTGATCTTCCATCACTGATACCCTTTCTTCCAGTTGATTGAATTGGCTACTGAGGCTTGTGCATTCGTCATGTAGTTCTTGTGCCTTGGTTTTCAGCTCCATCAGGTCCTTTAAGGACTTCTCTCATTGGTTATTCTAGTTAGCCATTCATCTAATTTTTTTCAAGGTTTTTAACTTCTTTGCCATGGGTTCGAACTTCTTCCTTTAGCTCGGAGTAGTTTCATCATCTGTAGCCTTCTTCTCTCAACTCATCAAAGTCATTCTCCATCCAGCTTTGTTCCATTGCTAGTGAGGAGCTGCGTTCCTTTGGAGGAGGAGAGGTGCTCTGATTTTTAGAGTTTCCAGTTTTGCTGCTCTGGTTTTTCCGCATCTTTTGGTTTTATCTACCTTTGGTCTTTGATGATGGTGACGTACAGATGGGGTTTTGGTGTGGATGTCCTTTCTGTTTGTTAGTTTTCCTTCTAACAGTCAGGACCCTCAGCTGCAAGTCTGTTGGAGTTTGCTGGAGGTCCACTCCAGAGCCTGTTTGCCTGGATATCAGCAGTGGAGGCTGCAGAACAGCAGATATTGGTGAGCAGCAAATGTTGCTGCATGATCATTCCTCTGGAAGTTTTGTCTCAGAGGATTACCTGGCCATGTGAGGTGTCAGTTTGCCCCTACTTGGGGGTGCCTACCAGTTAGGCTACTTGGGGGTCAGGGACCCACTTGAAGAGGGTCCATTCTCAGATCTCCAGCTGCGTGCTGGGAGAACCACTACTCTCTTCAAAGCTGTCAGACAGGGACATTTAAGTCTGCAGAGGATTCTGCTGCCTTTTGTTTGGCTATGTCCTCCCCCTAGAGGTGGAGTCTACAGAGGCAGGCAGACCTCCTTGAGCTGCAGTGGGCTCCACCTAGTTGGAGCTTCCCGGCTGCTTTGTTTACCTACTCAAGCCTCGGCAACGGTGGGCGCCCCTCCCCCAGCCTCACTGCTGCCTTGCAGCTTGATCTCAGACTGCTGTGCTAGCAATGAGCAAGGCTCTGTGGGTGTAGGACCCTCCGAGCCAGGCGCAGGATATAATCTCCTGTTGTGCCGTTTGCTAAGACCATTGGAAAAGCGCAGTATTAGGATGGGAGTGACCCGGTTTTCCAGGTGCCATCTGGTCACCCCTTTCTTTGACTAGGAAAGGGAATTCCCTGATCCCTTGCGCTTCCCGGGTGAGGCGATGCCTCGCCCTGCTTCGGCTCACACTTGGTGCGCTGCACCCACTGTCCTGCACCCACTTTCAGACACTCCCCAGTGAGATGAACGTGATACCTCAGTTGGAAATGCAGAAATCACCCGTCTTCTGCATCACTCACGCTGGGAGCTGTAGACTGGAGCTGTTCCTATTTGGCCATCTTGGCTCCACCTCTATATTAATATTTATCTTTGCATGAATTCAATCTCTTACCTTAACATTAAAAATATGAATTCCCTTATCTATGCCATATCCATTAATTATTATAAACTTGGGGACATTATTTATTTTATCAGTTTCAAGCCTAGCTTTATACTCCATGCTAAGTTCAGGATGAACTTCAAGTTCAAAACATGCCTTCTTAAGTATACACATGAGGAGCAGCAGCACAATTTCATTCGAAGGAAGTTTAGTAATTACGTTACAATCAGTTATATGAATAAGTGGATCATTTACACTCTCTACTCTTATAATTAACTAAGGGTATTTATGATTAATTTTCCCATCATGGCCACTTACCATCACAGAACTTAAACTTTAAATTTAAAAAGATTAACATTTACAAGAAACAACTGGACTGGGCGCTATGGCTCACGCCTGTAATCTCAGCACTTTTTGAGGCCGAGATGGGCAGAACACGAGGTCAGGAGATCGAGACCATCCTGGCTAACATGGTGAAACCCATCTCTACTAAAAATGCAAAAAGTTAGCTGGGCATGGTGGCGCATGCTTGTAATCCCAGCTACTCAGGAGGCTGAGGCAGGAGAATCACTTGAACCCAGGAAGTGGAGGTTGCAGTGAGCTGAGATCGCGCCACTGCACTCCAGCCTGGGAGACAGAGTGAGGCTCCATCTCAAACAAAAACAAACAAACAAAACAACAACAACAAAAAACTGGGGCTGGGCACAGTGGCTCACACCTGTAATCCCAGCACTTTGGGTGGCTGAGGCGGGTGGATCACTTGAGTTTGGGAGTTCAAGACCAGCCTGGCCAACATGGTGAGACCCTATCTCTACAAAAAATACAAAAATTAGCCAGGTGTGGTGGCAGGTGCCTGTAATTACAGCTACTCAGGAGGCTGAGGGAGGAGAATCACTTGAACCCGGGAGTTGGAGGTTGCAGTGAGCTGAGATCATGCCATTGCACTCCAGCCTGGGCAACAAAAGTGAAACTCCAAAAAAAAAAAAAAAGAGAAAACAAAGGGAGAGAGAGAGAAAGAAAGGAAAGGAGAAAGGAAGGAAGGAAAGAACTGGAGTGCTTCATTCATCCTAACTGAAGGAGAATGATAACTTGTGTCAGGCTTTAATGTTAAATATGCAGCAGGACCATTTGCCTATTCTTTGCTGAGTATGCTAAATATCATCATGATAAATACTCCTACATTAATTTTATTTTTAGGAACCATATTCCAGAAATTTAGACAATAACTTTTATTATTAAGACTTTACTGCTTACTATTTTATTTCTATGAGTATGAACTTCATACCCAGTATTTTATTATGGCCAATGCCTTCATTTCCTATCAAAGACTTTACTACCACTTAACTTAGCCCTACGTATGTCACATTTCAATCTTCATTGTATCATGAACTATTCCACTACAAACATGAAAATGAGTTTTAAGCTAGTTTTAAGCTAATGGTAGTTGGACAAGATTTTACACTTGAGCTGATGCTGTAATGGGTTGAGGCTTTTGGAATGTTGGGATAAGGCAAACACATTTTGGTGGGGGAGGGCCATCTTCAAGGATCAGTAGGAAGACTATAATATGCTGGATAATGACCTTGAAAGATATCAAGTTCTAATCTATAGAACCTGTAAATGATATCTTTTTTTGGAAGAGTCTTAGCAGAGGTGATGATGTTAAGAATCAACATGGGGAGATTATGCTGGATTATCAAGGTGAGCACTAAATGTAGAAGGAGATACGACACACACAGGGAAGGCCATGCAAAGATGGAGCAGGGAGAGATTTGAAGATGCTGACCTTGAAGATTGGAGGGATGCAGCCATAACCCACGGAATGCTGGCAGCCAGCAGTGGCTGGAGGAGGCAGGGAATGGATTCTCCCCTAGAGCTCTGCAGGGAACACAGCCCCACTGACACTGTGATTTAAGCCAAACTAGTGATTTTGGACTTCAGGTCTCCAGAACAGTGACAGAATAAATTTCTGCTGTTTTTTTTCTTCTTTCATTTTGTCTCTCTCTTTCTTTTTTTTTCTCTCTCTCTCTCTCTTTCTCTCTCTCTCTCTCCTTCTTCTTCTTTTTTTTTTTTTTTTTTTTTTAAGACAGGGTCTTCTTTAAGTTGCTGAGGCTAGTCTCAAACTTCTGGGCTCAAACAATCCTTCCATTTCCACTGTTAGAGTAGCTGGGACTACAGGCTCATGCCATTGCAACTGGCTCTGTCATTTTAAATCACCACATTTGTGTTAATTTGTGACAGAAGCCCTAGGATTTTGGTAGTAGAGGTGAGGTGTGCTGTAATAAATACTCACAAATGTAGAATTGGCTTTGGAATTGAAGAATACATAGAGATTGGAAGATTTTTGAAATGCATGATAGGAAAAGCATAGACTGCCTTAAACACAGTATTAGTAGATATATGGACATTAAAATGCTTCTCATGAGGGCTCAGAGGGAAGTGAGAAGCATGGATGAAAAAGCTTATATTGATTTATAGAATAATTAGATATTCTATAAATGGATATTATTATATATTATATCTTATTAGATAATTAGATATTAGATATAATTAGATTTCACAGCTCCAGATTTTTAGAGAGATTTTATCCAAGGATGCCTTATACCCAGAGCCTCACATATACCTACACTAGATGACTTAGAAAATAAAATTGATACTTTTGAGCTCATGATATTTAGATGAGATTTTGGTCATGAGTTGATGCTATAAAGAAGTGAGGCTTTTGGGTTGTTGGGAAGGGATGAGTATATTTGCATGTGGTCTGGATGTGAGTCTTTGGGAAACAGAAGGCAGACTGTGGAAGCCTGAGTAGTGATCCCCAAAGATGTCAGGTTCTAACTCCTGAAACTTTTCTATGTTATCTTTTTAAAAAAAATGATCGTGGAGGATGTGATTATATTGAGGATTTTGAGATTGGGAGATTAATCTGGATTATCAAGGTGAGCCCTGAATGAAATCATTTGCATCCCCTTATAAGAGGGAGGCAGAGGAAGACTTGACATACATGTGGGTGAAGGCCATATGGAGACAGAGCAGAGAGACATTTGAAGATGTTGACTTTGAAGAAAGAGTGATGTGGCCACAAAGCAAGGAATGCCAGCAGCCACCAGGAGCCATAAGTGGAAGGAAATGAATTTGCCTTGGAGATTCCAGAGAGAGCGTGGCCCTGCTTTTACCTGCTTTTGGTTAGTAATTCTGATTTCAGATTCTGGCCGCCAGAACTATGAGATAATAAATTTCTATTGTTTTTAGCCACCAGGTTTCTGGTAATTCATTACAATAGCCTAAGGAAACTAAAATAGGTAGGATAACAATCACTGCTGTTAATATCTCATAATTCTTCACTTATCTATTCATTTATTTATTCAAAATGAAATATTTTCAATGTCACAGTTCAGTTGCTCAAGGCAGAAAAATAAATTTTTACGCTAAAACCTTATAAACTATGCACTGAAGGAATAAATGGTGGGCTTGGGCCACCCAGCAAAGAAGAAAATGAACAAACAATGGGGTCTTTAAGGATGAAGAGAAGTTTAACAGTTGGCAAATACTAGTAAAAGGAAATAGCACTGGCAAATCCATGAAGATCATATGCGAAAGAGTAGAAATGGGACAAGTTCATACTGGAATAATCACTACTTGTAGTTTTTTCATGGTTATTTACCCAAGGTCATAGCCAAGGGCACCAATTCAGAAACTAAACCAAAATATTTATGAGGGAGATTCCATGGAAGTCAGCTCTCCAAGGGGTCCCATTTCCTACTGCTCCCGAATCCATCTAAACTTTTACTCCCAACACCCTCCTCCTTTGCCCCACCTCATGACAGGTGATTCATTACAGAACACAGAGGGTCAGCGTTCTTTTCTTCAGGCCTGAAATACTGGGCTACTATCTAAGCCAAAGGGTAGGGACATGTAACCACTTAACACTACATTCCCCCCAACCTTCACCAGTTCTCTGGTTACATTCCACCACCCATCTCTGCCTCCCCAGTCCCCAACCAGGGACTTTTGAACCTTGACTCTTTCCCGCCTTGAGTCAGCACCTGTATTTCACGCATAGTATGAAGAACAGTAGTGAGAAGAGCTTAGAAGTCAGACAGTTTGGTTTTAAATTCTAGTTGTGAGTTTTGCTTTCCCTCCCTGAGACCCCAATTTCTTCTTTAGAGTTGGGTGTGTAATGTGGTAATAGCCAACATTTAGTGAGAACTTACTGTATTCTGTCCACCAGGCAAAAACTTTACATGGTTTCTTTCACAACAACCCTACAAAAGGGATTCTTAAAAAATGTGCCTACAGTGGGTGAGAAAACCTAAGGCATAAAGAGGGTAGCTAACTGTCTAGGATCCCCCAGTTGGTAAGAGCTGTGGCTGGGATTGTAACCCAGACAGTCAGGCTCCAGAGACTTTGCTGTTAATCATTCATGTAAAGGAGGTAATGATTAGGTTGAGCCTCCAGTCCAGATGGCAGCCCCTAAACTTTCGAGGGGGCATTTCGTGTTTGCTGTGTTTTATTCCGTGTTTCCAAACAACAGGAGATGTGTCAGATTATGAACTGCACATATTGGCATACATGGAAGTCTCACTATCCAGGGCAGCTCTTGTGAGAAAGTGAATGGCAAACTGTGGGACTAGGAGTAGCACAGTCATTGAAGATAATGAACATTATGGAGAATGTTTAATGATATGAATAAAGTGTATAAGAAAGTATAAAGGAGAATATAAAACTATGTAAAAGTATAACTCTTAGAAAAGTGTACTTGTGATTGTCAAGATTTATTAAAACATATTTTTCCCATTCATTTGCTACTTAGACATCTCCAGCAAAGACTCCTGGAAGGTGGTATCTCAGCTGCTATGTCCTTTGCTTCCCATGGCATGAAGCAGAGGACTGTGCCAGTTGATGATGCCCAATAAATACCCACTGATTGGATCAATGAGTGAGAGTGGGAATGAGTCAGACTTTGGAGTGGTTACATCATCATTTTGAAGAGACTCAGTTCAGTTTTGGGTGCCACATTGTAAAAAGCAAATCCATGTTTTGTTGCTGGATGTTTCCTGGTTCAGGGTTTAGGCCAAGAAAGGCAGAGGAGGAGCAGTCTATTCCCATGGTGGCAGCTTGAAGCAGTTACTCCTGTGGGTAGATCAGTCCAGGCACTTCTTTCCTGGGCTTTGATAAAGTTGAGTTTAATGTTGATGCAATTTTACATATCTTATTTACCTTTACTCTTCTACTAAAACTGAATAGCCCATATAGATCACTTTTGTTAAAAAAAAAAACAGGCTTTCATAAAATATAATTTGCACACCAGAAAATCTAACACTTAAAATTCAGTGATCTTAGTGTTATGTTACTTTTTAAAAATTAGCATAGCATACGGAACCTACAATTGGACACTCTAACCCATTTTAATTGTACAGTTCAATGGCATTAATTACATTCACAATTTCCCTCCTTTTATTTTAGCTCATTTGAATTTTGAGAACTTAGTTTAGAGAGGTACATAGAAAATATAAACCCAAGGAGAGAGGGATCAATTCTAGTTGGGTTCTAACTATAGAAATATCTAAAAATATTTGATGAATTTTTGTAGAATCTCTTTTCTTTTTCTTTCTTTCTTTTCTTTTACTTTAAGTTCTGGGATACATGTGTTGAATGTGCAAGTTTGCTACATAGGTACACATGTGCCATAGTGGTTTGCTGCACCTATCAACCAGTCGTCTAGGTTCCAAGCCCAGCATGCATTAGGTATTTGTCCTAATGCTCTCCCTCCCCTTTTCCCCCACACCATGACAGTCCCTGATGTGTGATGTTCCCTTCCCTGTGTCCATGTGTTCTCATTGTTCAACTCCCACTTATAAGTGAGAACATGCAGTGTTTGGTTTTCTGTTCCTGTGTTAGTTTGCTGAGGATGATGGTTTCCAGTTTCATCCATGTCCCTGCAAAGGACATGAACTCATCATCTTTTATGGCTGCATAGTATTCCATGGTGTATATGTGCCACATTTTCTTTATCCAGTCTATCATTGATGGGCATTTGGGTTGGTTCCAAGTCTTTGCTATTGTGAATAGTGCTGCAATAAACATATGTGTGCTTGTGTCTTAATAGTAGAATGATTTATAATCCTTTGGATATATACCCAGTAATGGGATTGCTGGGTCCAATGGTATTTCTGGTTCTAGATCATTGAGGAATCACCACACTGTTTTTCACAATGGTTGAACTAATTTACACTCCCACCAACAGTGTAAGAGCATTCCTATTTCTCCACATCCTCTCTAGCATCTGTTGTTTCCTGACTTTTTAGTGATCGCCATTCTAATTGCCTTGAGATGGTATCTCATTGTGGTTTTGATTTGCATTTCTCTAATGACCAGTGAGAGTGAGCTTTTTTCCCTATGTTTGTTGGCTGCATAAATGTCTTCTTTTGAGAAGTGTCTGTTCATATCCTTCGCCAACTTTTTGATGGGGTTGTTTTTTTCTTGTGAATTTAAGTTCCTCATAGATTCTGGATATTAGACCTTTGTCAGATGGATAGATTGCAAAAATTTTCTCCCATTCTGTAGGTTGCCTGTTCATTCTGACGATAGTTTCTTTTGCTGAGCAGAAGCTCTTTAGTTTAATTAGATCCCATTTATCAATTTTGGCTTTTGTTGAAATTGCTTTTTGTGTTTTAGTCATGAAGTCTTTGCCCATGCCTATGTCTGGAATGATATTGCCTGTGTTTTCTTCTAGAGTTTTTATAGTTTTAGGTTTTATATTTAAGTCTTTAATCCATCTTGAGTTAATTTTTGTATACAGTGTAAGGAAGGGGTCCAGTTTCAGTTTTCTGCATATGTCTAGCCAGTTTTCCTAACACCATTTATTAAATAGGGAATCCTCGCTCCATTGCTTGTTTTTGTCAAGTTTGTCGAAAATCAGATGGTTGTAGATGTGTGGTGTTATTTTTGAGGTCTCTGTTCTGTTCCATTGGTCTATATCTCTGTTTTGGTACCAGTACCATGGTGTTTTGGTTACTGTACCCTTGTAGTATAGCTTGCAGTAAGATAGGGTGATGTCTCCAGCTTTGTTCTTTTTGCTTAGGATTGTCTTGGCTATACTGGGCCTTTTTTGTTCCACATGAAATTTAAAGTAGCTTTTTCTAATTCTGTGAAGAAAGTCAATGGTAGCTTGATGGGAAGAACATTGAATTTATCAATTACTTTGGGCAGTATGGCCATTTTTACTATATTGATTCTTCTTATCCATGAGCATGGAATTTTGAGCAGGGAATTTTTTTCCATTTGTTTGTGTCCTCTTTTATTTTGTGGAGCAGTGGTTTGTAGTTCTCCTTGAAGAGGTCCTTCATGTCCCTCGTAAATTATATTCCTAGGTATTTTATTTTCTTTGTAGCAATAATGAATGGGAGTTCATTTATGTTTTGTCTCTGCTTGTTTATTATTGGTGTATGGGAATACTTGTGATTTTTGCACATTGATTTTGTATCCTGAGACTTTGCTGAAGTTGTTTATCAGCTTAAGGAGTTTTTGGGCTGGGACGATGGGGTTTTCTAAATGTACAAGGATGTCATCTGCAAACAGAGACAATTTGACTTCCTCTCTTCCTAATTGAATACGCTTTATTTCTTTCTCTTGCCTGATTGCCCTGGCCAGAATTTCCAATACTATGTGGAATAGGAGTGGTGAGAGAGGGCATCTTTGTCTTGTGCCAGTTTTCTTTTTTTAAAAAATATTTCATTAATTAATTTAATTTTATTTAATTATTATTTTGTTATTATTATTATTATTATTATTATTATTATACTTTAAGTTTTAGGGTACATGTGCACAATGTGCCGGTTACATATGTATACATGTGCCATGCTGGTGTGCTGTACCCATTAACTCGTCATTTAGCATTAGCTATATCTTCTAATGCTATCCCTCCCCCCTCCCCCAACCCCACAACAGTCCCCAGAGTGTGATGTTCCCCTTCCTGTGTCCATGTGTTCTCATTGTTCAATTCACATCTATGAGTGAGAACATGCAGTGTTTGGTTTTTTGTCCTTGAGATAGTTTACTGAGAATGATGATTTCCAATTTCATCCATGTCCCTACAAAGGACATGAACTCATCATTTTTTATGGCTGCATAGTATTCCATGATGTATATGTGCCACATTTTCTTAATCCAGTCTATCATTGTTGGACATTTGGGTTGGTTCCAAGTCTTTGCTATTGTGAATAGTGCTGCAATAAACATACTTGTGCATGTGTCTTTATAGCAGCATGATTTATAGTCCTTTGTGTATATACCCAGTAATGGGATGGCTGGGTCAAATGGTATTTCTAGTTCTAGATCCCTGAGGAATCACCACACTGACTTCCACAATGGTTGAACTAGTTTACAGACCCACCAACAGTGTAAAAGTGTTCCTATTTCTCCACATCTTCTCCAACACCTGTTGTTTCCTGACTTTTTAATGATTGCCATTCTAACTGGTGTGAGATGGTATCTCATTGTGGTTTTGATTTGCATTTCTCTGATGGCCAGTGATGATGAGCATTTTTTCATGTGTCTGTTGGCTGCATAAATGTCTTCTTTTGAGAAGTGTCTGTTCATATCCTTCGCCCACTTTTTGATGGGGTTGTTTGTTTTTTTCTTTTAAATTTGTTTGGGTTCATTGTAGATTCTGGATATTAGCCCTTTGTCAGATGAGTAGCTTGCGAAAATTTTCTACCATTTTGTAGGTTGCCTGTTCACTCTGATGGTAGTCTTGTGCCAGTTTTCAAAGGGAATGCTTCCAGCTTTTGCCCATTCAGTATGATATTGGCTATGGGTTTGTCATAAATAGCTCATATTAAATTGAGATATGTTCCATCAATGCCTAGTTTATTGAGATGTTTTAGCATGAAGGGGTGTTGAATTTTATCAAAGGCCTTTTCTGCATCTATTGAGATAATCATATAGTTTTTGTCATTGGTTCTGTTTATGTGATGGATTACATTTATTGATTTGCATATGTTGAACCCACCTTTCATCCCAGGAATGAAGCCAACTTGATTGTGGTGGATAAGCTTTTTGATGTACTGCTGGATTCAGTTTGTCAGTATTTTATTGAGGATTTTTACATAAATGTTCATCAGGAATAATTGTTCTGAAATTTTTTTGTTATTGTTGTATCTCTGCCAGGTTTTGGAATCAGGATGATGCTGGCCTCATAAAATGAGTTAAGGGTGAGTCCCTGTTTTTCTGTTGTTTGGAATGCTTTCATAAGGAGTGGTAGCAGCTCTGCTTTGTACCTCTGGTAGAATTTGGCTGTGAATCCATCTGGTCCTGGGCTATTTTTAATCTGGCTAGTGGTCTATTTAGTTAATCTTTTCAAAAACCAGCTCCTGGATTCATTGATTTTTTGAAGGGTTTTTTAATGTCTCTATCCCCTTCAGGTCTGCTCTGATCTTAGTTATTTGTTGTCTTCTGCTAGCTTTTGAATTTGTTTGCTCTTGCTTCTGTAGCTCTTTTAATTGTGATGTTAAGGTGTCGATTTTAGATCTTTCTTGCTTTATTTAGTGGGCATTTAGTGCTATACACTTCCCTCTAGACATTGCTTTAGCTGTGTCCCAGAGATTCTGGTACATTGTCTCTTTGTTCTTATTGGTTTTAAAGAACTTAGTTACTTCTGCCTTAATTTTGTTATTTACCCAGTAGTCATTCAGGAGCAGGTTGTTCACTTTCCATATAGTTGTGTGGTTTTGAGTGAGTTTCTTAATCCTGAGTTCTAATTTGATTGTACTCTGGTCTGAGAGGCTGTTTTTTATTATTTCCACTCTTCTGCATTTGCTGAGGTGTGTTTTATTTCCAATTATGTGGTCAGTTTTAAAATAAGTGTTATGTGGTGCTGAGCAGAATGTATATTCTGTTGATTTGGGGTGGAGAGTTCTGTAGATATCTATTAGGTCCACTTGGTACAGAGCTGAGTTCAAGTCTTGAATATCCTTGTTAATTTTCTGTCTCATTGATATGTCTAATATTGACAGTGGGGTGTTAAAATCTCTCACTATTATTGTGCGGGAGTCTAAGTCTCTTTGTGGGTCTCTAAGAACTTGTTTTATGAATCTCGGTGCTCCTGTATTGGGTGCATGTATATTTAGGATAGTTAGCTCTTTTCGTTGCATTGATCCCTTTGCCATTATGTAATGTCCTTCTTTGTCTTTTTTTTTTTGTAATCTTTGTTGGCTTAAAGCCTGTTTTATCAGAGACTAGGATTGCAACCCTGCTTTTTTTTTCTTTTTGCTTTCCATTTGCTTGGTAAATATTCCTCCATCCCTTTATTTTGAGCCTTTATATGTCTTTGAACGTAAGATGGGTCTATTTAATACAGCACACTGATGGGTCTTGACTCGTTATCCAATTTGCCAGTCTGTGTCTTTTAATTGGGGCATTTAGCCCATTTTCATTTAAGGTTAATATTATTACATGTGAATTTGATCCTGTCATCATGATACTAGCTGGTTATTTTGCACTTTAATTGATGCGTTATCTTCATAGTGTCATTGGTCTTTATATTTTGGTGTGTTTTTGCAGTGGCTGGTACTTGTTTTTTTCCTTCCATAATTTTGCTTCCTTCAGGAGCTCTTGTAAGCCAGGCCTGGTGGTGACAAAATCCCTCAGCATTTGCTTGTCTGGAAAGGATTTTATTTCTCCTTCAATTATGAAGCTTAGTTTGGCTGGATATAAAATTCTGGGTTGAAAATTCTCTTCTTTAAGAATGTTGAGTATTGGTCCCCACTCTCTTCTGGCTTGTAGGATTTCTGTAGAGAGATCCATTGTTAGTCTGATGGGCTTCCCTTTGTAGGTAACCTGGCTTTTATCTCTGGCTGCCCTTAACATTTTTTCCTTCGTTTCAACCTTGGAAATCTGATTATTATGTGTTTTGGGGTGGCTCTTCACTAGGAGTATCTTTGTGGTGTTCTCCGTATTTCCTGAATTTGAATGTTGGCCTGTCTTGCTAGGTTGGGGAAGTTCTCCTGGATAATATCCTGAAGTGTGTGTTTCAGCTTGGCTCTATGCTCCCCATCAGTTTCAGAGACCCTAATCAACCTAGATTTGGTCTTTTCACATAGTCTCATATTTCTTGGAGGCTTTGTTCCTTTTCCATATTTTTTCTCTAATCTTGTCTTCATGCTTTATTTCATTAAGTTGATCTCCAATCTCTGATTTCTTTTGCTTGATTCATTTGGCTACTGATACTTGAATATGCTTCACAAAGTGCTTGTGGTGTGTTTTTCAGCTCCATCGGTCATTTATGTTCTTCTCTTAACTGGTTATTCTACTTAGCAGTTCCTGTAACCCTTTTTCAAGGTTCTTGGCTTCCTTGCATTGGGTTAGAACATGCTCTGTTAGTTCAGAGGAGTTTGTTATTACCCACCTTCTGAAGGCTCCTTCTGTCAATCTATCAGTTTTGTGTTCTTGCTGGAGAGGAGTTGTGATCATTTGGAGGAGAAGAGGCATTCTGGTTCTATGAATTTTCGGCATTTTTGCACTGGTTTTTCCTCATCTTCATGGATTTATCTGCCTTTGATCTTTGAGTCTGATGATCTTTGGATGGGGTTTCTCTGTGAAGGTTGTTTTTGTTGATGTTGATGTTATTGCTTTCTGTTTGTTCATTTTTCTTCTAACAGTCAGGCCCCTTTTCTGTAGGTCTGCTGCAGTTTGTTGGCAGTCCACTCTGGACCCTATTTGCCTGAGTATCATCAGTGGAGGGTGCAGAACAGCAAAGATTGCTGCCTGCTCCTTCCTCTGGAAGCTTCATCCCAGAGGATGAAGCTGGCATCCGCCAGATGCCAGTCGGAGCTCTCCTGTATGAGGTGTCAGTCAACCCCTGTTGGGAGGTCTCTGGCAGTCAGGAGGCATGGGGATCAGGGACCCACTTGAGGAGGCAGTCCCTTAGCAGAGCTCAAGCACTGTGTTGGTAGAACCCTGCTTGTCAGGATCCACTGCTGTCTTCAGAGCTGGCAGGCAGGAACGTTTAAGTCTGCTGAAGCTATGCCCACAGTGAGATGGGAATTTTATCTATAAGCTCCTGGCTGGAGTTGCTGCCTTTCTTTCAGAGATGTCCTGCCCAGTGAAGAGGACTCTACAGAGGCAGACTGGCCACAGCCGCTTTGTCTCACTGTGTTGAGTTTTGCCCAGTCCGAACTCTCAGGCCATTTTAGCACTGTCAGGGGAAAACTGCCTACTCAAGCCTCAGTAATGGCAGACGCCCCTCCCCCAACCAAGCTCAATCGTCCCAGGTTGACTTCAGACTGCTGCGCTATCAGTGAAAATTTCAAGCCAGTGGTTCTTAGCTTGCTGGGCCTTGTGGGAATGGAACCCACTGAGCGAGACCACTTTGTTCCCTGGCTTCAGCCCCCTTTCCAGGGGAGTGAACAATTCTGTCTCATTGGGGTTCCAGGTACCACTAGGGTATGAAGAAAAACCTCCTGCAGCTAGCATAGTGTCTGCCTGAACAGCTACACAGTTTTGTGCTTGAAACCCAGAGGCCTGGTGGTGTAGGCACATGAGGGAATCTCCTGGTCTGCAGATTGCAAAACCGTGGGAAAAATGTAGTATTTGGGCTGGATAGCGCAGTCCCTCATGGCTTCCCTTGGTTGGGAAAGGGAGGCCCCCAGTCCTTGCATTTCCCCGGTGAGGCTGTGCCCCACCCTGCTTCTGCTCACCCTCTGTGGCCTGCACTGACTGCCTAACCAGTCCCAAACTGATGAACAGGTTACCTCAATTGGAAATGCAGAAATCACCCACCTTCTGCGTTGGTCTTTCTGGGAGCTGCAGACTGGAGCTGCTCCTATTTGGCCATCTTGGCAGCAGATCCTACAGCGTTTTACAACCATCATCACTACCTATTTCCAAAAGGTTTTCATCACTCTAAAGAAACTCTGTAATCATTTAATGATAACTCTGCCTTCTCCAAGTCCTTGTTATTCTCTACTACTTTGTCTAATCTATGAATTTGCCACTTATGAGTAGAATCATATGATATTTTTCCTTTTATGTCTGTCAAATTTTACTTAGCATACTGTTATCACTGTCATTCCTGCTGTAGTGTGTATCAGAACTTCATTCTTTTTATGACTGAATAATACTCCATTATCTGTATACCACATTTTGTGAACCCATTCATCTGTTGATGGACACTTGGGCTCTTCAACCTGATGACTACTGTGAATAGTGTTGCTGTGAACTTTGGTTTACAAGGATCTGTTCAAATCCTTGCTTTCAAATCCATTGGGTATACATCCAAAAGTGGAATTACTGGGTCCCATGGAAATTGTGATTTTATTTTTCTGAGGAACCACAAATTGGTTTTGCAAATAGGCTATGCCAATTTACATTCACCAGCAATTCATAAGAGTTTCAATTTCTCCATATTCTGTCCAACATTTCATATTTTCCATTAAAAAATAATTATAGCCTTTCTAAAGGATATGAAGTGGTATCTCACTGTGGTTTTGATTTGCATTTCCCCAATGACTAATGAAGTTGAGCATCTTTCCAGGTGCGCTTATGGATCACTTGCATATCTTCTTTGCAGTAGTTTCTGTTGAAGTCCTTTGAATTTTTGAATGGGATTGTAGTATTTTGTTGTTTTGTGTTGGAGTCCTTTACATGTTCTCATTTGATTTGTGAATATATTCTGCCATTCTGTGGGCTATCTTTCAACCCTTCTATCCATTTTTTTTTTACTTTGTATATCGTGTATGTAAAAGTTCAACATCATTCTTTTACATAGAGATATTCAGATTCCCCCTCCTTGTGCATCTTCCCTATCTCATTGATCACTCTGAGGTCTCCACCTCTCCAATTGCAATGAGACTTTCACTTACTTGATTCGCTTCCTCTTCCTCTTTTCAACCAGGTATTAGGGGTAGTAATGGGAGTGAGTGCCCACTGTCCTGTGGTCTTTGAGCATGGCCAACATGAGCCCTTGTAAATCCCCTGATGCCAGGGGACTGGCTGGCCATCCTGTCCATGATGTTCCCAGGTCACTCTCCTCTCCGAGTTTTTCCATCTCCCTCCACTCCTGGCTGACCACCGACTGTCCAGCCCTCCCCTTTCCTGCCCATTCTCAGAGCAGGACTGAATTAATCCAATGACCGGGGAACTCAGGGGACTTGGAGGGAGGTCCTAGTTGCAGGCAAAAACTAGAAGAGAAGCCCTTTCAGAGTAACAGAATGAGCTTTCAGACCTCAGGCAGAGGAAATTCTCTCTATGGCATCCAAGGTCCTGGGCTAGGAGTGGGCAATTGGTGGGAGGAACATTTGGGTTCAGATTTAGGAAGAGAAGCAAGGTCTGCATTAAGAGAGGCTGGGACAATCAGTGACACTATCCCAGGGGTAGTACATGGGGCCCGGGTGCTGGAACAGGGCCCAGGGTCAGCAGTACCAGCACCCAGGCAGTCACCAAGTGTGGACAGGGTTGAGGATGCCCCTGCCCCATCAGGGTGGCCAGCCAGAGAGGCAGAGGACAACCAAGAAGTTGGTTCCCAAGAAGTGCTGTTGGGAAGGAGCTGCTTGGGGTCTAACAGCCTCTTCCACCAGCCAGACCCATTTGCCTACCTGGGCTCCTCCCACCCCTGACTGGACAGCTGCCCACTCCATGAGCTTCCTGAGAAGCCTGCAGGTTCCATATATGAAGGAAGTTGACAGGTACCTGGTGACGTTGCTAGGCTGGGGTCTCTTTCTGCACCTCACTGGGACTGTGGAGAGCTGAGTTTACAAGGTCCTCATGACAGACCAGGCCTTTGAGGCTTTCCTGCTCAGCTCAGTGCAGCCTCACTATAGCTGGGATGTGGGATGTTCCCAACCAAACTCCTGAAGCCTTGATCCCCAACACAGTAGTGTTGGGAGGTGGGTCCTAGTGGGAGATATTTAGATCGTGGAGACAGATCCTTTATGAAGAGATTAGTGACCCCTTCCACCTCACAGGCTTGAGTTTTAGCTGTATCTGGAATGGACAGGTTTCCAAGACATCGGGATCAAAACAGAGTCTTGCTTCCTTAGTCTCTCTCCTGCTTCCTCTGTCACCATGCAATCTCAGCATATGCCACTCCCTTTTTGCTTTCTGCCATGAGTGGAAGCTGCATGAGGCCTTCATCGGATTGAGCTGCCAAAACTTAAACTTTTCAGCCACCAGATCATGAGACAAATAAACCTCTTTTCTAGATCAATTACCCAGCCTTGGGTATTCGGTTACAGTAACACAAAACACAGCAAGACAGGCTCTTAGCTCAGCCTTGCTGTGATTCATCTTGAATCTAAATCTTGAATGGAATGGAGGCCTGGAGTCTTTTCCCTACAGGTGTGAGCTTCTCCCTCTGATCTCCTAGATAAATATCGTTTGTCTAAACTCAGCTACCATGGGAGCCCCAGGAGCTGGAGAGGGTGTGGGCACCAGGGGAGACATGGTATGAGGCTGTGTGCAGGGGGATGGATCAAATCAGGCCCTGCTAGGGTTCTGGCACCAATGGGCACACCTCATCTCCGTTTTCCCTCTTCAGTAGGGATTTATCTCCCTGCCTTAGTGTCTCCTCTTCTAACCCTATCACCTTCCATGTGAAGCTAGACAAAGCATGCAAGCTTGTGAACCTTATTCTAGAGAGGAGGGAAGATAGAGGGATTGTCTGGCTGACAATCATGTACATAGGTAGGTAGCATACAGGAGAGATTTAGATGGACACATCAGATGACAATCAGGTAGGGGCTGTGCCAGGATGAACAATGGGGTCTCCATGTTGTCCACATCCTAATTCATGAAACCTGTGATTGTGGGACTGCATATGTCACAATGGACTTTTGAGTAAGTAACGGATCTTGAGGTGGTGACATTATCTTTGATTATCTTAATAAGCTTGATGTAACTAACCACAAGGGTCCTTATAAGAGGGAAAGAGATGTGAAGACAGTCACAGAGAGAGAGATTTGAAGATGCCATTGGCTTTAAAGAGGAAGGAGGGGACAGTACCAGGAATGCAAAAAAAGGCAGCTCTGGAGCTGAAAAGCCAAGGGCTCTCCCTGAAATCTTCTAGGGGTGGGGGTTTGGCCCTGTCCAGAACTTGTTTTCATCCAGTGAAACCCATATCTGACTTTGACCTCCAGAACTGTAAGAGAATAAAAAGCTGTTATTTAAAATCACTGAGATTGTGATAGTTTATTACAGCAGCAATAGGAAACTAATATAGGAACAGACAAGCAGGCAGGAAGAAGGAGACAGGTGTATGGGCAGACAGTCTGGAGGGCAGGCAGGAGTTTGGGAGGTGGGTGGAGATTCAGGGATGTTGGGGTTATCGGACCCAACACCAGGTTGTGGGGGTGACAAAGTCCGGCAGAGTCAAAGGAATGAGAAAAGACAGTTTGAGAGAGAAAGTGGGTCCAGGGCGCCAAAGCTAAGTATGGAGGCTGTGAAGGCCCCGAGCTCTGGAAGTGCAGATTATTTATTGGTGATCAAACAAAGAAACAGGTGGTGAGAATGGGGGGTGGGTCGAAAGGGCATGTTGCATTAAGCACATGATTTACAGCTGTGACGGTTTAGCATCTGCTCTGTTACTTGAGATAATGGAGAGCAGGTTCTTTTAACTCAAGATACAATTGATCCTGGGAGAGCAAGGAGCGAGGAGCCAGCAAGTCCAGACACATTCCAGAGCCACGAGCCCTGGATTCTATCCAAGCCACGAGGGGTTTTATGCCCCGGGCTTAGATTATGGTGCGTCAGGGTAGCCTTCCACCCTTCAGCACAGAGCTTGGTGTTCCAAAGGCCACAAGGGGTTTTAGACCCTGGATCCTGGACATGATTCAAGACTCTTTTACATTATGTCAGACATGCAAGCTCGGCCTCAGCTTCTCCCAACACTCAGCTTTTCTCCCAACAAGATATACAGGTGGGTAGGAGACAGGTAGACAAGCAGGTAGGGAGCTTGGAGAAAGGTGAGAGAGAGAAGGGCAGGCAGACTGGGGGACAGCAGGCAGGTGGGAAGAAGGGAAGGTGGGCAGACAGAAAGCAGGACAGAGGCAGACAGGCAGGAGATAGGAGTGGGGGTCAGGAAGACAGGATGGCAGGTGGAGGCCCTCAAAGCTGGTCCTTGTCTTCACAAGGGTTAGGGAGCCTCCTGAGACGCAGGTGGATTCCATTTTTGGATTTCAACACAAGTCGTGCCATGGGGATGGGGATCCTGGTGGGATCAGGCAGCAGCTCAAAGCGGAGCAGGGTCAGGGCCCTGGCCACCTTCAGCTGGTTCATGGCAAATTGTTTCCCGATGCAGTTCCTGGGCCAGGCGGAGACAATGAATTGAGACGTGTCCTCAGGCCCCATTCTGATCTGAGCAGGTTTTGGCCCCTGACCCCAGCCCTGAGCTGGACATTCAGTGCCCAACCTCATGTGTCCAGCCCCTGCACACTTACAGCCCACGGACACTTCTACCCCATCCTGGCTTCACACTGTCCCAAACCTTGGACAGAGCCGTCTTCCTGGGCTAACTCCTAACTCCTACCTTCTACCTCTGCTCTCAGCAGCCTGAAACCCTCTATCAAGACAGGGCCAGGGCTCTAAGGCACAGAGTCTAATCACATGAATAAATAAAGAGTTAATCAATGGTTTGTTCACTCCTCCACAAACATTTCTTGTTCTCCAGTGCGGAGGTCAGTTCAGGTCCTGTAGGGTGAGGGTGGGCCACACTCTCAGGTGCTTCCCACGTAGTGGGACACACAGGGACCTGAATCCTCATAGGGGGTCCCCGATGGGTGTATTAAGGGAGTCAGAAGGGCAGTGGGAGGCTTCCTGGAGGAGAACTGGGTGGGTGATCCTCAGTGTTGCCCCACCTGCCTCCCACCCCAGGGTCCGGGCTCCTGTCTAACCTCACTCCTCCATCCACCAGCCCCTGTAGCCTTCTAACTCTACTCCAGAAACGTCCATCCTTGTCCTTCCTCAGTCTTGTCACTTGGACTTTCTGGATTTCTGCTTCCCCTCCCTGCACACTGAAGCCACAGCCCAGCTCAGACCCTCCCACGCTCTTCATCACAGGTGGGACAGCATCCCAATGCCTCAGCCGGCAGACAAGCCCTCCGTGGGCTCTTGCCTCACCCACATTTTACCTGTCCAGCCCACATCCTAGCCCTGTTCATGTGGAGATGGCTGAGAATGTCCTCCCTCCACCTCTGCCTGCCACATCCTCAAGGCTAAAGTCACAGCCCAGCTGCCTCTCACTCCCTGCCAGCTGGGCCTCTTCCTCCCAGGCCCCCAGGTAGCATTCGTGATTTGTCCATGAACACTCACAGTCCAGTGCCACGGACAGCACCAGGGACAGGGACACTCAACAAGCCACTCAGTGAGTGAATGAGTGAAAGAATGGTTGATGGAACGATGTGTGTCTGGAGCACAGGATATATTTCTGTACAACACATTTTTGTACCTTTTATCTCTGTTTTCTCATCATGCTGCATAGGACTTGACCCAGAGAGGTAGCTTAAGAAATACTTTAATATTTGAATGATGTTATTTAAGTTTTAAAATGAATAAAATAGAATGAAATACACTGAGAGTAAAATATTAGTTCTGAGCTAGAAATGGAGCTTAGGAATGCTCTCCGGTTCTCTAGTGGCAGCGACATGATTTGCAGGCAATGTTTACAAGGACTTCCTCATGCTGGGATAGACAGACCAGTGCTGGAGAAGGAGTTTCAGGAGGAAGCTTTCCTGTTCCATGTAAGTGGACTCACCATTTGAAGAAGTCACATAATTATTTCTTTGAACAAACTTTGTTTCTACTAAGAATTTTTATCATTTTTGCCTGTGTGTATGTCACAGGACGATTCCTGATGCCACGATGATTTCCACCGCAGCCATTCTGGAGTTTTCCTCTCCAGCTCAATAGCTATTTCAAGTGTGTTTTATATTTCACATACCAGGAGGCTTCAAATGTTGTGCGTTATATGATAATTATTGGGCTTTTCTCTCCAAGACAGTGTACTGTTCACATTTTTATGTTTTTGGCCAATATTGTGCTAAGTGGATTACAGGACTATGGTATAAAGATCTCAAGGCATGTACAGAATTTGCCAAATGGGGAAATAGATGTAAATATGTGAACACTATATAATGAAGTAAAAATGTCATTGGGCAAGACAGAAAAATGTATGATATGACACACACTGTTGTAAAACTTTCTTCAAAGGGCTACCTTAACCTCTCCCTTATATGGCTTGAAAGGTAGGACTTGCAGGTCATCTGTATTATAAACAGATGCAAAGATTTCAATGATTCATCTCTACGACAGACTAGTGAATTAAATAGGGAAGGTAGTGTGCTGCATTGAGGATGTGTGGGGAGAGAGAAATCTACAGTTTACTATTCCTGACAACTGAGAAAAGCAAACAGCTGAAGTTGAATTTACTGGAGAATATCTAATTTTGAGAATTCATATCCTTAAAGTGAGGAAAATACATGAATATACTGAAGTTTGGAACATGCACTGACAGTGAATTCAGGCTGCCCATTTGAAGAAGCAGAGGGAGCAAAGTCTCCATGGGGTGCTCTGAATGCCACCTTCCTTTTGTACACAGAGACGCCCACACCAGGTGCCTGACTTTCCCACAAATACCAATATTTAAGAGCACACCTGAAGATGCCACATATGAACATCGGGCTCACAAAGATCAGAGGGTTGACCAGAGACTTCCCTCATTTCTCTATTCCAATTACCACACAGGACGTCTCACCTTGATCCTCCTGAGAAGGGCAGGAAAGCGTGGCTGTGTTGAGCAGAACCCGGTGCAAAACGGGAAGGGTCAAACACCTGCAGAGAGAGCACCAGAGCCAGGATAGTTAAGGATCCAGCACCTACTTGCCACCCATGAGGGTACAGTACTCCCAGAGGTGGAAGCAGGAGAAGGTATTGGTCTTGAGAGATCACCCCATTTCCTCCTCTCAAGGACCACATACCTCTAGGTTGGGCCACACTTTTGGGTTGTGGTGAAGGCCATAAATGGAGAGGAGGACCATGATACCTGTGGTGCAGGTTGGAAAGAGAGAGAAGACCGATCATTTGCATGGGGTGGCCTGGTACTTCAGCCTGCAGGGGCAAAAGAAGGCCCAAAACACCTACTTTCTATAAATTGTCACTTTGACTAGGATGATTCTGCCATTATGCAGGTGGGTTAGGCTTGACAAAGCATGTGAGTTCAGATGATGAATAGACAACCATTTATGCAGGAATGAGAAGCAAAAAAGAATCAGAGCATTACTCTTTAGAGTAAGTCCAGTGACATTTCACATTCATCAAATATTCTCCAAGGGTCATTGGAGAATATACATGAACTCACTCAATACAACAATGCTCCAAGGAAGACATTCTTTTGCTCTCAGTTTTCAGGGGAGATACCTGAGTATCAGAGAGACCAATTGTCTTGTCTGTGTTCACACAACTAGGTTATAGCAGGACTGGGACCAGAACTGGGGGAGTTGAGGCTTGGTGGCCCCAGATCTGGTCATTGGCTGCTCTCTGCCATCAACCTGAGGGTTCCTCAGAGACTGGACAACAGCTGACCCAGGAAATGAGATTCCTGATAAGCCTCTTTTGCACTGACCCCATGAGGAAAGAAACACATCCCTCTCTGCCCTTGTCTGATTCTCTTTCCAGCCCTGCACATCTCAAGGAATAGGATTTTACAGTTACTGACCCAAGGCCACATTCAGAGATTAACATTTATTTCTTGAACTTTCGGTGGGTTCAAGCTCTCGGCCAGACTTTTCAAATTCATCCTAAATACAAAGTATGTTTTTGATGTTTTTAGAACAAAAGGGAGACCCAGAGATGTGCAGAACTCTGAAGCACACATGGATTTCTCACCCTCCACACGTCCCCGTGGAGACTTTGGGTGAGAGGGTGGGGAAACTTCATACCTTTGGGCAAGGAGCGCCCATCAGGGAAGGTGACGGGAGTGCTGAGCTCTCTTCCAATGCCTGGCACCGGTGGGTAGAGCCTCAGTGCCTCCTTAATGCACATGGTGGTGTAGGGCATCTGGTCCAGGTGGTTCCTGAAACAATTCCATCCTGAACACCAGCAAGGCCTGGGCAGACCAGGGGCCCCTGTGGAGAAGGCAGGGAACCCCATCTTTTGAGCCCTCACTCACCAGGTGATGGAGGCTCCATCACCCAGGAGGCCATGGATCTCCTCCCGGCACCTCTCCTGATGCTTGGGGTGTGTGGCCAGAGCATAGAGGATCCAGGAGATCCCACTGGCTGTGGTGTCGTGGCCCTCAAACATGAACGTGTCCACCTCAGCACGGAGGTCCTTGTCTGACAAGATGCTCCCATTCTCCATCTGGGAAGACCGTGGTGAAAGTGCAGGGCTTGTCTCTTGCTATGTACTTCTGGGCAAAGACTCAGGCCTCTCCTACACATACTCACTTTGGCCAAGAGGAGGATGTCCAGAAAATCCAAGTGCCTCTTCCTCTTGATCTTCTCCAGCTCCCCCTCCTTCTGTAGTTGAGCCTTCCTCAGTTGGATCACTTGGTCTGTACCAGAACAATGGTTACCAGGCAGAGCTGAGACCGTCAGCAGCCCCCAGGAGGCCTAGCTGCCCAACTGCCCCAGTGTGGGTGCCTGGTAGATCTCAGCATGAATGTGAGTGTGGGTGCAGGGTCAGGGGTGGAAGCTCTAGTACTGTGTGAGGCAGGGCACCCCTCCCACCAGTGGCACAGTTCATGGAGGCTCCTCTTGAATGCTGTTTGGACAGGGTCTCATTCAGTTATCTCCATGTGGGGACATTGATAAACCAAGGCACAGAATCCGGCCCCTCACATCTTGGCTCCCAGCCCCTGAGCAAGGGAATTCCCCAGGCTGAGTGTGTTCTGGCTTCTGCAGGATTACTAGGGACCTTCTCTGCCTGAGGAGTCAGGGCAGGTACTTTCACTGTGCCTGGGAAAGGCTGGGAGACAAGAGGAAGAGACAGAACCTGTGTGCTGATGGGCCAGCTGGCAGGCGCGGTGTGTCCAGCGGCCAGCAGAGGTCAGGCTGTAGATGGTGTCATTCTCATGAAAGGCATTCCTCATACAGCAAAAAACCAGGCTGTTCAGGTCACTAATGGCCTGGATGTAGGACTGAGAATTCCTGAGGGAGAGTATGAAGAAGAGACCGCAGTAGGGGTGGGCCCATTACCCGGAAGTAGAATGGGGTCTGAGAGGAGGCAGCCTCGGATAATGGGGACAAGCAGCCTTGAGGCAATGTTTCTTCTATCTTACAGCCCTATTATCCTTTGGCCTTTATCAGATGGTATGAACATCCAGGGTCCACCTGTGCTAGGAATTAGGCATCTGTTCCTGAGACTTTGTTTGGTCTGGACAGGAATTAGAGTTTGGTCAGGGACTGACTCTTCCTTTGTGTGGCGGTGAGCCTTCACGCTGCCCCACCTGCCCCTCAGGTATGTGCACTCCACTTGATAAGAACAAGGGCCCTGCAGCTGGAGGGTTGTCACTGACCTGTCCACCTGGATGCTGCCCTGATGGCTGAAGGCACTCTTCATGATGGTGTCCAGGGTCATCAAGGAGACGTGCTGAAAGACCTCCAGAGGGGAATCCTGGCCAAGGAGCTCTTCCCATTTGTCCTGTGGTGGGAGGGGGCATGGACCTTCTTAATCTCCAAGAAGTGCTTTGCTAATAAGGCCTGGCTTTTTCATGTACCTGCAGATATCTTGTTTTTTCCTGTAGCTTGCAGATATCTTGGTTGGGATTCTTCACTTTACAGAGCAGATGCATTGTAGAAACTGGGACTGTAAAGCCAGTGTTGGTAAACTGACACCTAATTCTCACACACTTTTAATACAACATTCAACAGATCCTCTCACAATAGCATGGATTAAGTATTGAATTTTGAGATTCAGTTAGGACATATGCTTGTGAAAATTTTGTTGTTATTGTTGTTCTGGGATAAATAATGGGGGACTCTTCAGTGTTCTGAGAGCTGAGCTAGTTCTGAGGGACTAGTAGGACACCAACTTTAGGGCAGAAAGTTTCAGTGCCAAAGATAGCTTAAGGGGCTAGTATGGGCACTGTGTTGTAGAGAAAACAGGGACTTCAATTCTTTTCCATTCATCAAAATGTGCTGGGCACAGTTGGGTGAGAAATCAGAGTCCTGACTGGAGATGATGCTATCTATGGAAGGTATTGCTCTGAGAACATAGACCTGGTGTTCATTTCCTTCCCAGGGTGGCTTAAATCCATGCAGAAACCTGGGGCCCCAGGCCAGAGCCTGGGTGGGTGACATCTTGGCCTGTCCATGCTGCCACTGAAGCTGCCATTGCCCAGGCCAGCCAGCATAGGAAGTCCTACTGTCCAACAAGATTGCATATGCCTCCAGTCCCTTGTGCTGAGGTTCCAAAGTGGGAGGAGAAGGGCCTTGTGTTCACCATGAATCTCTATTCCTATGGTGGGGAACAAAGTGTGGATATGACCTGATGCCTGGGTGTTCTCCTACCTTATACAACTCTGGGGAACCCTCTACTCTCACAGCAATGACCTGAGAGTGTTGTTCCATGTGTCTATGTCTATGGCTGCCTGTGGGACACAGGGTTGAGAGTGGAGTTGGTGAGAGTGTGTGCTGTGAGTGGGTGTGGGGAGAGGAGAGAGACATGGACTCACCAGCATCACTCGTACAGAGTCTGCCATGAGCCCCACGTATGGCTTCAGGATGTCATTGTGGAAGGCTGGGGTCAGCATCCGTCGATGCTGGAACCATGTCTGCCCATTCAACAGGAGCAAGCCGTACCCTAAGGTAGACACGAATATGTGTATGTGTGTGTATCAGAGGCTGCACGGACCTAGGGATGACTGGTGACAATTTGGGAGGGAGAAAGGTGGCTTCCTGGGGGAAGAACTATCCAGAAGAAGCCACATCATGGGCAAATGCAGGAAAAGGAGGTATATTTCAGGCATGTGAATTTTCTAATTGAGCTGCTACATCCATGTGATTATGACAGCTGTGAGATAAAGGTTGAAAAGGGTTGTGGGCAGATGTAAAATAAATGTGAAGCCAAGGATGTCTGGAGAGAACTGAGACATGAAATGGAAGAAGCTGAGCCTCAGGAAGGTTTGCACCAGCATTAGGAAGGGGTGAGGGTCTTGTTAGAAGAGGGAAATGAGGCTTGATTTGGGGATGAGGTCATGATAGTGGTGGCCTCTAATCTGTTGTTCTCTGTGAGCCAAATAAATAACTCAAACCTAACTAGGGAGTGGGCTGCAGTCCTAGTTTGCACACATACCAATCCGTGGAGCCAGGAATTTGTAGGATCCATGGGATTTCGGGTCTGAAAAGTAAGAAAGGGCTTTATAGGAAACTAGGAGTTACTAAGAAGGCAGTCTCAGAGGCAGCATCAGTTCTTGGTGTCTGTCAGTTGGCAGTTTGACCCATGTCACCTCCCACTTGACTCCCATCCACTTCTATTTCTGTCCTGAAGGTCAATGTGGGCTCAGGAAGACAGACTCAGTGTTCCAGCAGGAAAACACCCAGAGGGCTAGGAAGGTGAATTGGTGAGATACATAGGCTAGGTCTTCAATGACAATGAATAATACAGAGCCATGGGTTTTTCTACATTGATGTTTTCCTAGTCACCTCCTGACCAGGACAGGCAACAATTAGAGCTTCGAAACCCAAGTCAATGTGGGTATGAAATTTGTTTTACAGATCTGGGGCAATTTACGTTTCAGAAAACCTCAATTTTCTTAATAGAGAAATAGAAAAAAGAATAGAAAATTCAGCCCCACATATTGTTTTAAACATTCAGTATTCAGTAAATATTTTTGACTACAGCCTGGGCATGGTGGGCTTGGTGGATGCGTGGGAGAGGTTTCAGATATTGATGTTTGAACAGCCACTCTCTTCTGGAATTTTACAGACCCAGGGGCATGTGTCAAGAGGGAAGAGAAATTGCAGTTGGGATGGGGGTTCGATCTCACCTGATCTCCCCAGAATCACCTTCATATAGTCAGGGTCATAGAGCTGGACACGAACTTTGCCTCCCCATATCCAATAAGGACAGGCACTTGGGAATGTCTTCACCCGTTCCTGAATCCGTTGTAGCTCCTGGTCGTGTTGGAACTGTCAACGAGGGTAGACAGATGAACACTTTCATTTACTTCTAGTCTTTGCAGCAGGAGTGAAGGGCAGGACAACTACAGGAGCCATGTAGCACGGGTTAGGGATTTAGATCTGTTTCTGATGACCTGAGCTGTGATCCAGATTCTTTGTATCTCCCCAGGACTTGACCTTAGGCCAAGCGCTATGAGCCCTCACTCAATGCTGCCAGCAGAAATTTAAGTCAGCCATTGTCTTCATGTTGTGTAACATCTCTGGAAGTCATAAATACAACAATTTCCTTGGGCAATGTGCATAACTCGTATTACTTGATGAGCAGATTTGTAAAATCATTTGGTATATCTAGAGAATAAAATGAATTAATGTGAACATTTTAAATTACACAATAATTTTATATAATCATACTTGTTATATTTTCAATATTGTCCCAGAATATATGGTAAATATTTGTTGAGATAAAATAGCATTTGGGATGTGTATGGCTAAGCAAAAAAAGATTAACTATAAAATTGTGTGCATAATAGTATTCTACATGTTGAATATGTACAGATTTATGGGATGGAGTCTGAGTATATGCATATGGTGCTGGTGTTGGACTATAATTTTGAGATTTGGGTTTCTTATTCTCATTTTCACTTATCAATGAATTATGAGCTCCCTGCTGCCTGCAGTCATCTTTCTAAACTCTTCGATGTGGATCACAAAGCCCTTGGCTTTCTGGCTTCAACTTCTCTTTTCTTGCCTCCAGCCCTGCTGGCAATTCCACCATCACCCGTTTGTTTCAGCTCCAACGCCGATGCCACCACTGCTGCTGATTCACACACCAGCTACACCTGCTCACTCTTCTGGGCCCTGGCACTTGCTCTTTTCTCTACCTTGAATGCCCTTCCATCTGCCACAGAGCAGCCACCTCTCCTCAGCTTTCAAGACTCAGCTTTGCTTTAATCTCATCTGGAACCCTCAAAGACATTGGGTCCTAGTGATGTTCCATGTAGCCAACTCTTCTTTATTTCAACTGCTTCTAGTAACTCAAAGCAACTGTCTACCACATAAGTATCTAATGTCTGCCCACCTCCTTCTGATAATCATATTGTCCAGCTCTGAGGCAGCTTGCCCTACTGTGGGGTAGGCTCCTTCATTCAGCCCATGCTTACTGCACACATACTATGTGCCCAGTGTGGCTCAGGCACTGCGTTAGGACACAGCTGTGGTCCTTATCTGTGTGGAATTTTCAGTCTAGTTGGGGGGTAAGGAAGATTAGAGGCTGTGCAGTAGGGGATAATGGACATGAGATGGAATGAAGGACAAGCATCTGGGGAAGCTTTGAAGAGGGACCTAACTCAGAACTGAACATTAGAAAGCTCTTCCTCACTCACTGAGTCATCATTTACTGAGGGACTATTAGGTTACAAACATAAATCAGAGATGGTCTCTCCCAGAAGAATCCCACACTTATGACACTGCAGAACAGTAACTAAGTCAAGTTAACACTGCTCTGGCCTCTTGAGGATAGCCCATAGAAAAAAGAGTCGGCCCTTCACTTCTGGGAGACCCAGGAGGCCTTCTTGAAGAAGGTAGCTTGGTGCTGGGCCTTGACCGATAGATATGAGTGAGAAAATAATTCCAGGTAGCAAGCACATTGTGATCAGAGGCCTAGAGGTTGAAATGCAGAGGCAGGTAGTGAGGTAGTGAGTAACATATGGTAAAAGAGGAGAATGGGAAAGAAGGTGGAGTGGTATTGGGACCAGTCCATATAGGGCTAGAACTTTGTCAGGTCCCCACATTGGTTCTGCTCTGCTGAGAACTATGTTGCCTCCTTTGCTGAGAAACAATAGGCCTCAGCTCCCTGCAACCCCTATCTCTACTTAAGTGTGTTCAATTCATAGCACCTTGGTGAGTCCCTCTCCATGCAGCCGTTTACCTTGCTCTGTTCCTACCCGCCCCTCTCCCCATGCAGGGATAGCAGTGCACAGGGGATGGGCTGTGTCCCTCCTCAGCCCTCTTGCTGCTCCTTTCTCTTCTTCCTCTGTTCCTCTACACCTGGTGTGTCCAATCTTTTGGCTTTCCTAGGCCACATTGGAAGAAAAATAATTATCTTGGGCCGTGCATAAAATACACGAACACTAATGATAGCTGATGAGCTCAAAAAAATTGCAAAATAATCTCATAATGTTTTAAGAAAGTTTACGAATTTGTGTCGGGCCACATTCAAAGCCATCCTGAGCTACATGCAGCCCCATGGGGCATGGGTTGGACAAGCTTGCTCTATTCACCTGAGCTGACCATCAAGCTGTGCCAGGATTTTGCTGATTGCCGGGGCACAGGAAGGGGATGACATGCTCACCTCCAGGGAGCTCACAGTCTGGGTGCGTGGGAGGAGAGCCAGGAGGTCAATACACCCTGTTCAATGTGCAACTCAAACACCAGTCTCCTCACTTGGAGGACATTGTGCAGGCTGCCCCCTTCATGTGTACCCACAATTGTCAGGTTTTCAGGTCCTAAATCACCTGTTGTGGAAATTCCGTGAGCCTTGGGGAAACTTACTTAGCCAGTTGGTCCCCTACACCAGCAGATCTCTGCCTCAGATATCCACCCCAGCAGAGTGAGCTCTTTTCCTGCAGTCTGACACCTTCTCAAATTCCTGCCTGTATTCTTCACAGACCATGAACTCCTCATGGCACAGAGTCCTCAGATGGGTGTCTGTGCTCCCAGGCAAATGCAGGGCCAGGCAGAGACAATGGCATTGAGTGACTGGACAGGGAGCATCTAGAAGCCTTGTTCTTTGAGAAAAGCCAAGGCTTATGGGGTAATCAGTCTGGAGACAATCAGGCATTGCCCTCCATGTGCAGGACTGCCAAGACACACTTGATATCTGCAGAAGGAGGGCATGTGTGATAGAGCTGAGGACCAGCAGGATGGGCTTCATGGGAGGAGTGAGCTCCTCATGACTGGGACAAGCTGAAACCAGAGAGGTAGGCTGGGTGTTCCTATGAGGCCTCACGTTTGTTACAAAACAAGGCTTTGCTCTATGGATTTTGTGACCAGGGTCTCAGAGCCGCATCCCTCCTTGCCCTCCCACTCCCCCACTGAGTTCCTCCCTACCTCCTGGATGTGCCCGAAGAGCCAGTGGGAGGGAGGGCACGGGAACTGCTGGAGGGCTTTGAGCAGCCACTGCCTATGCAGGTAGAGCTGAGCTGCCTTGATCAGCAGCAGAAGCAGAATGAGCAGGGAGGTCACTTGGAGGATCCCGGAGACACCACCCAGGCGTCTGCTGGGGCTCAGGACAGAGACACTCATGGTGCAGCACCTGCTGGATCTCTGAGTGCCCCTTCCTCTCTCTGACCACCCCTGTCCACCTGTGCTTAAGTCATGGGAGGATTGTCCCGCCCACTTGTGGGGAGAGTGAAGGGGGAGGGCAGAACTTGGACCTCAGAGTTCAGAATCGATTGACTTTGGATGATCCACCTAGGGGAACAGTGGGAGAACAGCTTCATCAGCTGTCTACCACATTCCCCTGTCCATGTACCTCACAAATATTTAATGAGCATTTACTGTGTGCCAGGCAGTATGCTAGGGGTGTGGGCACCGCTGCGAGGAAAACAGACTTGAATGCTGACCTCAAGGAATTTGCATTCTGCTTTACTACATTGCAATAATGTTCATTCAGTAGCACTTTTTTTTTGTTATGTGTTCAAAGAAAATTCTCAACATGATATGTATATTTAAACTTAACATTAACCAAGCCCTGAATCATTACTTTTGTCTTATTGCAATCTAATTTTATTTACCATAAAAACCACTTCCATCTATATATTGAGTGAGGAGTGGGAATTATGTCTTTCTATTAACTGGATGATGATATGGACAAACAGATGCTAACATGGCAGCTGTTCAAGTACTTTATTTTATTCCATTGGGGAGACTGGTCTCATAATATCCATAGCATGATTTTTTTCTCAATTCATATACATGACAATTTAAAAAAATTCTACATCATGTTAGTTATGACTTTTTCCCCCATTGATAGGTCTACCTTCTCTACCAGAGAAAGTCCTAGAGCAATTTTAGTCCTACTTCAGTCTAGTACTATAGCCACAGCAGGAGCCTGTTTACCAATTCTCTTTCATCCTACAATAGTATGTAATTATACAATCAGAACTTTGCAGTCTGTTTAGGAGCCCTGACTAAGGACAATCTGTACTAAACAGAAATTAATATTTAAAAAATGATTTCTTTGTCAACCTCAAGTAAAGTAGGTTAAATAGTAACTATTGCTATGAATTAACCCTCCCTGGCATTTTTACATGCATATCTGTGCATGAGCATTGTTTTTGTTCCTCTTTTTATAATTTCAACTTTTATTTTAGATTCAGGTACGTATGCAGGTTTTTTACACTGGTATATTGTGTGATGCTGAAGGTTTGGATACAAATGATTCTGCCACTCAGGTAGTGAGTATGGTATATATTAGTCAAATTTCCAATGGTTACTCATATCTGTACCTACCCCTCTAGTAGTCCCCAGTGTCTATCATTCCCATATTTATGTCCATAAGTATCCAACATGTAGTTCCCACTTATAAGTGAGAACATGTGGTATTTGGTTTTCTGTTGCTGTGTTAATTTGCTTAGGATTATTGCCTCCCAATTCATCCATTTGCTGCAAAGAACATGATTTCATTATTTTTTTTTTACAGCTGCCTAGTATTCCACTGTGTATATGTATCACATTTTCTTTATCCAGTCCACCATTGATGGGCACCAAGGTTGATGCCATGTCTTTGCTATTGCGAATAGTGCTGTGATGAATGTATGAGTAGAGGTGTCTTTTTGGTAGAGCAACTTATTTTCTTTTGGATAGATAGCTAACATTGGGATTGCTGGGTCAAATAGTACTTCTATTTTAAGTTCTTTGAGAAATCTCCAAACTGCTTTCCACAGTGGCGGAACTAATTTACATTTCCACAAACAATGTATACACATGATTTTTTTTTTTCTGCAGCTTAGCCAGCATACGTTGCTTTGAAACTTTTTAATAATAGCCATTCTGACTTGTGTGAGATGTGGTTTTCATTCACATTTCTGTTGATTAGTGATGTCGAGCATTTTTTTCAATATTTGTTGGCTGCTCATATGTCTTCTTTAGAGAAGTGTCTGTGTCTTTAATGGGGTTGTTTGTTTTTTGCTTGTATTGGAAGTTCTGGACAGGTAAGAGAAAGAAATAAAGGGTATTCAAATAGGAAAACAGAAGTCAAATTGTCCCTGTTTGCAGATGACATGATTGTATATTTAGAAAACCCCATCGTCTCAGTCCAAAATCTCCTTAAGCTGATAAGCAACTTCAGCAAAGTCTCATGATACAAAATCAACATGCAAAAATTACAAGCATTCCTACACACCAATAAGAGACAAACAGAAGCCAAATCATGAGTGAACTCCCACTCACAATTGCTACAAAGAAAATAAAATACCTAGGAATACCACTTACAAGGGATGCGAAGGACCTCTACAAGGAGAACTACAAAACACTGCTCAACAAAATAAAAGAGGACACAAACAAATGGAAAAAAATTCCATGCTCATGGATAGGAAGAATCAATATAGTAAAAATGGCCATACTGCCCAAAATAATTTATAGATTCAGTGCTATTCCCATCAAGGTACCATTGACTTTCTTCACAGAATTAGAAAAACTTCTTTAAATTTCATATGGAACAAAAAAGAGCCCGCATTGCCAAGACAATCCTAAGCCAAAAGAACAAAGCTGGAGGCATCATGCTACGTGACTTCAAACTATACTACAAGTCTACAGTAACCAAAACAGCATGGTACTGGTACCAAAACAGATATACAGACCAAAGAAACAGAACAGAGGCCTCGGAAATAACACCACATATCTACAATTATCTGATCTTTGACAAACCTGACAAAAACAAGCAATGGGGAAAGGATTTCCTATTTAATATATGGTGCTGGGAAAACTGGCTAGCCATATGCAGAAAACTGAAACTGGAACCCCTTCCTTACACCTTATACAAAAATTAACTCAAGATGGATTAAAAACTTAAGATGTAAAACCATAAAAAGCCTGGAAGAAAACCTCAGCAATACCATTCAGAACATAAGCATGGGCAAGGACTTCATGTCCAAAACATCAAAAGCAATGGCAACAAAAGCCAAAATTGACAAATGGAATCTAATTAAACTAAAGAACTTCTGCAGAGCAAAAGAAACTGTCATCAGAGTGAGCAGGCAACCTACAGAATGGGAGAAAATTTTTGCGATCTATCCATCTGACAAAGGGCTAATATCGCGAATCTACAAAGAACCGAAACAAAATTCACAAGAAAAAAACAACCCCATCAAAAAGTGTGCAAAGGATATGAAACGACACTTCTCAAAAGAAGACATTTATGTAGCCAAAAAACAGAGCAAAAAAAGCTCATCATCACTGGTCATTAGAGAAATGCAAATCAAAACCGCAATGAGATACCATCTCATGCCAGTTAAAATGGCAATCATTAAAAAGTCTGGAAACCACAGATGCTGGAGAGGATGTGGAGAAATAGGAATGCTTTTATGAAGGGGTGGCCTGCCCCTCCACACCTGTGGGTATTTCTAGTCGGGTGGGACAAGAGACTGAGAAAAGAAATAAGACACAGAGGCAAAGTATAGAGAAACAACAGTGGGCCCAGGAGACCGGCACTCAGCACACCAAGGACCTGCACAAGCACCAGTCTCTGAGTTCCCTCAGTTTTTATTGATTATTATTTTCAATATTTCAGCAAAAAGGAATGTAGTAGGAGAGCAGGGTGATAATAAGGAGAAGGTCAGCAAAAAACATGTGAGCAAAACAATCTATATCATAATTAAGTTCAAGGGAAGGTACTATGCTTGGATGTGCACGTAGGCCAGATTTATGTTTCTCTCCACCCAAACATCTCAGCGGAATAAAGAATAATAAGGCAGCATTACTGCAAACATGTCTCGCCTCCCACCATAGGGCGGTTTTTCTCCTATCTCAGAATTGAACAAATGTACAATCGGGTTTTATACCAAGACATTCAGTTCCCGGGGCAGGCAGGAGACAGTGGCTTTCCTCTATCTCAACTGCAAGAGGCTTTCCTCTTTTACTAATCCACCTCAGCACAGACTCTTTACGGGTGTTGGGCTGGGGGACAGTCAGGTCTTTCTCATCCCACGAGGCCATATTTCAGACTGTCACATAGGGAGAAACCTTGGGCAATACCCAGCTTTCAAGGGCAGAGGTCCCTGTGGCTTTCCGCAGTGCATTGTGCCCCTGGTTTGTTGAGACTAGAGACTGGTGATGACTTTTACCAAGTATACTGCTTGTAAACATTTTTTTAACAAGGCACGTCCTACACAGCCTTAGATCCCTTAAACCTTAATTTCATACAGCACATGTTTTTATGAGCTCCAGGTTGGGTCAAAGTGGCTGGGGCAAAGTGGTTGGGGCAAAGCTACAAATTAACAACATCTCAGCAAAGCAATTGTTTAAAGTACAGGTCTTTTTCAAAATGGAGTCTCTTATGTCTTTCCTTTCTACATAGCCACAGTAACAGTCTGATCTCTCTTTCTTTTCCCTATACTTTTACACTGTTGGAGGGAGTGCAAATTAATTCAACCATTGTGGAAGGCAGTGTGGCAATTCCTCAAGGATCTAGAACCAGAAATACCATTTGACCCAGCAATCCCATTACTGGGTATATACCCAAGGGATTATAAATCATTCTACTATAAAGACACATGCACACGTATGTTCATTGTGGCACTGTTCACAATAGAAGAGATTTGGAGCCAACCCAAATGCCCATCAATGATAGATTGGAAAAAGAAAATGTGGCACATATACACCATGGAACACTATACAGCCATAAAAAAGGATGACGTCACGTCCTTTGCAGGGACATGGATGAAGCTGGAAACCATCATTCTCAGCAAACTAACACAAGAACAGAAAACCAAACACCACATGTTCTCACTCATAAGTGGGAGTGGAACAATGAGAACACATGGACACAGGGAGGGGAACATCACACATGGGGACCTGTCTGGGATGGTGGGTTAGGGGAAGGATAGCATTAGGAGAAATACCTAATGTAGATGACAGGTTGATGGGTGCAGCAAACCACCATGGCACATCTATACCAATGTAACAAACCTGCACGTTCTGCACATGTATCTCAGAACTTAAAGTATAATAAAAAAATGAATTGTTTAATTTCTTTAGGGATTCTGGATATTAGACCTTTGTCAGATGCATAGTTTGCGAATATTTTCTCCCATTCTGTAGGTTGTCTGTTTACTTTGTTTATAGTTTCTTTTGCTGTGCAGAAGCACTTTAATTAAGTCCCACTTGTGAATTTTTACTTTTTTGCAATTGCTTTTGAGAACTTAGTTATAAATTCTTTCTCAAGGCTGATGTAAATCATCATGTTTCCTAGGTTTTCATCTAGGATTCTTATAGTTTCAGGTCTTACATTTAAACCTTTAATCCATCATTTTTTTTTTTTTCGATCTTGGCTCACTGCAAGCTCAGCCTCCTGGGTTCATGCCATTCTCCTGCCTCACCCTCCTGAGTAGCTGGGACTACAGGCGCCCACCACCATGCCCAGCTAATTTTTTGTATTTTTAGTAGAGACGGGGTTTCACCATATTAGCCAGGATGGTCTCGATCTCCTGACCTCGCTATCTGTCCTCCTCGGCTTCCCAAAGTGCTGGGATTGCAAGCATGAGCCATCGTGCCCAGCCCCTTTAATCCATCTTAAGTTAATTTTTATATGGTGAAAAGTCAGGGTCCAGTTGCATTCTTTTGCATATGGTCACCCAGTTTTCCCAGTACAATTTATTGTATAGGGAGTCCTTTTCCCATTGCTTATTTTTGTTGACTTTGTTGAGGATCAGATGGCTGTAGGTGCATGGCTTTATTTCTTTTTTTTTCTCTTTTTTTAAAATTTTATGTGTTAAAATGTTGATTCAGAGGGTACATGTGCAGGTTTGTTACATGAGTATATCACATGATGCTAAAGTTTGACCAAGGTAGTGAACACAGTACCTAATAGGTAGCTTTTCCATCCTTTCCCCCTCCCTCCATCCCATCCCTTTTTGGAGTCCTCAGTGTCTACCATTCCCATCTTTGTGTCTGTGTGTATCCAATGTTTAGGTCCCAGTTATAAGTGATAACATGCGGTATTTAGTTTTCTGTTACTGTGTTAATCGGCTTAGGGTAATGGCTTCCAGCTGTATCCACGTTGCTGCAGAGGACATGATTTCATTCCTTTTTTTATATTATATGTTAAGTTCTAGGATACATGTGCACAACGTGCAGGTTTGTTACATATGTATACATGTGCCATGTTGGAGTGCTCTACCCATTAACTCCTCATTTACATTAGGTATATCTCCTAATGCTATCCCACCACCCTCCCCCCACCCCACAACAGGCCAATGTGTGTGACCCTACCTTTCCTTCTGACTCATACCTCCTGGGTCCTGACCATGACTTTCTTGAAAGTGTAGCCCCAAAATTCTCCTAACTTCTGAATCGACTTCCTCTGATCCCTACCTCCTAGACACTAATGCTTCAGGCTTTCACTTCCTCTCCCAAGTATTAGAGCAGGTTGTATCTCCAAAGGGATCTAAGGAAGCTCTATGCTGCATCCTCAGGCCCCTAGGCTATAAACCCAGGGAGTCTTGTCCCTGGTGTCCCTCCCAATTTAGGCATACAGCTCTCCACATGGGCAGTTATGTGGGACCCGTTCCCCACAACCCTTACCAGGGTCTTAGAACTGATAACCTAGTATTTTAACAACTGAAACAGGGTCTACAACAACATAATAGATCAGGATGAAAACAAATTGAGTAAATAAAAGGGAGGCGCATATTCATATAGTGGCAAATGAGGGCAATGAGCGAACATCCTTCCACTGTGTTTCCAAAATGCATCTACAAAGACAGAAAGGAGAAAGAAAGAGAGAAAGAGAAAGATAGAAGTAGTAAAGAAAAAACAGTATATCCTATTTCTTTAAAAGCCAGGGTAAATTTAAAACCTATAATTGATAATTGGAAGTTTTCTCTGTGACCCTATAACACTCCAATACCACTTTGTTGTCCGTGTAAACAAGGGCATAGCCCAAAAGCACTGAGGCCACTGACAACCAGTAGCCTTCTTATCAAAAATCCTTAACCCAGGAACCTGCAGATGGCCGAAATGCATTCATCAGTTGCAGCGACTGCTTTGCTAACAGAAGGAAGTAGAAAATTAGCCTCTAGAGGAAACCTCATTGTGAGCCCACCTCACCAGTTCAGAACTATCCTAAGTTAAAAAAGCAAAAAGGGTAGGTTGCTAACTCAAAAATCTCAAAGTATGGGGCTATTCTGTTAGAAAAAGATAATTTAACATTAACCATTGAAAATTCCCTTACCCCAGCAGATTTCCTAACAGGGGATTTAAATCTTAATTACCATACAAAGGCCCAACCAGATCTAGGAGGAACTCCCTTCAGGACAAGACAATAGATGGTTCCTCCCAGGTGATTGAGAAAAAAACACAATGGGTATTCAATAATTGAGGGAAAGTCCTGTAGAAGCAGAGTTAAGAAAATTGCCTAATAACTGGTCTGCTCAAACATGCAAGCTGTTTGCACTCAGCCAAGCCTTAAAGTACTTACAGAATCAAAAAACTCTGTCTCAATTCTGACTCAATAGGTTACCCACACCCTCTCTGAAATGAATTTGCATAAGAGAGAACTGTTGCTTGTAGGAATGCATCTTGATGGGGCACCTGGGTTAATAGGAAGTACTCGGGAACCCAGCCCAGCTCTGGGACTCACCTCTGAGCACAAACGCAATGTCGGGCACACTGGTAAAGGTCCACTAGAATCCAGCAGCCTGGACCCCTTTCTTTGTGGTCAAGAAAGGTGGGAAAACAGGTGCAGGACTGCTACATCCACCAACTTTCTGGTATTATTTTTTTTCACAATAGCCATAGAAAACTAAAATGGGGGGGATTACAATCATTTCTTTGAATATCTTGATCTCCTGACCTCGTGATCCACCCACCTCGGCCTCCCGAAGTGCTGCGATTACAGGCACTTCTCTGAATATCTCATAGAATTATTCACTTATTCACTCATTTATTTATTCAAAAACAAAGGTTTTTTTAACCTCA